>NC_000008.11:11016420-11320901 GCF_000001405.40 Homo sapiens
CGGGAGTAGCGCAGGTCTGGGGGCGGGGTCTCTCGAGGCGCAGACAACAAGCTAGATCCTGAGCCCTCTGCTTCAAAGCGGGTAGCGCCTTCGCCCACGCCTTCCCTCCCACCATCCCTGCCTGGCTGCCACCCGGAAGTCCCCGTCCGCGCCCCGACAGCGCCGCCCTCCGGCTGGCTGCAGCGCGGGCCCTCGGTAGGGGGCGTTCCAAGGCCCCGCCTCCTCGTCACTGCCACGGATGACGACGCCCCAGGCCCCCGGCCCCGCCTCCGCCTCTGCCTCCGCGGCCAGCACTGGGGAGCGTCCTGGCCTGCGCTTGCTCCCCAACCCCTCCTTGCCCCGCTCTGAGCCGGCGCGTCCTTGCTCCCCCACCACTCTTCTCTCTCGGGCCAGCCGAGCCCAAAAGGCCTCTCCTCTTCTGTTTTTCCAGTTCCCTCCTCAATTTCACCTCCTCGGAGACCCTCCACCACCCAGATCTTCAGCGAGCAAGTCACCTTTCCTTTAGATAGACAGACAGGTTAGAGATAGATTAGAGAGATTAGATAGAGATTAGACGGATAGATTAGATAGACTGATAAGATGAAAGATGTAGATGGTAGAGATTTGCATACATATGGATAGATACATATGGATAGATCATAGACAGATGGATGATTGATACGATGTGGATGATAGATGGTTGGATAAAGATGATAGTTATAGATGATAAAAAGGCATAGATGATAGATACATATAGATGACAGAGATAGATAGAGATGATATATAACATTGTAACACGTATAGATAGGCCACAGATAGGTAGGCAGTGGGTAGATAGGAGGTAGATGGATGGATATGCGTATAGATATAGGTATATGTCCTGAAGGGACAACCCGGACCCCAGGCTGGCCAGGACAGTACCCAGGCTTTGGCAACCTCCTCAATAGACACGAAGCTGCAGGTTTTCAGCTGCTTACGCCGGGCAAACTGTAAAGTGCTTTAAATCCCTGGAACTAACCACAACGGCAGCTTAGCCTGGAAACTCAAGTGCTGGCTGCAGGCAGTTTGAGCGCAGCTCCAGGGCTGCAAGGTTGCCTGCAAGTAACACGACATTTGTTCATTCTTTCAAGCATCTGCTGAGCCTGTTGCAGCTGCCTGTGGCTGGGTTCCGGCACTCAGAGACCCTGGGCCTGCTCGAGAGGGGCTGACATTATGGTGGGCATCAGAGACACCCACACAGAGCCTCACTTGATCCATGTGGCAGTGCCCTGGGAGAGGGCAGGGAGGGGTGCTGGGAAACACGAGAGGGGCAGGCATTTGACCTGGGTCCTGAGGACGGGCTGAGGTTCCCAGAAGAAGAAAAACCACATCAGTCAGAGGCACCAGTAGGTGCCCATAGGAATAGAGGGCCTGGTTCCTCCTGGGCCAGGAAGCAGTTTTGTGGGGCTGGATCCCCGGATCCTGAGATGACAGTGGGTGCTGGGGTGTAGCTTGTGCTCAGAGAGGAGGAAAGCTGGCTGAGGCCAGGTTGAGAGGGATTCTGAGAGCCCATCTATTTCTCCTGTTCCCATCTCCTCTGTTATACCTGTCCCCAGGCACCTGAAATGACAAAGGTGCACAACCCCGGTCCTCTGGGCGTGGACTTCAAACCTATACACATGTGACAATCCCCGAGTTAGACAGCCCTCCTTCAGGAGCAGCTCTGGATGTCAAAGGGTTACGCTGCTGTCAGCAGCCCCTCCCTCTGTCTGACCTGAATCCCCCCCACCCACCCAGGGACAGCCTCCCCCTCAGGGTGACTCAGCCCCTGACTCCCAACTCCCTCCCTGCCATCAGCTAAGACTGTAACTGGTTACCATAGCGACCTCAAGAAGCCCGGTTCATACCCCTCCTTCCTGATGAGACCTGGAGGTCTAAATTGCTCCTGAGATGAATGCTGTGCACAGCTCCTCACCTGCAGAGATATTTGACAGGCAGCATCCCAGCGCCTTCCTCCCCTGCACAAACTCAGGAAGGGAGCGATGGCAAGAGAGGGAGGCCAGATGACAGATACCTCCACCACCGGGCCTCCAGGCTAGCACTTCCCTCCATAATATGGGGGTCCCCAGGGAGAGGAGGACAAAGGACATGAAGGCAAGAGCTGAAAACTACCAAAGAAGTTTTTGGTGTCCCCAGGAGAAACTACAGGTAATACCAAGATTTTCCATTCTTCTAGGCCATCTTTGAGAATGCACTTGGGAGGGATGGATCCTTATTTGTGAAATGTTGTCTTTCTCAGCAAAGTTTTACACACACACATGAACACACAGAACACCAAAAGATTCTTCCTGAAACATGGTCCATTAAGCTCCTGCCCCAAACCATCAATAGCTCCCCATTGCCAAAAAAGAAGACCCAAACTCCTTTCCCTGGCCTCAGCCTCCTTTCTACCTAGCGACCTGCCTTGCTGCCCCTAAGAACTCCTGTCCCACTCTGCATGCCATACCCTCAGCAGACCACTTCCTGCTTCCCAAAGGTGCTCTGTCTCTCCTGCCACCATGCTCATCTGGAGATGACCCTCTGCCTGGGCCACCCTAGCTCCGTGTTCACTTCCTCAAGCTCAGCCTTCATCCTCAGGCCCCCTCACCCACTCCCCCAGTTAAAATTTCACTCCTTCTTCCTGGTGGCACTTTTGGAGTCCTGTTAGAGAATAGAGTCTGCCATGCATCACTGAGATCTAAGTGTGGCTGTCATCTCCATGGCCTGGGGCCCGTAAAAGACCAACATGTTTCACTCACTTTCCTATCCCTTCACCCCTCAGAGGGTCTAGCATGGGGCCAAAAGCCAATGTGAATTGCTTGGCACTGACCCACCCTCCCTCTCCTCTCTGACTTGCTTTCTAAGATCTTCACCAAAGATGAGTGAGGAGACTGTGAATGGGCAGACACTTCACATTCACCCAGGGAAGCCTCCATCCCCTGGTAAAGACACAAGAACAGGGGAGCTGAACCCTTCGCCTCTGGACTTCGGGACCACCCATTGTAACTATTCTTCCTCCATCCCACCTCTTCAGAGCTGTGACTGGCTGGAGGGAGGTGGGCTGCTGGGCTGCCTCCTCTGGGGATGGAGACAGGGCAGCCTGGCCACAGGCACAGGAGGCAGGACTCAGGAACAGGCTGCTAGAACGCGCAGGTGACATTCCAGCTGTACCCAGGCCCAGGTCTGGGCCCCAGTTTCCACCTAGAGGTGGTGTGAGCAGTGTGGCAGCTGGCTCTGACCGCCAAGACATGGTGAGCTGAGGCTGCAGGGCCGTAACCCTGGCAGGCCCCAGCCACACCTGCAGACACAGCCCTCAGAGGCAGAGGCTAACACGGTTAATTGGTTCCAACCTTCAGCTAAAAGTAGGAGCATTGATCAGGCACCCGTGAGGCTCAGAAGCTGTGGCCTCTGAGGATGCTGTACTTCCGTGTAAGCTCAAACCCAGAAAAGAGAAATCCGATCAGAGGTTGTGGTGCTCACTTCCCAGCCGGGCCAGAGTGGGGCAGAGAGGCGGCAGGCTATAAATAGTGGAGGAACCGCCACTGATAATCCACTGGAGAGAAGGGATAGGGCACTCTTCCCCCAGGAAGGAATGGCAGGCCTCTCCAAGGAACAGCGGGACCTGTCAGAGCAGAGGACAGGAGATGGTGGCCTCATCCCCACCCACCCAAGGCCCAGTCCCCTTTCCCTGTCTGTGAAGTGCTTGCTTCTGCCCTGACTCCGTGGAGCATGGGGA
Organism: Homo sapiens; assembly: GCF_000001405.40. Taxonomy (NCBI): domain Eukaryota; kingdom Metazoa; phylum Chordata; class Mammalia; order Primates; family Hominidae; genus Homo; species Homo sapiens. The sequence continues at coordinate 11,020,154 of NC_000008.11, forward strand.
CTTACAGGGCAGGCATAGGATGAGGGGACTTCAAATAATGGTCTTGGGAGTTGAGTTCAGGCTCTCAGTGGAGCCAGGGCTTGGCCAGAGTTCATATGATTTCAGTGTAGGAAGCCGACACCGTCTGTGCATCCCGACACGGAAGCACAAGTCCACTCTCCTGTCACTCAGCCATCCCTCCAGAAATGCATCCATCCATCCATCCATCCAAATATCTAGTCATTCAGTAATTCATTTGACAAATAAGAATTGAGTCCCAATGATGTGGCAAGCCCTGTGCTAAGTTCCTTGTGACCTCACCTGTAAACGGTGCTGCTTCTCCCCGTCCTTCTTAGGGTGCTTGTAAGAACCCATCGAGGAAAGAAATGTGCTTGCAGCCTGGGAAGTATCACACATGTATCGGTGAGTTGGGGCTTTGACAGAGAGAAGCCTTTGGGTGCTTCCAAGAAGGGAACACCCCAGCCCCTAAGAGCTTCCTTTCCCTCCTTTGGTCCTCAAAATCTCAGCCAAGGAGGCCTTGATTGGCATTCATGGGCTATGGCTTTTCAGGTCAACTTTGAACTCTTACGCCTTTTTCCTAATATGAGGGTCTAGAATGTAAATTTTGAGATCCTTACTGAAGTATGCTTCCCCCTAAACTTGCTGTGTGCACTTGGGCAGGCCAGGTGACCTCTCTGTGCAACAGTTTCATCCACTGTAAAATGGCAGTGACATGAGTAACTATCTCTTAGGGCTGTTGTGATGATCAGAGAGTCAGTATATGTGAATTGCTTAGCATAGTGGCTGGCACAGAGTAGGTACTATCTAAGGGTGAGCTACTTGTGGAGATGATGCAATCTGGCCCTGGGAAATGGGGGTTCAGGCTCACCTTTTACAAAGGGACCCTAGGGGGTCCTATGAGGCAAATGCTTCTGGCTTTAAGATACGTCAAGCCTTAGTCTCCTCAGATTTTAAACCATCTCCATAAAACAGCTGTCCTAGGAAGGAATCTTGGGCTTCTCTCAGAGTCTCAGACCAGAAACTCTGTGTCCTAAGACACTGCAGCCTCTTACAGGAAGGCACTGCAGGTCTCACAGGGAGAGGAAGAGTTATACAGAACCCTGTCTTCCCTCTTCCTACACTCATGTGGGTAAAAAGCTTAGATTTTTCTTGCACTTGGAGTAGAACAAGGGGTACAGCTAAAGTGATGGACTGCTGAGAGTTTCTAGCTGCTGCTGGATTCCATAAGTTCCATCGGATTAAGGATGAGCTTAATGTATAATGTATAAACCCATGGACAGAGACACTGCCTTGTTTAAGCAATGGTTTACATTCATAACACAAATATAAATGGATAGTCATTTCTTTCTTCAGGGCCCAGCACAATTCATTAGTAGCTTCTAGCCTTTTGTCCCTTTCAAGCAGAAAACAGACCCAGCTCAGAGAGCAGTGGCTGGGTCTGCTCAGGACCCAGGAGCCCAAAGCACACAGGATCCCAAACGCTCCAGAGTCCATAGAGACTTTGTTGTCAAGCACATCAGAGATCATGACTGCTATATATTCTTGGTGCTTCTTTTCATCCATTCAGAGTCTCAAATGTTCTCTCTTCACTTTCCTGCTTCATTCAACTATGCTAAGACTGACAGCCTCCTGAGATACTAACGTGATAAGACACAATCCCTGCCCTCAAGGAACTTTAGGGTAAGCCTGTCTCCCTGACCTTGGCTTCCTGAACTTAGCCTTGTTCCATATAAACCTTTTTCCTCCTTCCTACTTTCCTCCCACCATCATTGCTGGCTGGTACCAGCTGCTTACTTTGTGTTTCTAGTTGCATTTCCTTAGCCTCTGTCTCCAGCTGAGCACTGGACTGCACACTGCAGAAAACAAAGGGGAAGAAACAAAGGCACTGGCCTGAAGGAGTTCATGGCCCACTGGGGAGCTTTTTCAGAAATATAACCAAAGAAGCCCCTGCCCTGGAGAGCTTTCAGTCCACAGACAGTGCATCCTAGATAGAAAGGGGCCCTCTCTTAAAGAGGTCCAACCCTTCTCATTCATGTAACTATGGCACAAAACAGTAGGTGCCAGTAGCACAAACAGTTCAGAGAAAGATGCTGCAGAGTGCTGTTGCCTTAGCATCCCTGGGAAAGGTGCATGGGCTGTAACCAAGCCCCATTGTTCCACCTGGGTGATCATGGCCATTGCTAGGGGAGAGCAGATTTACATGTGGACACAGGTACTTATGCTCTACCTGCAGCGACCCAAAACTCTCTTGCTGTTCAAACATGTCCAAGCAGTCCCCCTGGGTCCAAGGCAGAGGGCCCACTCCAAGTGGGAGACCACAAAATGACCTTATACAAACACCAGAAATTAGGTCTTAGACACATGAATGGGACAAAGACTAAGTGTCAAAATCCCAAACTCAGTCAGCAGCCAATGGGTGAAGCGGGCGGCAGGAGCAGAGGAGAATGCATGCGCTTCCTCCAGTGTCATCTTTTTCCATCCCTACGACCCACAGAAGGGTGACATTATTCCCCTTTTACAGATGCAAACACTGAGGCCCAGAGAGGTTATCTTGCGCAAGGCCCTGCAATTAGTAAGTGGTAGAACCAAGACCCAAGCTTTTTATTTTTAAAGCTGGGTCTTTTCAACTATACCATTCAGACTACAAAAGCAGAGAAATATTTTCCACTTTTTTATTTGTTATAAATATTTCATTGATCAACATTTAGTTCCTCAGGCACCTGTGTAAGGTCCTCCACGTCCCAGGGCAGGAGGCCCGGGGCTCTAACTCAAGGCCGTGACCCACAGACACACAGGAAAGGCAGTCCCCTCCCTCCCTTCCTGGCCACAGCAGGGCTGGTGCTGCGGTGTCAGCGCTCCAAGGTATCTGTCGAGGCAATTTCAGCTCCAGTTTGCTCAAACTCCAGACCAAAGGCTCAGTCGCAGACTCTGATGTGCCGAACAAAACCAGAGACAGGAACTCGTCTCAATCACTGAGTCAGCTGGCGGTGAGAAAATGGGCAGGTGGAAAGCTGGGGAGGGCCCTCCCTCCATGTCCCCATTTCCTAGACTGAGCTGGCCCTGCATTTTCTGCACCCAGGGCTGCTCCCAGAGCAGGCACTAGAACCCTCTGCAGATCCCAGACCCTGTTCTGCCCTGGAAGCAGTGAGGCACCTCACAGGCCCCCGAAGTCATCTGAGGCTGGTGGCTGGAGTGCAGTGGCATGATCACAGCAAGAAATCCTCTAACCTCAGCCTTCTGAGTAGCTGGAACTCTAGGCAGTGCCACCACACCCGACTAATTTTATTTTTTGTAGAGATGGGGTCTGGCTGCATTGCCCAGGCTGGTCTCAAACTCCTGGGCTCAAGGGATCCTCCTTCCTCAACTTCCCAAAGTGCTGGCATTACAGGTGTGAGCCACTGTGCCACCTGGGACTGCTTTCTAAAGAGATTTTCTATCTTAGAATCTGTGGGGGCCACTTGAGGAGGAGCTGGTGAGAGGTGGCATAAAGGTCTGGCCTGTTCCCCTTTATTTAGGGTTGAGGAACCCCACAGCGAGGGACTGCTAACTCTGCCTTCAGCATGTCTGGGAGCAGAGTCTTTCCCCTGGCTCCATGAAGGCCTCCTGCGGATCATTTCTCACCTGCTGCGGAGCCACCTGCGGTGCTGACTGTCCCCTCCTGAACCCTGTGCCTCTCTATGCCTGTCTTCATTACCAGGGTACGATGTCCTTCTCCAGCTAGGTGGATTGGTTCCCAAAGACTCCGGAATGAGGAACATTTGCAGACAGCAAACTTAAAACCCTACGAGAAGAATAGGGTGGGGGAATTGTGGCTGCAGATGAGCTTAGGAAGGTCCTTGGATGTATTTCTTCACATGCGTCACAACACCACGCAGCCCTATACCAAAGACATGGCACATCCCGAAGTCTTCCTCAAAGGTAAATGACAATCAATTTCCAATTTCCATTATTTGCTCCAGAGAGGTGGTTCAGGAATTCCCTCGCCCTCAAGTTTAAATGAGATATTAATGAATTATTTTTGCCTTGTTGCAGACAACATACCTGTTAGGAGGTGTGTGTGTGTGTGTGTGTGTGTGTGTGTGTGTGTGTGTGTGTGTGTGATTCTCCATCCAAGTGTTTACTTCCTTTCTCATTTCATGACTTTGGGTTATTGACTCCTGTCCCTCCCCAACCTCTGCCCTCCCCAGTTGGGTGACCTGGGACCAACTCCCCAACCTCCACATCTGTCTCCTTATTAGTGAAATGGAGCTATGACAGAACCCATGATGTAGGGATGCTCTAAGATTTAAATAAAGTAATCCAGGTAAAATGCCTAGTCAATTGTCTGGCACCTAATAAGCATTCAGTCAGTGGTAGCCATTACTTTCTTATTAATAAACTCAAATATCACAACCTACCAAGTGTCTGACTATCCTCAGGGCTTGGCCTCTCCCAGACTTCATCTGTCCCATGCTGGCACTGTCAGAACTATGCCCATGAGGCCGAATCACCCTGACTATTTTGAGGCAACCTTGCTCCCACATTTCCACCATCTGTTGAAGGTATTTCCTCTATTGACCCCCAGGGAGGCCCAAGAGGGCCAAGTCACAGATGGGATGGGGAAGAGAATCTAGAACTGATCCCTCTTAAAGACAGTGCAGACTAGCAGACGGCTGCAAAACCTGGGTGTTGGGGCCCTGGGAACTTCCAGAAGTGGACCATCCATCCCTACTCCTCCCAGAGTTACACACACATCCCAAGTTGAGACAGCACCTGTGACTGGCCTGGCCACACACTCACCATTAGGTGGTCAAGACCGGCTCTCTAAAGTGGCTGCCTCAGGCCCTGTGGCTCCCAGTAACCAAAGTCCACAGGAGGGGTGGTGCAGTCTGATTGATCCAGGAAGTGAGCAGTGATGGGAACAAGGGATCCCCCCATCTTTCTACGAGGCCTTGGAGCCGACTGGAGCATGTCACAGAGGGGTGAGCAGGACTTATTTCATCATATGTTCAAATGCTTGTGACAGACTTCCAGACACTTCTGTTCCTGCCTCTTCTCCCAAACACACACCCATCCACAGGAACCCTGTACTCATGTCCGCCAGATTCATGTCTACTCGAATAAAAACTTCAATTCAGTGGTTACGTTTGATGTCCCTGTGCCTTTCAACACATTTTTACATAATCTGACTTTAGAGCCTTTTCTTTATAATATGCTTCCTTTCTAAGAGGAGCCGATGCCTTTGGTTAATGGAGTCTATTCAAAAAATACCTATTGAATACCTGCTAAGGCCTGCTGAAAGCCAGACACTTGGGGTGCAGGGAGGGGTTGCCAATGGGATAGAGGAAGCCAGAGACACATACTTTCCCTCCAAGAAGCTTAGAGTGGGGGCGGCCTGGGGGAGATGGAAATTCACACAACTAATGCCAGGCTTGGTAAGTACACGGAAAGAAGTGAACACAAATTGCTTCAGGAACAAAAGCCTAATTCCTGTGTTTGCATGGGCCTCTGATTTCAGGTTTGTGAATTCATGAGTTACGATTTGTTAATATACATCATGGTGCATGAAATAAAGCTCTTGATCTAATAACACTAATACACACCAAATAGAGTGTGAGCTGGATGAGTAATTAGTGAAGCTCTGGGGTGTGACATTAGCCCTGCTTGTGGAGGGAGGCGTAGCACTGCCTATGTGTATATACAGCCATGCCTCCAGTATGGCAGCCACCAGGCACACGTGGCTACTGAGCACTTGAAATGTGGCTGGTCCAAACTGAAATGTGCTGTTAAATACACATGAGATATCAAAGACCAGATATCAAAGAATCAGTACAAGAGATTAAAACAGCTCATGAATACATTTTGTACTGATTACATGTTTAAACAATAATATCTTATACAGTCATGCACCAATCAACAACGGGGATACATTCTGAGAAATGTGTCGTTAGGCGATTTCATCATTGTACGAGCATCACAGAGTGAGTTACACATGCCTAGATGGTGTCGCCTACTACACACCTACGACACACCTAGATGGTCTAGCCTACTACACACCTAGATGGTCTAGCCTACTACACACTTAGATGGTCTAGCCTACTACACACCTAGATAGTCTAGCCTACTACACTCTTAATGGTGTTGCCTACTACACACCTAGATGGTCTAGCCTACTACACACCTAGATGGTCTAGCCTACTATACACTTAGATAGTGTTGCCTACTACACACCTAAATGGTCTGGCCTACTACACACTTAGATGGTCTAGCCTACTACACACCTAGATGGTCTAGCCTACTACACACTTAGATAGTCTAGCCTACTACACACCTAGATGGTCTAGCCTACTACACACCTAGATGGTCTAGCCTACTACACACTTAGATGGTCTAGCCTACTACACACCTAGATGGTCTAGCCTACTAAACTCTTAATGGCGTTGCCTACTACACACCTAGATGGTCTAGCCTACTACACACTTAGATGGTCTAGCCTACTACACACCTAGATGGTCTAGCCTACTAAACTCTTAATGGCGTTGCCTACTACACACCTAGATGGTCTAGCCTACTACACACCTAGATGGTCTAGCCTACTACACACTTAGATGGTCTAGCCTACTACACATCTAGATAGCCTAACCTACTACACACCTAGATGGTCTAGGCTACTACACCCTTAGATGGTCTAGCCTACTACACACCTAGATAGCCTAGCCTACTACACACCTAGATGGTCTAGCCTGCTACACCCTTAGATGGTCTAGCCTACTACACACCTAGATAGTCTAGCCTACTACACACCTAGATGGTCTAGCCTACTACACACTTCGATGGTGTTGCCTACTACACACCTAGATGGTCTAGCCTACTATACACTTAGATGCTGTTGCCTACTACACACCTAAATGCTCTGGCCTACTACACACGTAGATGGCGTTGCCTACCACACACCTAGGCTATACGGCATAGCCTGTTGCTCCTAGGCTACAAACCTGTACAGTACAATACTGTACTGAATACAGTAGGCAGTTGTAACACAGTGGTAAGTATTTGTGAATCTAAACATATTTAAACGTAGAAAAGGTACAATAAAATATGGTATTATCATCTTATGGGACCATCCTCATATATGCAGTCCACCATTGACTGAAATGTTATTATGTGGCATGTGACTATGTATATTGGGTTAAATAAAATATGTTATAGAATTAAAATTAATTTCATCTTACTTCTTTTTACTTTTTTTGTTTTATTGTAGCTACTGGAAAATTTAAAACCCCAAATGTGATTCACATTTATGGTCCACCTTATATTCCTATTGGCCAATGCAGATCTAGAGCATTCATATTCGTTTCGTCATTTAATTCTCACCACCATGCTACAAAGTAGGCATTCACCCCCATTTTACAGTCAAGCTAATTGAGGCTCAGAGAAGTAGTAAATTACTCCAAGTCACATGACATTAGGCTTCAGCAACTCACTTGAGCTGATGACTATCTTGGGCCAGTGGCTCAAGGCCTTGCAGCAAGATGAAGGCCAAGACAACCACGTCTACTGGCAGTGTGGCCTGGGGCCAGTTATTTGCTCCATTACTTGTGGGTAAGAACAGAAGGAGAGTAGGTACTCCGTGTGTTCAACAAGTGAGGACGGTCATCATTGTATCACACGTCTTAAAAATATCCCCTCCCCCTGGCGCCTCCTACCTACAAGGCCCACAGTTACAGCCTTTGAGGCTGGGCTAGAAGCCCCTCTCCTCCCCCATTATCAACATCCCACCCCTCCAGAGTGGTGCACTTGTTGCAATCGATGAATCTACATTGACAGATCGTCATCACCCAGAGTCCATAGGTTACATCAGGGTTCATACTTGGTGTTGAACATTCTGGGAATTTTGGCGAATGTATAATGATCTGTACCCACCATTACATTATTAACATACAGAGCAGTTTCACCACCCTAAAAACCCCCTGTGCTTGGCCTGTTCATCCCTGCCTCCCTCCAACCCCGGCAACCACCGAGATATTTACTCTCTTTATAGTTTTGCCTTTCCAGAATGTCATCTAGTTGGAATCATACACCAAGTAGCCTTTTCAGGGTGGCGTCCTTCACTTAGGAATAGGTTCTTCCATGTTTTTTCATAGCTTGGTAGCTCATTTCTTTTTTAGCACTGAATGATATCCCATCGTTTGCATGGATCACAGTTTACCCGTTCACCTGCTGACGGACACCTTGCTTGTTTCCAAGTTTCAGTAAGTATGAATAAAGCTGCTATACGCATCTGTATGCAGATTTTTGTGGACATAATTTTCAATTCCTTTGGGTAAACGCCAAGGAACACTATGCTGGATTGTATAAGACTATGTTTAGTTTTGTACAAAACCACCAATAGCTGTACTATTTTGAGTTCCCACCAGCAATGAATGAGAGGCATGCTACTTTGATGAGCTCATTGCCATGTTATTCTTGTTTGTAGGAGCTCCACCTTTCTGGCCAGACCCCAGCCATCCAATCTCACTGGGGTTCCTACAGGTAGCATTTGGCACTTGGTGGATGTACCTTTGCCGCTTACTAATAATTACAGCTCATGGCAAGCACTTAATATGAGCTGGGAACTGGGCAGAGGTCTTTCCATATCTTGTCCCATTGACCCTCACAGCAACCCTATGGCCCAGGCACTATGACAGTCCACATTTACACACAGGACAACGGGGTCTCAGATGTGCTCAGTGGCTTGTCCAAGGTCACACTGCTGGCAGGTGGCAGGGTGGGATGTGAACTCTCTGCAGGTGGCCCCCTGGACTAGGCTGCTCCCTGGTACCTGTCTCTCCATCTTACTTAGCTATGAGCTCTTTAAGGGCCAGGACAATACCTCATGCGCCTGGAAGTCACCCCCACCCTGTGCCTGGTGCCTCACCTGTTAGGACACCAGTGATGCTGGCTGAGTCCTCAGCGACCCTCCCAGTCCTGTGTCGTAGGCTCTGCTCTTTCATGTGAGCTGTCCCCAAGAACCCAGCCCTATCTCTATCATCCCTCCCAGGCCCCTTCACTCTCATAGTCCCAATTTTCCTTCTGGGCTGTTGACCCCCAAATGCCACACCCAACCTGGTCTTGTGCAAAGATCTCCATTTCCTTTTGTCTCTGAATGCTGTCATCAGTTGTCCCTTTAGGAGACCCTTACAGACCCCTCATATTCGCTGGTAGGGACTGACTGTGTTTCCCCAGATCCATATGTTAAATCTCCAACCCTTAATGTGATGGTATTAGGAAATGGGGTCTTTGGGGGTGATTAGGTTTAGATGAGGTCATGAGGATGTAGCCCCCATGATGGGATTTCTGTCCTTATAAACAGAAGTGCATGAACCAATGAAGGACATGTGAGCATACTACCAGGAAGAGGTGGTGCCCTCCCGTCCTCACCAAGAACTCGGGCATGGTTGGCACACTGGTCCCAAACTTCAGCCTCCAGAACCAAGAGAAATCAGTGTCTGCTGTGTGAGCCACCAGTCTCTGGCTTTCTTCACAGCAGCCCAGTTGACTGACATTTGCCATGACAGAAGACGACCTCATTGTCCCTCCTTGCCAGTCCCCCCATTTCCTCACGTCAGTGCCATTTCCACTTGCCCTTTAGCCAGTCCCCTGGAACCCAGGACACTCTAACTCTCCTCTCTTATTCTAATTTTCAATTCTCAATTTCCCCTTCAAAATCTCTCTTGGGTTCTTACCTTTCTATCCCTACTCCACGATCTTGGCTGAAGCCATTTTCCATCCATAACAGAAGAACTCTAACAGTCTATGTGGTGTCCATACCTCCAATCTCCCTTCATCCAGTCATCATACACACAAATCTGCAACAGCAATACCACCCAAACCATGTAGATCACTCCACAACCCGCTATGGCTCCCTACTGCTGCTTGGATAAAGTGCACTCTGTTCTAGTATTCCCAGACTGCAGGAGTCTCACCCCTAGCTGCAGCTGTCCCAGCTCACTCTGCACAGATCCCTGCTTTGGCTCAGTCCACCCCCTCTCTGTTGCCTGCCCGAGTTGGGCTCATTTCCACCTCCGCGTGGCTCCACATACAGTCCCCTGGCCTGGACTGCCCTCATCCTCCTTCCCTTTCCATCTGGGTGACAACAGGCCTTCCAGAATGGTCCCAAGGCCAGCCACAGAATCTGTGGATCGTTCTAAACTGCACAGATTGAGAATGTACATGCTGCCATTGTTTCTCTGCAGATGCCATCAAACAACAGGCCTCTCTTGGTAGCTGGTGTCTCTTGCTCACCAACAGGATGCCCTCCAGTGAGGAGGTGTCCAGCAATCCTCAGATTGCATACCCTTGATCCTTGATCAATGTCGAAGTAAAAAGTAAGCCTAGTGACAACCCGCAGCAAAACAGTCTCCCTCTTGAGAAATCTAGCATGTGCCCGAGTGCCAACCCACCAGCAATGACCTCTGCAAGGGTCCCTTACAACCTCAGGTCCCACAAGTGACAGGGACATTCCTGGGGGTGGCGTGAGGGGAGGGACTCAGTTAATCCCTTGTAGACAGCAGCAGGTTCCCCTAGGACAGCATCCCCCTAATGGGCGGTAGTTCCTCACCTCTGCCAGCCAGCCAGCCAGTCTCTCCTAGGCGTGGAGGGTGGGAATGGTATGAAGTGAAACCTCCCTACTCCAATGCCCTCATCTGAAAGCCCCAAAATGAGGAGGGAATTGCCCTCTCAGGCTCCTCATTGACCACCTATGTCACTACCATTCAATAAATGTGGTATTTGTTACAACTGCCCTATGAAGTAGGTACTCTTATGACCATTTTAAATATTAGAAAACTGAGGCTCTGAGAAGTGGCACAGCTAGTAAAAGGCAGAGTTGGTAGAGTGCACACCTACTGGCTCTCTCCTGGCTCACGGCAAGCCCATTCCAGCTAACTGCTCCCTTCCTTCACAGAGGGGAACCATGGTGGTCTTGTTTGAGATGACCCTGTTCACTGGCTGCTACTGATTGAACCAGAGGTGGGCTCCTGATCCAAGCTGGGCCAATCAGAATCTGGTATTGGGAGAGAAAATGCTTAGATAAAGAGCGAGAGCAATAGAGAAAGAGAGAGAGTGCGTGCAAGAACGTGAGAGCATGAGGGATATTTTAGACTTCCATCTCCTAATCCACAGTGACCCAACGGCTCAGCTGCACCCTTGCCTTGGGTCTCCTGAGATCTCTCCTTGGGGCTTATGCCAGCCCAGTGGGTTCTCTTCAACTAGAAGGAGAGTAAGCAATAAGGTCTGAGGCAGGTCCGAGTAAGGCACTGGAGGTGCAAAGACAAGTGTAGCCCACGGGGGTTCCTGGCTGCAGGAATTTGGGGCCCACAGCAGAAAGAACCACTCCAGGAGACAGGCCATGAGAATAGAACAGTAAGGCCGGAGAGTCAGGGACACTCAGCAGGGATCTGCCAGCATCCCAGGACTGTGCTGCTGAGAAGGGGCTGTCCTCTTAGCTGGGCCAGGGAAGGAATGGAGAGCAAATGGGTTTCATGCAGATTTCAGATGAGGCCTGATTGCAGCATTCTAGAAGAAGACATTTGCTAGAAAGCCCAAGTGCCACCACCTCCTCCAAACCTCTCCTAACTCTGGCTAAAATAAACGTGACAGTGAAACTAGGACTTTATTCACATGGCCCTGCCTGTATCTTCATTCCTATACTGGAATGGAAAGTACTGATGCAGAATCCATGTGTGATTTATTTTTGCATCCCAAAGCACCCAGCCCAGTCCCCAGCCTATCCTAAGGAAGTCTGGAAGGATGCCTGTTGAATGAGTGCACAGGGAGATCCCCCCAGCAGGCAGCCTCTGCCTAGCCACAGCTGTTTCCAAGCAGGTGTGCGTGTCCCCATTCAGGGCTTCTGAGACAGGGCTCCCAAGACAGGGCTCCCCCGTGGGGCAGGCAACAGGTTTGCCACAGAGGTCCCTTACTACTCCTGAATTCTAGGGTGATACTGCCCCTCTGGGAGAATCTTGCCTTTGCTCATCTAGTTTTTCTTCTGCTTCTTTTACAAATTGGCACCAGACGCAGGGCTGAGAGCCAGATTAGGGAAGAAAGCTGTCAAAAATATCTCCCCTCCAGAAAAAGCAAAGGAAAACAACATCTTGGTGGGTTTTTCCAGGGGAAGAAAAAGTGAAATAGTTTCTTTTTGCCTTCTATGTGTTGCCCGAAAATGGCAGTTTTGCAGAGAGAAAACATATTTTCCTGAGCAAAGCTGTTTGTGGTGTGAAAGACAGAGTGTGTGTGCTGAGTACAAAGACACAAATTGGCCCGAGGCTCAGCTACGCATGCTATTTTCACATGAGTTTAGATTAGGGAGGAAGAGGTTGGGGATAAGAAAAAATAAAATCTTTGTTTTGTGAACATGAAAAAAATGTTGGCCTGGAGCAAATTCAAACCTGGTGTCTGGCACAAGGCAGGGCTGTAATAGAGATGTGTTGAAAGAAGGGAGGGAAGTTGAGGGCAAGACTGTTTGCCCTCCCCAGGCTCACCAGAGAAGGTACAGGCTCACTCCAACAGCAGGATGGCTCAGGAGCTGGGGCCATTGCAGACTGCAGCTAGGGGTCTGCTCCAGGGCATGGTCAAACACCCCTCCAAGCCCTGCCTCCTGCCCTCTCAGGACCTACCTTACAAGGCTCCTGAGAAGACTAAAGGAGGTAATGCCCACAAAGGTGTTGACACTGGCCCTCCCCTCATGAGCACTGAGGAGCAGTAGTGGCTTTGCTGGTGGTGGAGATGGTGATAGTGATTGTGACCATGAAGATAAAAAGATGACAACGATGATGATGGTACCGATGGTGATTGTAGTGGTGATAATGGTGATGGTTGTGATGATGAAAACGATGATCAGGATGGTAAGGATGATGATGGTAATAATGATGAAGATGATGATGATGGTAATGTGGTGGTGACGATGGTAATGGTGATAATGATGATGATGAAGAGGATGAAGATTATCACGATGGTAATGATGATGATGGTAATGGTGATGAAGGGGTTGATGATGATGGTAATGGTGGTGAGGATGATGGTGATGAGGATGGTGGTGCTAAGGATGGTTACGATGGTGATGGTGGTGGTGACAGTGGAGATGCTAATGATGATGATGGCGATGATGACGATAGTGATGGTGATGGTGGTGGTGATGATGATGATGACGATAGTGATGGTGATGGTGGTGGTGATGATGATGATGACGATAGTGATGGTGATGGTGGTGGTGATGATGATGATGACGATAGTGATGGTGATGATGATGATGATGATGGTGATGATGATGGTCGTAATGATGATGATGGTAATGATGGTGATGATGATGATGGTGGTAATGACTATGGTAATGATGATGATGATGACAATGAAGAAAAACAAAATGAAGAAGATCACGATGACAATGATGATTATGGTGATGGTGATGATACTGTTAATGGCCCCTGCCCCACTCATTATGGGCACTGCCCCATAACCTCTGCTTCCCTTCATTGCTCTACCAGCCCCTTAGAATTAGAAAGGCCTTTCCCCAAAGTCGACCTGAAACAGAGTCGCTCAAAGGGTAGTCTGAGAACCAACTGAATGAGAAAGCCTCTGGGTGTGTGTGAATTATGCAGATACCCAGGTCCACTCGTATCTTCAGATTATGACTCCTAGGGGTCCAGAAATACACATTTTAAACAAGCTCCCCAAGTAGTTCTTCCGTATACTAGACATGGAGAGCCACCCATACAATCCAGCTCTCTCATTTTACAAATGAGGAAACTGAGGCCTGCAGAGAAGCAGCTTGGCCAGCCAGGAATGGCAGAGCCAGGACTATAACCACATCCTCAAATTTCAAGAGCAGTCCCTTGTTGCTCCAGCATAGCCTGTTTAGTCAACCTTATGTGTTAAGTGCCAACTGTCTGCAAAGCACAGTCCACGACCAAACTAAATGAGAAAAAAACAAATCACATAAAACGCATGCCTCAAGGAGACATGGCCTGTGTAGGAGATAAAAGAATAATGGGGAATGGTGAGTGCCAGACAAGGGGAAGAGAGAGAAGCTGAGGGAGTTCAACAGGAAAGGCTGCACAGTGTGGGAAATGAGAGGCTGGAGGATCTCAAAGATCCAGGAAGACGGCATGGAGGAGCCAGCACTTCAGCTGCAGCTTTGAAAGATGAGCACAGTTTAGCCAAACAAAATAACAAGAAGGGTGCCACAGGCCGAGAGAGCATCATGGGTAAAGGTACAAGGCAAAATGTCCAGGACATTTATGGGGAAGGGGAAGAAGCTGCATGTGTCTAGAGCTCCAGGTGAAATGTACCACATGAAGCACAAGGATGGGGGAGCCAGAGAATATGGGTACCTGAAGCTAGGCAGGTAAGATTGGCTTTTACTCTATGGGCAACAGAGAGCCATGGCAGGCTTTCCAGGAAGGGAGTGACATGCACCTTAGACAGGTCAGCCTGACAGCAGCTTAAAACTAGATGGAATGGGAGACAACTTTGTCCCTAAGCTCAGTCCCCTAAAGATACCAGCACATGACTGTCAGGCCCCTGCTGGGACAGCTGCCCCTCCCTAGGCCTGTCCATTCTCTTACCTCCCTCCTGCCTCTGATGGGGAAGGGGTGATGGGTTGGAAGTGGGTGTGTGCAACATTTACCATGGCCAGGTCTGCTCTGTGCTCTGTCCCCACCCAGCACACCCATCTCCATCCATACCGGCCAGCCTTGCCTGTTCCCTCACAGTGATGCATAAGCTGGGCTTCTCCTGCGGTGTGATACTAATGTACTAGCCAAACCCTGAGAGGCCACATATGGTGGGTGAGGGATGTGGGACTGCCAGACTGCCAGCCAGTGCCCTGAAGACTCTGCATTTCATATGCGTACACATTTAGTAGTAGTGTGACCCTGGGCCAGTTACTGATTCTTTCTGAGCTTCGGTTTCCTCATCTGTAAAATGGGGATGATGATACTTACCTTAAAGGGCTGCCATGAGGTCGAAAGACAAACTATGACAAACAGCCAGTCTCGTGCCCAGCCCAGCGTGGGTGCAAGCTATCTGGTGGCTGCTCGGATGATGATGATGACGATGACAACGATGACGTAGCACCCCATTTCCAGCTCACACCATCGGGATCACCGCCAGCATCAGCAGCATCATCAAGCCATCTTCCTGCGTTGTGGCAGCTTGGGCCCCCACTGGCCATGCAGGAGCCAGGAGATCAAATCATGAATGGGGCTCTTTGCACTTCAGGCAAAGTGCAACTCCAGGAAAGAGAGAAGATTAAGGCCAAATCTCTGCACCCAAACAGGATCCAAGAAGTGGGGTAATCTGGGACTCATCACATCTACATAAAGGGAGGAGGAAGCCCCAGGGTGGCCTGGGGAGGAACCCCAGTGGCCTAAGAGCAAGTTCTGCTCTGCAGCTGAACTTCAAGAACCCAGCTGCATCTCGAAGTTCTCGCTGAAGAATTTGGAGACCTGAAATATCCTGTTTTGCATGAATAAGCATTTCAAAGATATTGATTACAACAGCTCCTTACATGTGTACAGACAGTGGTGTGTCATTTCTCACACATTTTCAGATCCATCATCCCTGTGAGGAGGCAGGAAGGAGATTAGTGAGTTGATGTGATAGATGGGGAAACTGAGGAGAGGGAGGTAAGTGGTTTCCCTGAAATGCCACAGGTCTGATTTTTTTCCCTGAAAAAGGCAGGTCTGATTCTACCTACATCTAGGGCTCCCCTTTGTGTATCTGACCAGATGCATGTGAGAAATCTGAGTTGAGTTACCTGTGAAAGTCTTTTTTTTTTTTTTTTTTTTTTGAGGCAGGATCTTGCTCTGTCACCTAGGCAGGAGTGCAGTGGTGCAGTCACAACTCACTGCAGCCCTGACCTCCTGGGCTCAAGCAATCCTCCTGCCTCAGCCTCTTGAGTAACTGGGACCACAGATACCCACCACCATACCAGGCTAATTGTTTTTCTTAGTTTTTGTAGAGATGGGGTCTCACTGTGTTGCCTAGGTTGGTCTCTAACTCCTGGGCTCAAGTGATCCTCCTGCCTCAGTCTCCCAAAGTGCTAAGATCACAGGCATGAGCCATCACACCCAGCCTGGAAGTTCCTTCTTACCAGGCAGAGAGAGAAGCACTTCCAAGCTTGTAGGATTCTAGGAAAGTTTCTAATCCAATCTCTTCATGTCTCAGATGAGAGGTGGGAGACCTAGAGGAAGCCACTGTGCCCCTATTTAAAGTAAGAATAACCCCAAAGATATCTTCTCTGGTCAAAGAGTTTCCAAACCGTTGAATGTGAATCTTGCTACCGGCAGCATCAGCATCAATGGGAGCTTGTTAGGAATGCACATTCTTAGGCCCCACCCCAGACTTGCTACATCAGCATCTCTGGGTGGGGTCCAGGAATCTGCATTTTAACAAATTAGCCAGGTGGCTGCACAGTAAATTTTGAGAATTTAGCATGCTTAATCTGATGCATGCTAAGATCTGAACAACACTGCTCTCAAGAGTTGGGGGTGAGTGTTCTTTGGAGGGTTCAACAGAAGTTTAAGGCACATTTTCATTATGTTGACGTAACTGTGTTTTTAAACCACAATTTGAAAACAGCCCTTGAACCCTAAGTTATATACCAAATTTTAACAACTGGGAGGCCACCTTGGGCCACAGACTTAGGTCACGCTTTCATGTCCGAACTCCCTGGAAGGTGGCTGCGTGTGTTATTCTGTGAGCACAGGGTGGGGCGTGCCCCATCCTAGGCAGTGCACACTGGCTTGAGCTAGAACCGCTCTGGCGAGCTCTCTCAGTTAGCTCTCCCCTGCTTGAGAAGCCCCCTAGATCGGGTATGAAAGCCAGCTGAAAACGTCGGTGCCCTCTGCAGGTTTTTGTATTTATTATGATCCTACTTATACTTATGACGAGGCGTGGATATCATTTAGTGATGCTACGTGACACAGAAATAACACAACACTTCTCAAATTTCTGCATCTGTTTCACCCAACAATTATAAGTTGAGCTGTTAAAAAAACTTTTTACCATCCACAACCACCACTTATGTGATTACATGAGTTGATCAAGAATTTTAATACTTTTTTCTTTTTTTAAGACAGGGTCTCACTCTCACCCAGGCTGGAGTGTGGTGGTACAATCTCGGCTCACTGCAACCTTCACCT
The DNA here is from genome assembly GCF_000001405.40 of Homo sapiens. NCBI lineage: Eukaryota > Metazoa > Chordata > Mammalia > Primates > Hominidae > Homo > Homo sapiens. The sequence goes on from NC_000008.11 coordinate 11,037,316, forward strand.
CCCGGGCTCAAGCCGTCCTCCTGCCTAGGCCTCCTGAGTAGCTGAGACTACAGGTGCACATCACCACGACTGGCTAATCTTTGTATTTTTGTAGAGACTGGGCTGTGCCATGTTGTCCAGGCTGGTCTCCAATTCCTGGGATCTAGCGATCCACCCACCTCCGGCTCCAAAAGTACCGGGATTACAGGCATGAGCCACTGCACCCAGCCTCAATGCTGTATTTCTCAATACTGTGTTACACGCATGTAAAAATGATTGAATGGGCCGGGCGCAGTGGCTCACGCCTGTAATCCCAGCACTTTGGGAAGCTGAGGCCAGTGGATCACGAGGTCAAGAGATCGAGACCATCCTGGCCAACATGGTGAAACCCTGTCACTACTAAAAATACAAAAATTGGCTGGGCATGGTGGCGTGCGCCTGTAATCCCAGCTACTTGGGAGGCTAAGGCAGGAGATTCGTTTGAACCCAGAAGGCAGAGCTTGCACTGAGCCGAGATCGTGCCACTGCACTCCAGCCTGGATGACAGAGCGAGACTTGGTTTCAAAAAAAAAAAAAAAAAAAATTAGCCGGGTGTGGTGGCACACACCTATACTCCCAGCTACTCGGGAGGCTGAGGCAGGAGAATTGCTTGAACCCAGGAGGCAGAGGTTGTAGTGAGCCAAGATCATGCCACTGCAGTCCAGCCTGGGCAACAGAGTCAGATATATCTAAAAAAAAAAAAAAAAAAGATTGAATGCTAAGACTAATGTCTAAGACAAACTATTAACTACCATCCCTGATCCCTGATTTCAAATTTCTGTGTCATCGAAAGGGGCCGGTTTTTCTCATTTGCAAGTTTACTAGCAAGTGACATTCTAAGTTTTAACTTATGGGAACCTTTATATGAAAAATGTTACTTGTATCTAACTTGTTTAGCGGTGAGCTTGTGTAGGATTTAATTTGAGAAAAAAGTGTCTCTGCTTTTTAAATGTTAGAAAATTACTAATTTAGGACACCCCGCTCATTTTATAGTTAAGGAGTCTGAGTCCTTATGATGTCATGTGAGTCACTCGAGGTCACACAGGTATTTTAAGTATAATTAAATCAGAGAGCAGGGACACATTGTGTGGAGAGGCACGAATAAATTGTGGGGAAAAGGGAAGAGTACACTTCATGGACTCAGATAAGTAATTGTAGTCATTTTGTGTGTGTGTGTGTGTGTGTGTGTGTGTGTGTGTGTGTGTGTGTGTGTGTGTTTGAGGCAGGGTCTCGCTCTGTCGCCTAGGCTGGAGTGCAGTTGTATGATCACAGCTCACTGCAGCCTCAAACTACCAGGCTCAGATGATCCTCCTGCCTCAGCCTCCTGAGTAGTTGGGACCACAAGTGCTCACCACCACGCCTGGCTAATTTTTTTATTTTTTATTTTTGTAGAGCCGATGCCTCCCTATGTTGTCCAGGCTGGTCAAGGACTTCTAGGCTCAAGTGATCCTTCCACCTGAGACTCCCAAAGTGCTGGGATTACAGGCATGAGCCACCGCGCCTGGCCGACTTCAGGCATGTAATAAATTTAAGTGATTTAGATTGGCTTAGTTTGGCCAGAGGCAGCTAGGTGGGCTTCTGAGGCTTTAGCTACCTGCTTACACTCACTCGTTTCCCACTAGGGCTGCTTACCGCCCAACTCAGTTGTCGACGCCACCCCCAGCTGCAGGGCGGGTGGGCACTGAGACCCTGCCACTCAGAGCTTATGGTCCCCAGAGAGTGGCGCAGGCCCAGTGAGAGCCAGGGAGACCTCAGGGGACTTTGGCAGGAAGAAGCCTGTAGTGTCATCACACCGCCGAGGACAAGAAGGGAAGCACACGCCGCCCCACTCAGCTGCCCTAGAAATGCAAAGCGAAGGGGAGGCCACCAGCCAATGTACTGAAGTCATAAAATCCACTCCAGATCTCACTCATGGTGTGAAACAGAAAAGAGGGAGACTGCAGATCCAAAAGGCAGGAGGAAGCAACACCAGAGGGGGGATTGAGGCCCTGGGAAAGCTACAAAGAGTGGCTGGGCAATGAAGCCCTGGAACAGAAGGCTCTGCAGCCTCAGATGGGCCTGCAACAGCCATGGTTAGGCCAAGGCCAGCCTTTCCCTGCTTACTGGACACGCTGTGTGTGCAAGATGAGGGACGCGCACTGCCCATGAGTAACTTCTGTGTGCCTTTTCTCTTCCGAGATGAGGACATTGGGCCTTGACGGACCCATGGCTGGGGCCACCAAAGAACTTGGAACAGAGACAACACGCGCTGGCCCCAACGTCCAGGGTGGATGGAACAAGACCTTCTGGTGCGAGAGGGGAGAGCCCGGCGGTAACAGTTCCAGCCTGGTGGCCCACGCCCTCCACAAGGACTCCCACCAATTCCCATCTGTACTCGCCCCTTCCCAAGGACGGCAGCTGAGACCGTAGGGCCTTGAATATGCACCTGCAAATGAATAAGTGCACGTCCCGGCCCTACCTGGGCATACAGCCCCCACCTGACAAGCACAGGGAAGCAGCCCGAGCACAGCTCTACGAACGCCGGGGACAGCTGCTCTCCAAAGAGCAAAAGGACATCAGCCCGTTAGCGGAACAAGCTTCCTGTCCATGCCTTAAAAGCATAACTCGTTAACTGCTAAGGTGCTGAATTATTTATGCCACCCGGCTGGGGTTTCCCACCTTCCAGCAATTGCTCACTTTCCTATCCCCATCCCGCCACCCTCTGCCTCCCTCACCGTCGGGAGGTGAGGAAGCAAGAAGAAAACGGAGGCCCAGGCAGTTCCTTGGGAAGGGTGAGACCTTGCAGTAAGGACCCAGGCCGGGGGGACCTTCCACTCCCTTGTCCATAAGGTCCACGATGCCCTACTTTCCACTCCTGCAGGAACAGGACCCTTCCTGCCCAAGGCTCCGGCCCTGCCTCAGTCCCTCAAAACTACCACAGCCTCACGCCTGGAATCCCAGCACTCTGAGAGGCCGAAGCAGGAGGATTGCTTGAGCCCAGGAATTTGAGACCAGCCGGGGCAACATAAGCAGATCTCATGTCTGCTAAAAAAAAAAAAAAAAAAAAAAATTAGCCAAACAGGGTGGCACCCACCTGTAGACCCAGCTACTCAGGAGGCTGAAGCAGGAGGATCACTTGAGCCCAGGGGGTCGAGGCTGCAGTGAGCCATGATTGCACCACAGTACTCCAGCCTGGGTGACCGTGCAATCCTGTCTCAAAACACAAAACAAAACCTACCACAGCCTGGGAGGCTTACAAACAACAGAAATTCATTTCTCAGTTCTGAAGGCTTGGGAGTCCAAGATGAAGGCAGATTTGGTGTCTGGTGAGGGCTCTCCTGGTTCGTAGACGATGCCTTCTCACTGTGAACAAACCCTCCTCATCAGGGCACTAACACCATCACTGGGCTGCACCTTCACGACTGATCGCCCCCCAAACCCCCACCTCCTAAGACCAGCACATGGGGTTAGGATGTCAACACATGCATTTGGGGGACATTAACACTCTGGCTGTAGCTAATGGCCTCCTGTAAAACAGAATCATTGCTTGTAGCGTCTCTCTCACAGGGGCAACTCAGGGAAAACCAAATCTCAGTTTGGGGGCCTGAAGAAGACTCCCAGAAGCAGGTATCTACGTACATCGGGCAGATACTGAAGCAAATGCTTTGACCATCTCCTCCGTGCTAGGTGGGGGCTGCAGGGACCTAGGGGCAATGTGGACCTTATGGACAATGGCCCATTCCAGCCTCTCAAACAGCATTGGTGGAAGTGGCTGCCACCCCCATCAGGATCAGAGGAGAGATGCCACTGAGACGTTAGGGACAGCTCAGTGTACCGTACATCCCTGAAACGCATTTTAGAAATGTTATTCATGAGGAGTTTATAAAAACTTGGATGATGCTTGTAACAGAGCATTAAGGGAAAACAAGCAGAACAAAACATTGTGCAAAGAGCATGACATCAGGCCGGGCGCGGTGGCTCACGCCTGTAATCCCAGCACTTTGGGAGACCAAGGCAGACGGATCACAAGGTCAGGAGTTTGAGATCAGTCTGGCCAACATGGTGAAACCCCGTCTCTACTAAAAATACAAAAACTAGCTGGGCGTGGTGGTGCGTGCTTGTAATTCCAGCTACTCGGGAGGCTGAGGCAGGAGTATCGCTTGAACCTGGGAGGCAGGGGCTGCAGTGAGTCAAGATCTTGCCACTGCCCTCCAGCCTTGGTGACAGAGCAAGACTTTGTCTCAAAAAAAAAAAAAAATCAACTTAGGTTTTGGGAATGATGTTGATGATGCAGATGCAAAGGGAGGAGCCAAAAAAGTTAACAACTGCTGGTACGTGGGTAGTGGGGTTGTGGGTCATCTTAGGTGGGACTAGAGGGAGAAGAGGAGAGGGGCCCAGGGCCCTGGGGGCTCAAAGAGGCTCGAAAGAAACCCCTCTGCCATCTGGCCCAGGCCAGGATAGGGAAAATCCTGGGACCTTACGCTACTGGTGGAATAAGACATTAAAAATGGTCTAATACATTGATACAGTTCAGGAAGTTTTCTCTCTGCACCAACACATATACACACACACATACATATATAAACACAACACACACAAATGCAAATGTAAACCACACACATGTATACACACCCACACTCATTGTACTGTATATATATAAGTGTGTGTATAAAGTCCTCTTCCCACCCCACTTGGCCTCCCAAAGGTACACACCAAACTGTAATTTTGCAGTGGTCCTTTATGATTAAATAAGCAAGTACACATGCACCTGTCTGATTTTCCCGTTTTTACCAATAGGAGGCATTCTAAACATACTGTTCTGCCTTCTTCACTCTTCACATCACAGCAGGACTGTGGCAGTTTATCACAGGTCGAGTCTCCCTTATCCAAAATGCTTGGGACCAGAAGTGTTTAGGATTCCTTTTTTTTTTTTTTATCTTGAAATATTTGCATTATACTAGTTGAGTATCTGATATGGTTTGACTGTGTCCCCACCCAAATCTCATCTTGAACTGTAGCTCCCATAATCCCCACATGTCATGGGAGGGACCCGGTGGGAGGTAACTGAACCGTGGGGACAGATTTTTCCCGTGCTATTCTCAAGATAGTGAGTGAGTTCTCATGAGATCTGATGGTTTTATAAAGGGCAGTTCCCCTGCACATACTCTGTTGTCTGCCACCATGTAAGACATGACTTTGCTCCTTCTTTGCCTTCTGCCATGATTGTGAAGCCTCCCAGCCAGGTGGAACTGTGAGTCCATTAAACCTCTTTTTCTTTATAAATTACTCAGTCTTGGGTATTTCTTCATGGCAATATGAAAATGGATTAGTACAACATCCCAAATCCAAAAATCCCAAATCTGAAATCTGAAATGTTCCAATGAACATATCCTTTGAGCATCATGTGGGTGCTCAAAAAGCTTCAGATTTTGGAGCATTTGGATTTCGGATTTTCCCAGATCTGGGATGTGCTACCTGGACTAACATTTGGATCCCAGCAGTGGACCCTTCCATGGCCCCTGCCTTGGCAGAAATGGGGAAGGCAGCTCCCTGGGCCTCCCTAGCACTTAGGCCCAGAAGAGTCCTCCCTGCACTCCTCTTCCTGCCAGGTCTCTGGAACTCAGTGAGGCAGGGTGCAGGAGACTTGAGATTGGCCAGCCCCACGAGCCCAGGGCAGTGGTGGACCCCAGGCTTGTGCTGCTGTAGTGCTCTTGCCAGCCCTGGGGGGCTGGGGCCCACCCAGAGGGGTCCTGGTTGGAGACCTCCACAGAGTACTCAGAACACGCAGGGCTCCCTAGGAACTCCATGCATTATGGGAGGATAAAATATTTAAACCTATACAATATAAAATATTAACTTAATTATCATAAATAATATATGCCCAATGCGTCTTTACTGAAGAGGAAGAGAAAAAAAAAAAGATGAACACTCTTAGCGTGAGCACTCAAACACTGGTGAGGATGCGAGGTGGGGTGTTGGGAGTGAGTCTCCCCTGCAGCAGGAACTCAGCTCACATGCTTGGAGCTAAGCGGCTGGATGGCTGCAAGTCTAGGAAATCGTCCATCTCCTCCTGGGCCACCCAGCCTCCTCTTCCTGCTCCTTCAGGGAGCCGACCCTGACCTCTTCCTCCTTTACCTACCCAGGACTCTCTGGAAGTCCCTCCTTCACGTTTGACCTTGAGGAGTTTGTTTTACGTCCCCTGAGCCTCAGTCTCTGCCCCAGCAGCTGCAGAGCCCCTGGAGGGCAGGCACTGGGTCTTGCACTTCCCCTGGGCAGAGTCAGTCCAGGAAATCTCTACTGAATGAAAAGGTGTTCCCACCTGAGAACTAAAAATAAAATCCTAAGCCTCCCAAACCACTGAATGGTCCCACCCACCTCTTGGCCAAGGGAACCCCAGAGAAATCTTAAAAACTAAGTTCCCGCCCATGACAGGACAGGAGGTTGGATGCACCTCATTATACATACTCCCGTTTTCATTTAAACACTAGAAACAACTGACCAGCATTAATGCCAAAGCAGAGATCATAAGACTGACAGAACAGACTCTGTGGTGATAAGATACCCAATTATAAACAGGACCTAAGGCCGTGCAGGCAATGGTGAAGTCAGGCACACCTACACTTAAAGAATCAACTAAGCTCTAACTGTCACAGGGTTCTTCTTTTTCTCCAGCAGCTAAACAACACTTGCCTCAAGATAAGCAATAGTAAACCACTTGCAGCTCCACCAGACAGTGACTAACCGAACCCCTGTTCCACCAGCTGTAACTACAGCTTTGATTGGACAAGAGACTGATTTCAGTAACTTTCTCCTGATAAGACCACTGACCGTGGACTGGTTCTGGCTGGTTTACAGAGGCTGAGCACTGAGGGCCTTCATGTCCTTGCCTCACCTTTTAACGTACAGAACCTAACTGTAATGCATTTAAATGTTAAGTCTCCAACCAAAAATGAACATGGAACATAAAGTGCATGTTTGCTTACTATGCGTGCATGCATTCCCCCTTCATGAATATTCATAGCTCCTCCCAGAACCTGTTGAATATGTATTCTCAGCCAACCCCTTCAGCAAAAAAGTCCTTGCTTTTGGTTTTCAACCAGTGGTTGCACTTCCCGCCTGCAGTTTGCGATCTCCTTCTTAAGAAATAAAGCTCTCCTTTCTAAATTCATCAATTGTGTGATTTTTCAGCTGACACACCTGGGGCCCTTCCATCGCCAAGGTCAGCATGAAGTGTACTTTATGGCAAACACATCTACATATATTCCCTCAGATCATCCTCCCAACAACGCTGTCTTATAAGCAGGCAGGGTAATGATTTTCTGATTTTTTTTTTTTTTGCTCTGTCACCTAGGCTGGAGTGCAATAGCATGATCTCAGCTCACTGCAACCTCTGCCTCCTGGGTTCAAGTGATTCTCCTGCCTCAGGCTCCCAAGCAGCTGGGACTACAGGCGAATGCCACCACTCTGGGCTCATTTTTTGTATTTTTAGTAGAGACGGGGTTTCACCATGTTGGGTAGGCTGGTCTTGAACTCCTGACCTTGTGATCCACCCAACTCGGCCTCCCAAAGTGCTGGGATTACAGGCGTGAGCCACTGCACCCAGCCAATTTTCTCATTTTACAGATGAGAAAATGAAGGCTTAGAGAAGATAGGTAGCAGGCTGAAAGACAACATCTTTCTAAGCTCAACTCCAGTGATCTTTGCTTACTTGTAACATTCCCTTATTTGCCCTTTGTGTTACCATTTCCACCCTCAAATCACTCTTTTTTTTTTTTTTTTTTTTTTTTTTTTTTTGAGGAAGTGTCGCTCTGTCGCCCAGGCCGGAGTGCAGTGGCACGATCTCAGCTCATTGCAACCTCTGCCTCCAGGTTCAAGTGATTCTCCTGCCTCAGCCTCCTGAGTAGCTAGAGACTACAGGCACACACCACCAGACCTGGCTAATTTTTGTATTTTTTGGTGGAGACAGGGTTTCACCATGTTGACTAGGCTGGTCTCGAACTCCTAACCTCAAGTGATCTACCCATCTTGGCCTCCCAGAGTGCTGGGATTATAGGTGTGAGCCACTGTGCATGGCCTCAAGCCACTCTTAAAGATATTAAATATATCAATCTGATTTTGATTGTCCCAATAATGCCAGAGGGGAGGATGGGCAGCTATCACCATCTAGGTTCCTACTTCTTAGGGTCTGTGTGACTAGTTATAAAACTATTTTCTCTTTTAATCTTCCATTTCCTCTGCTATAAAACAGAGATAATACTACTACTGACCTCCTAGAATTATTGGGAGGGTTAAATTAAACAATGTGTGTATAGTGCTGAGTGTTGCGGACAGCTCGGAGAAGATGCTTGAGTCTAGCCATCATCATGAAAACTCCACAACACCAACCACATCAGGTCTTTCTCCTGTTCCTATCTTTCTCCTGCTCCCTTCCTTATTGAATTTCCACAGTCTCCACCACAGAGGCAGTGCACTGGTGTGACTTGGGGGTTACCACAAGGAAAATGGAAGAAAGTAAACGTTTACTGTGTCTCATCACTTGTAAGTTAAAAAATAAAAGAAAAAGAAAAGAGACAATAGCCACAGCCAGAGTAGGATGGCTGTTATCAAAATAACAGAAAATCCCAAGTGTTGTCAAGGATGCAGAGAAACTGGTACCCTTGTGCGCTGTTGTTGAGAGAATGTAAAGTGGTGCAGCTGCTGTAGAAAACAGTATGCAGTCCCTCAAAAAAGTTAAACAGAGAATTACCATATAATCCAATCCCACTTCCGGGTATATACCCAAAAGAATTTAAAGCAGGGATTCAGGCTGGTCACGGTGGCTCACACCTGTAATCCCAGCACTTTGGGAGGTCGAGGTGGGCAGATTGCTTGGGGCCAGGAGTTTGAGACCAGCCTGATCAATATGGTGAAACCCCCGTCTCTACTAAAAATACAAAAATTAGCTGGGCATGGTGGCACGTGCCTGTAATCCCGGCTACTCAGGAGGCTGAGGCAGAAGAATCACTTGAATCTAGGAGACAGAGGTTGCAATGAGCCGAGGTTGTACCACTGCATCCCAGCCTGGGCAACAGAGTGGGACTCTGTCTCAAAAGAAGAAAAAGAAAAGGAAAGAGAGTAAAAGAAAAGAAGAAAGCAGGGACCCAAAGAAATATTTGTACCCTTTATATGAACATTATAATGTTCCTAGCAACATTATTCACAGTAGCCAAAAGGTAGAAGTAACTCAAGTGTTCACCGGTGGATGAATGGATAGAGAAAATGTGGTTATTACATACAGCAGAATATTTTTCAGTTATAAAAAATAAGGAAATTCTGACACATGCTACAACATGATAAACCTTGAAGATGTAGTGCTAAGTGAAATAAGCCAGCCGCTTATTCACAATAGCCAAGATAAGGAATCAACTTAAGTGGCCATCCATGGATGAATAGACAAAGAAAATCTGAGACAGATAAAGATATAGATACATAGATAAATGTTTAATAGAGTCTTATTCATCCTTAAAAGATATTTAAATCCTGTGATTTGCAACAACATGGATGAACCTGGAGGACATTATGCTAAGTGAAATAAACCAGGCACAGAAAGACAAATACTACATGATCTCGCTTATGTGTGGAATCTAAACAACTCAAACTCATAGAAGCAGAGAGGAGGACGGTGAGTGCCAGGGGCTGGGGAGAAGGGAAATGGGGGGCGGGTGTTGGTCAAAGGGCACAAAGTTTCAATTCGGCAGGATGAAAGAGTTCTGGAGCTCTAACGCACAGCATGGTGACTATAGTTAATAACATATTGTCTACCTGAAATTTACTAAGAGAATAGATCTTAAATATTCTCACAGCAAGAAAAAAATAACTATGCGAGGGGAAGCTACACTAATTAGCTTACTTGCGGGAATCATTTCACAATGTATACACAGTGTATCAAAACATCACACAGTACACCATTAATACATAGTTTCCTTTTGTCAACTACACCTCAATAAAGCTGGGAGGGGAAGCAGAGTTCATGAAACCAGTTGTAACACAAAAGATATGTTAAGAATATTTTATTTTTCAATTTTTCATCAGGGATACCATGTGGCTTTCATGGGCTTCACGAGTAGGATGGTGATTCCACTACTGTGTACATTTACTGCTTTAATGCAAATATAAACTACATTTCAAATATGTCATTGGCCCATTTTCCATGAAAAAGAAACCAGTCACAAAAAGACAAATTCCACATGATTCCACATCTGTGAGGTCCCTAGAACAGCCAGATTCATAGAGACAGAAAGTAGAATGAGGGTTGCCAGGGGCTGGGAAAAGGGGGCATGAGGAGTTGTTGTTTGATGGAGACAGAGCTTCAGTTTGGGAAGATGCAAGAGTTCTGGCGATGGATAGTGGTGATGGTTGCACAACAGCGCGAGTGTACTTAATGCCACCAAACGATACGTTTACAGATAGTTAAAATGGTAAATTTAATATATGTATTTTACCATAAAAAAATTGGCCTTAACAACAGTGAACATGCGATTACTGAATCTCACTACATGATCCCAGGAACAGGCTCAGTGGATGACACTTCTTTCAGTTAATCTTTACAACCTTCTGATTAGTGTTGAAAGTCCCAGTTTTACAGATGGGGACTCTAAACTTAGAGGAGTTACCTGCTTTGCCAAGAAAATTCTCAAACACAGACATGTCAGCCTCCAGCGCCTGTGTTCTCCTGATTGCAACCCTGAATAGCTCCACCTCTTTAGCAACCCAGAGTGATAACAAGGGGACTGTCTGTATCCTTCGATCACACACCCCCCACGCTCAGTCACTGCAGCAGCCAGAAAGCCACCTGTTGAGCTGGTAACACTCAGCCCTGGGGAAGCCTAGCGCCTAGACACTATGGGGCTGAACTTCCGTATCTCACCGACAGGTCACCTCACACCATCAGCAAGGGGAATCCGGCCCTTGTTTCTCAACATTCTTTGCCTGCAGTTCTGAAACATCAAGCTGTTTAGGGCAGACGACTCAGGAAGGAAGTTCAGGTCTTCTCGCCAGGGGGAGGGAAACTACTGCTTTCTGGAGGCCTTGCCTTCTCTCCCCGCCCCGCCCACCAGAGTCCCTGTGCTCCTTTGATGAAATGGTTTCAGACTTGCAGAAACGCATATCGAGGTCTCTTAATATGTATAGCAATACCAGACAGCAAGGACACCTGAGCGTGTGTTAAAAATACAGGTTCCTGGGACCAACTCCTACGTGTCTGAGTGCCTCGGCGAAACCTGGAGATGTGTATTTTTAAAGGCCCCCGAGGATTCGGATGCACGGTGAGGTTGGAGAAGAGCTAGCCCAGGGGTCTCTACAAATGAAGGGAGCCCTGGAGGCTGAGTCCCCTTCCTGGGTGACTCTGGACTCCGCAGGCCTCTGGTCTGCAGGGTTTGTGCTACCCCCTGTCCTGTGAAGCCCCAGACCTCCCGGTGGCTGATGCCTGGCGCTGCCCCTGGCTCTGCGTGGTTCTGGGCCAGGCCTACAGCCTCTGCTCTGTCCTCTCGCTGGCCTCCCCCTCCTTACCCCTGCCCCATGGCACTGTCCTGCCCACTCGCTCCAGCCGGCCCCGCCTGTCTGTCAATTAAGTGGGCTTGGCTGGCTGCCCAGGTGCACAGTGGCTGAGGTGGCTGCAGGCTCTTATCAATGAGATCAACAGGGTGTCTGCTGAAGACGAGTCGGAACAAGATCCCGTGACTATGCCCTAGGTGGTATTCTGGAGGTCACCCTGCTGAAGTGGCTGGCCTTGGTGGCAAGAAGCTTTTCTGGGGAGGAAAGGGCTCTGGGTTCTGGGTTGCTCAGGAGCCCATTGGAATGGATGCTCTGTCTGCCTTTGCACTGCAGAGCAGCTTATTCTCGGAAAAGGCACCTGGGGTTCTAATGGCTGCAAGGCACCCACTGGCTTAATGAAACCTGCTCTTGGCATCTCTGCTGCCTCTTTTAATTCTTGTTTGGAGAGTAGCCAAAACCTCTATCTGTTCCCCCTTTTCTCAGGACATGACCCGGCAGGAGGGTTCAGAGCCCTTCCAGGCTGGGACTTTATTTGAGTCTATTTGTGAACAGGTGGATGCCTGATGGAACACAGCCCCTGACCCGGGGCTGGCTGCTCCCTGCGCCTCTCTGCAGGGGGCTGCGGGAATTAGCCTCCTCCAGGGGTGGCTGTACGTGAAGACCTACCAAGAGCTGAAGACCCTACTGACACCACTAAGAGGGATTTTTTACTGGGGAGCCCCAGAGAGAGGGAAATGGATCAAGGCCCTGGAGCAGGCTTGGCAGCGAGACCCATCCTGCAAGAAGGGCTGCCAAGGCTGGCTGAGGTGCCCACCTCCCCGTGGGCTGGCAGGGGAGGCACCAGTGTTAACACTGGAAACACCTGGCTGATAAAAACCAAAAACATTCTCTCAATGATGGGTGAGAAAGAAGAAGAAAAAAAAGTTAACCAAATCTGTTGGGCAGAATTTTTCTAGTCTTTTCCTACTTAGCTTTAAAAGGCCTTCAAGAGTCACTAAGGGGCAAACAGCGCATACACACAGCCAGGAGAGAAAGACTGTGTCTGCTGCAGAGAGGCTAGAAGGACATTTCCCCCTTCTGTGCCTCAATTTACCATTGCAAAATATAGCGTCCATTGCCTTTCCCGGGCCCCTCGTGAGGAAATCATATTGCTGCAACCACAGAGATCTCGCATTTCCACTAGGAGCTGCTCCCTGGCCTTGAGCAACACGCTCCAGTCCTCGGGGTTTTCACTTGCAAAACAGAAACATTTACAAAGGAATATCAGGAATGGATTCCCCTCCTACTCCCAGGGCCGGTGCTGTTGTGGCTAGCACACGGAGACACGCAGATTCAGTGAAGCTGGCTGAGTAACAGAGACAAGCGTGCCAGATACAGGGAGGGGCAATGTAACTGCGACAGGATTCAAGAATATGGCCAACATCAGCTATCGTCGAGATCGCGGCTGATCTCAGCAATCGTGGCATTCACATTAAGTCCTGGTTGGAGCGAGTCACTTCGTCCCTCCAAGCCCCACGATCTCCTCATCAGTGTAAAATAAGGGGATGGGCCTGGATGATGGTCTCGGAGATCCCTTCCAGCTCCGACAGTCTACAACTCTATGAAGAACAATGAGAAAAAGACAAGTTTGTTGACAGAAACATTTTTAGGTCCCCAGCCAAATCCAAGGGACAGAAAAGGGAGAAAAGAGAGGGAAACAGAAGAGAGAAAGAGCTTTCATTTTATTTAAAAAAAAAAAAAAAAGAGAGAGAGAACCTGACTTGATATCCCAGAAAAGCTATGAAGAAAGAGAAAAGAAACTACTGGGCAGGAAAAGAACACTTGTGGATATTTTTCTTTCAAAGAGAAGAGCTGTTTGGTAGAGAAGGGCTTCCGTTTTCTACCACCAGCCACTCGCTTACATGCCCTCTGCCTGTTCTTCCCTCATGTCCCCACAGACGGATGACCATGTCCCCAGAACCATTGGCCCCATTCCTCAACACCTATCCCCCATTCCCCAGTGCTGCTCCCCACTCCTCCCTGCACCACCCACTCTTCTCTCTGGTGGTCACCCTCATCCTCAGAATAACAGCCCAGATATTTCAAAAATGAAAACATCCTCTGACCTCACATCTCCTCCAGCTATGGCCCTTAATTCTCTGTTTCGCCTTGGAGCAGAACGTCTCAAAGAAACTACCAGTATTGACTAGCAGCCCCTGCCAGTCTCTCATTCTTGCCAAAAAGTCACCAAAGCCCTTAGTCCTCCCAAGTCTGATGTCCAGCTCTCAGCAGCCCTCTCCCTTGGCCTTGTTGTAGCATTTAATTCAGTGGATCACCCCCCATCTGCTAGACTCCTTTCTTCCCTTGGGTTCCAGACACTTCTTCTTCCTGGTTTGCTTCTAGCTCACTGGCCCCCGATCACCCTGCTGGTTCCCCCACCTCCTGTCCTCCAGGTATGGCAAGCTCAGACCTCGGCAGCTGCCTGTCTCTCCAGTCTCCCCCTCGGTACTTTCCTTCCGACCATGGATTTTAACATTATCTAGATACTGATGACTCCCAAAGTGACATCTCCAAGCCCTACACTTCCCCAGGGGTGTTTCACAGGCATCTCCAACTTTCCAAATTCAAAACTGAACTCCTAAGTTTTCCCCTCCAGGCCTGTTCTTCCTTCGGGCTTCCCCAGCGGAGTAAAGGACACCATCACATTATCCAGTTGCTCAAGCCAAAAAAATAAGGCAAATCTTTGGCTCCTCTTTTCCTCACGCCCCATGCCTGATCCTTCTTACCCCACCTGCAGAACGTATGTCTGCATCTGCCGGCTTCTCCCTTCTCATCTCCTTGGCTGATACTAACTGACTCCATTCACGAGCAGCTTTTCCCCACTGCCTCCACCCTACACAGCAGCCAGAATGAAGGATTTGAGGTTGAAATAAGACTGCAGCCCTCCAGTGCTGAAAGCCCTCCAATAGCTTAGCCTTTTTTTCTGTGTTTCTTCTAAAAAAAAGCAAAAACAAAAAAAAACCCAAACAAACAAAACGGGATACACGTGCAGAACGTGCAGGTTTGTTACATAGGTATACATATGCCATGGTGGTTTGTTACAGAGGTGCGCGTGTGCCACGGTGGCGTGTTGCACAGGTATGCGTGTGCCATGGTGGTTTGCTGCACCTGTTGATTCGTCCTCTAAGTTCCCTCCCCTCAACGCTTAGTCTTATACTTCAGCATAAAATCCAATGTTCTTTCCACCGCCTGCCTCTCTGTCCCCTTCCCCAGACCCCTCACCCCCTCTGCTCCAACCAAACTGGCTTCCCTGCTGCTCCTTCCACTCTCCAAGCAGGTTCCCACCCCAGGGGAGCTGCGCTTGGGGTCTCCTGCCTGGAAGGCTTCTTGGATCTGATGTGCTCCTTCCCACCACCGAGGTATCTGCTCAAGGATAGCAGCTCAGAGGGGCCTCCCTTGACTCCCGAATCTAAAACAACACCCCCATCCCATAAGGCACTATCTGTCCCCCAGCTCTTGTTTCCCAGAGCACTTGTCATCTGAAATGAAAATGTCTCTTTTGTTTGTTTATGGCCTTCCCCACGAAAATGCAAACTCGAAGATAGGAAATTTGTGTGTCCAGTTCCCTGTGGAATCTCCCGGACCGACACTGGCTGGCATCTGGCATGCAGATGGCGCGAGGTAAGGCTCTGTTGAATGGGTGAGTTGGTGAAGGGATGGGTGTGCTGAGGGTGGGGGCATCTCCTTCAGCCCCGTTCCTGGACGTGAGGCTTTGGCTGTCTGGCCTGTGGGGGAGCCCAGAGCCCAGTTCTCTCTCCCCCTGGTTTTCTCTCCCCATTGCCCGCACCTTGAGTTAAAGCTGGTGTCCTCTCCTCTCTTCCCCACCCCCACCCCGACCCCTGTTTCCAGTTGGAATGGCCTTGCCCACCGGGAGTGAGCCCAGAGCAGCACACTCCGGGAAAGCTTGGGGACCTCTAGAGGGCTCGTTAGGATTCCTCTGCTGCCCGCCGTCCTCCCACTCCCGCACCCCTAGCAGGGGCTAAACTCTCCTAGGCTTCCTGGCCACCTGCAGAAAGCCTTCTGGGCTGTTGGGCACCTGCACCGCTGAAGCCCCGGCCTGTGCTGCGTGTCTGGCATGTTTGGTCACAGTGCTGAGGGGCTCAGTCAGGGGTGCCAGAGAGCACTGCGCGGGGTCCAGCCTAGGTGGGAGGGGCTGAAGCCCAGCTGACCCCCCCACGCGCCACCCTGTGCACCCAGGGTGCAGCCAATGACTCCCAAGGGACCGCAGGCTTCCTTCTGAGCCCCGCAGACACTGCGCAGGAGCAGCAGGCTGGGATCCGCTATAGGCTGCCATGTGCCATTGTGGAGGAATCACTTCCTCATCCAGGCCTCAGTCATCTTGCTACTTAAAAAACATAGATGGCAAGGGCTAGGGGCAAGGGGCTTATTTTATTTCCAAAGTCTCTAAAGTCTCTGCATTAAGCAACCCCAAGGTCTCCGGCCCAGCACGCTTAACCATCTCCCGTGAGCGGCCTGACTCCCCTGCCACAAGGGTAAACCCATCAACCACAGCAGAGATCAATCCCAGGTCCTTCTGGTGCTAATTAGAAAGAAAGCTGGCTCCCAGAGAGCTGCATCTCTTCCCCATTCCCAGACAGAGGAGGTAATGAATGATTCATGGCAGGAGGATGGGCGGCATCCCTGCAGGTCTTGGTCACCGGCTTCCAGCAGGTGCTGCGCCTCCTGCACCCACTTCCTGACTCTGGCTCCCAGAAACAGATGAGCTCTGATTGACTGGCAGTACTAGAATTTATCAACGGCTTGTTCTCTCTGGAACCAGCTTTCATTGATCAAATCTGTTTCTAGCCCTCTGTTCCTGAGAATTCCCACAGGGACCAAGATTCACTTGTGCTGTCCTGTGGATAAAAATAAAAACATCCCCCAGTCCACATGACTTCACTTTTTGCCATTCCTTCTCTCCAGCAAACATCCCCACCATGCCACCTAAGCAGGGAAGAGAAGGCGAGATATTACCTAGGTCTTTCCGCACTCTAGAATTTGATGATTTTAACATGTGTATACGGAGTTTTCAGCCATGCACAAACATGCTTTCTGGAGGGAACATGGGAAAATGCAAAGAACTGCTGAACCAATGGGCTACAAAGACAGAACTGGAGTGGATGTTTTTCCTTCTTTATATTTCCTCTAACATTATGTGATAACACTGTTTTGTGCGAAATAAAATATGGTAGGAATGCTGGGTGGGGAATCAAAGGGTGAAAGTTCCAAGCATGCACTGTCATGGTTGCTGGCAGGTGTCATTGCGGGTGGTTAAATGAAGTCAGAGGTTTGAGAGAATTGCATGCAAGGGGAGCCATATCCCCCTCCCTCTTCTGGACATGGCCATTGTTCCAAAGCAAGCCACATCTGGGCAGCAAGTGTTGAGCAGGACCAGAGGTGAAAAGAGAGAGCGCACAGTAAGTTTGTCCTAACTACTAACCTTCCTCTGATGACCACCAGAAGCTGCAAGGCCTGAAGCCTGACTCAAGGACTATGTGCCCTGTACAAGAAATCTGTCCATGTACCGGTGTTCAAGTTGCACACTGCCCAAATATGCAATGTCCTGGGGAGGGGTGCCATTTACGTTGTAGATCAACTTATCTGAGAGTGCATGGGTGGGCACAGAGTCCTGCAGTAGCAGTGAAGAGCTACATAAATCCACCTGGCAATGTTATAAGCACACACGCATGCCTGCCTCATAGGGCCCTATCCCAGCCATGCTCCGGGAGGGACCTGCAGTCACTTCTCCTTCCTGCCAGCCCTTTAGGAAACCCAATTCCTGCCCCCATTGAGGGAACAACCCAGAACAGTTGCCTATTCTTGCTGGTGGGTGGGAAGGAGGAAGGAAGTGTGGGTGGACGGGGTGTGATATTGCTGGTGTGGGTGAGGGTCCGAGGGCGGGGGCTGCCAGGGTGGTGCTCACTGGGGCCCTGGGAGCTCCTGGGAGGAGGAGGGCCAGCCCACCTCATACAGGTGTCCAGGTCACACTAAGGTGAGCCACCCAAGGAAGAGGCCCTTTCCTAATTCATGCAAAGGCCCTGTGGGCTAGTGGAAGCCTGGGCTCAGGCCAATCCTGTCTTCTCTGCAGGAGGGGAATGTCAAAACACAGCCAGAGGGGGCTGTAGACAAGCAGATGGCCACACCCAGAGGCTTTGCTTGGATGTTTGTGGGAGGAGGTATTAAATAAAAAATTATTCCCGACACTTATTAAAATGGTAAGGCTGACTTTATTCAGGGGGACTGCCACCCAAGTATAGGGACTACTACCCTGGAGTTTTCCAGGAAGTGAGAGAGATTGGGCTCAACTCTGATGACAACAAAGAAAGTAGAGATTCACAGCCCAGAAGCAGCGTGGGGTGGATGAAAGGATATCACTAAGAGGAAACATGGAGGCTGCAGGCAGGCCAAGGCAATAAGATCCCTAGGGTGGGGGAGGAGGCATCTGATCAGATATCAAGGGTGGGGGATTTTCACTAAAATCCTGACCCAGCAGGATTCTTGCTAAAACTGGAGTAAGCAGGCCAAGGCCAGAGCCCAAGGTCGGGGCCTTGAGGGCTCAGGGGAGCCTGCCTAGAGGCAGGTCAAGGGGTGTCTTTGAGGAGGCTCCTGGGTCTAGGAGAGCCACAGGCCTCCCTCAGCCCTGCAGGGAGCGGCATGGGGTTCCGCCCGCCCCGCCTCACAGCACAGCAGCCCCTCTGGGAAGTCTGGCCGCTGCCCCCAAATCCACGTCCCAGGACAGCTCTGTCTGACAAATAACAGGTTTGGAGCTGGAGGTGACTGCATGGACGGGGGCCTCCTGGATTCACCTAGGACTTTGCTTGCACAGGGCACATGGGCTTTCCAGAATGACCTGCACAGCCTCGTGGTGACCTCCCCTGGTAGAGGCAGCACAGCGGGCCCCGAAGTCCACTGCACAGGGAGGAAAGCCATGGGTCGGGGGTGGGCAAGAAGGCCTGGGCTGGGGAACCTGGATCACAGTTCTGGTCACACAACCTCCTCGTAAAACCTGATTTCCTTCATACCCCCGCTCCATACACTTTGTGTTCCAGGCAAACTAATTTCAAGTAGCAACAACAGGAAGCCTGTCTGAAGGCCCCCTCCCCCTGCTTCCGGGCCTGTGCAGCCCTTGGGTCTCGATTCAGGATTCCTCTCCCGCCCCACTTCTCACCGGCGCCCCCTGCTGGATGCCCCATAGGAGGCCGTGGACGACGTCCCGACTCCTCCTGGACCCAGTGCTGCTGGGGCTGGGGAGCTTCCTCCTCTAGGAGCGCTAGATGAGAGAGGCTTCCGGAGGCGTCCTGCTGCGCTCCCCAGACTGGGAGGCAGAAGCAAAATGAGCCTGATTACTATTCCCAGGGGATTGCTGCCTGCTTTTTATTTAT
This sequence comes from Homo sapiens, assembly GCF_000001405.40. Classification (NCBI taxonomy): domain Eukaryota; kingdom Metazoa; phylum Chordata; class Mammalia; order Primates; family Hominidae; genus Homo; species Homo sapiens. Next base: position 11,056,266 of record NC_000008.11, read on the forward strand.
GCGTTTACTGGGAAGCTCTTTATTTACATTGCTGTAATTTACATTTCCCACAAGTGCCTTCCTTTCCCATCTCCTTCCCTTCTCCACATTGCTAAACGTGGGTTCCCCAGTTGCTCCAGAACGCCGGCAGCGCACAGGCTCTTCTGAGAACTCCTGGGTAAACATCCCCTGTGTTCACCCGGAAAGTGTCAAAAGGGTGGGCAGACATTTCTGTGCACATGGCAGGCTCTTGGCACTTGGTTTGGAGATGTTCATCTACCCCAAATGCAACTCCTCAAAGAGCACCACCCCCATAAAGGCACCTCTGGCTGTCTGACCCCAGCTTCCCCGGAACTGGGGAAGGGCAGGTCACTGGGGCCACTGCGTTCTGGAAGCTGAGTGGTCTACAGAGGCAGCCACACAAGTGCAGCAATTAATGTCACCATTGATTTAGGTGAAGTCTGAAGGGTGCTCATACCCTGTGTGACCCCACTACCTTTTCTTCAATGGGAGAGGGAGCCTGAGCCCTTTTCCATGTCTTGCAGTCTTGGGTGCATCTGCCTTCCTGCTCCTCCCGTCTGCTCAGGCTCCAGCCAGGGGATCAGCTGGGAGGATGCAGCTCTCTTGGCCCCTTTCAGGCCTCTAGTCTCACCCTTCAGGTCTCTAGTCTCACTTCTCCCAGTCCAGGCTAAGAAACCCACAGGCAAGGTGGATTCTACCCCCACGTTGGTGCCCACCAGCCCACGTCTGACGCCTTGTCCTTGGCTGCCTGTCCAATCTGCGTACAAGGTGCAGCCATGTCACCATCTTGAAGCACAGCCCAAATCACATCCTTACTCAAAAGCCGTTCTTGATGCCCCGACCCAATCGAAGCACAAAACATTTTCCTATGACTCTCCCTCTCTTCATGGATCCTATTTGTCACCCAAACTAAAGAATAAGGAATAACATCAATTACTCTATAAGGAGCCCCCCTACTCCACACTGCCTGCTTTATGTGTCTTTGTCACACTTGTCACTGTCTAACTCACTAGATACCTTATTTATTTCTGGTATTCTCTGTCTCCCTCCCCCACTAGAATGTAAGCTTGCATGAGAGGGCTTTTTGTCTGTTTTGTTCACTGCTTTGAAACAAACAGGGCCTGACACAAAGGAGAGGCTCAAAAACCACCTTTCGAATGAATGAATGAACAAATGGACGAGAAGTGACATTTGTCCAGTAGTCCCAGTGTTCTGCCCTTGTCAAGTGCATCGTCGTGGCTCATCCTCACGACAACACGCTGAGGTAAGTGTTTTGCCCTCATTTCACACATGTGAGGCATTCCCATGAGTTCCCACGGTCACAGAGGCTGGGCGGGTGTAGTTTTGTTCAGCAGGAGTCCCTGTGTTGGGTGGAATGAAGGAAGGACCCAGGCTCCATTGGCGACTGTGTCCAAGCTTGGTCTGACGTCACCATCTGTTCCTGTCCTCACCTTCAATGCCCACCTGTCAAACCTCACCTCCTCCACAATGCTCTTCCTGACTCCTTCAGTGGGGCCTTGGGCCTTTTTTTAACCTTTTATTACATTCATACCTACCTCTTACTACTAAATGAGGAGTTCCTGAGGACACAATGCACAGACATGAATCACAGCGCTGAGCACCTGCCGCATCTGACAGACATTGAAGGTGTAATGAGTGCTTGTTAAATGAAGGAAGAGAAAGAAAATAGCTTGAAAATCATTGTGTCTGTGTCTTGTCATATGTCTGTGGCACATGTGTTGCCTTTAACTCTAAATGACCACCTTCATCCCCAACTTATTTTAGTCCCAGGATCTATTCTAGAATATTCGAGGACTAAATATCGGACTGGGTCTCCCCCATTTGAGTTGTGTTCTGCCAGCACCCAGCGTGACCCATGTGGGAGGCGGTGGTATCTTTAAGTCGGAATGGGTGAATTTTTAAGTAGGGAGGGAGAGTGAATCTCCTGCAACATTTTTTTTCTCATTTTGAAAGGAATGTAATTGTGGAAGACAGTGTGGCGATTCCTCAAGGATCTAGTACCAGAAATGCCATTTGACCCAGCAATCCCATTACTGGGTATATACCCAAAGGATTATAAATCATTCTACTATAAAGACACATGCACACGTATGTTTATTGCAGCACTATTTACAATAGCAAAGGCTATTTGCTACGTAAATGAACCAACCCAAATGCCCATCAGTGATAGACTGGATAAAGAAAATGTGGCACATATATACCATGGAATACTATGCAGCCATAAAAAAGGATGAATTCATGTCCTTTGCAGGAACATGAATGAAGCTGGAAGCCATCATTCTCAGCAAACTAACACAGGAACAGAAAACCAAACACCACATGTTCTCACTCATAAGTGGGAGCTGAACAATGAGAACAGATGGACACCGGGAGGGGAACATCACACACCGGAGCCTGTCGTGGGCTGGGGTCAAGTCGAGGGAGAGCATTAGGACAAACACCTAATGCATGCGGGGCTTGAAACCTAGATGGCGGGTTGATAGGTGCAACAAACCACCACGGCACATGTATACCTATGTAACAAACCTGCATGTTCTGCACATGTATCCCAGAACTTAGTAAAATTTTTAAAAAAAGAAAGGAATGTATAGTCACTGTGGGATATTTAGAAAACGCGAAGGTGTACAGAAGAAAACACAAATGCACATTGTTCTTAATCTGTACAACTTCGCAGCCAGGTGGGTGGGATTATCCCCGCTTTACAGAACAGGAAACTGAAGCTCAGAAAGTTGAAATAGCGGCCCAAGCCCTTGGGCCAGAAAGCGGGGCAGGACCAGGCTCTCACCCACCTGTGCCTGAATCCAATCCCAGGCCTCCTATCCAGACCAAGAGCTTTTCAGGCCCAGCATCCCAGAGCCTGCATCCACGGCGTGGCGGCCAGGGTTTCGAGGGCTCCCGCGGTTTGGGCGCTCTGCCCCTGCGCTCCCCAAGCTGCGACCCCCTGCGCTGGCCAGCGTCGTGTAGGCCGGGCCCAGCGCGGTCCTGGCGCCTCAGAAATCTTTGTTGAGCGAATGAATGAAGGAACGAATGACGGAAGTAAAAGGTATGAGCGCCCCGGAGACTCTGGCTTGCGTTTTCCCTCTCCAGCCCCCAGCGAACTGGAGCCGGGCTGGCGCCCGAAGGGAGTCCCCGGCCGAGGGCAGCGCTCAGCTCCGCGTCCCCGCGCCGGCGCCGAGAAGGAGGCCCCGCCCGACAGGCAGCTGCGGAGCCATCTGCTGCGCGGGCGGCGCCGCTCCAGTGTTTGTTTACAACCCGGCCCGGCGAGCGACAAGAGCTCGGCTCCTCTTCCAGGCGCGCGGCGGTGCCAGTGGAGGAGGAGCAGGGCGCTGGGGGCGCGGGGGGCGCGGGGCGGGGCGGGACAGGTGCGGGGGGCGCGGGGCGGGACAGGTGCGGCGGGCGCGGGGCGGGACAGGCGCGTCTCTGTTCCCCGGCTCCCCGGCCCGCGCCCCCCGGACCCCGCCCCGCGGCTCCCTCTCACCCGCTGTAACCCCCTGCGCGACCCCGCTGGAGCGCGGTCCACGGGGACAAGAGCATTTCCAGGATCCAGGAGTGTTCAGGATGAAGGGAGGTGGCGCGCAGGGTGGCACCTAAAAAACAACGCTCCTGCAGTGTCCCTGAAGGTGACAGGATGGGTGTTAGGCATTTCACAAAATCTCTAAGTCCAATAGCTCGCCCAACTCAGGGGATTCCCCTTCTTGACAGTGGCCAGATACAGGCAATAAGGTCTGGTTTAAAATTCATTCCAGGGAGTAATAATTCCATTCTTTTAAAGCATTCTGATGTAAGTGCACTTCTGGTGTTACCATTTTTACCTCCACTCCCCACAGCAGCCACAAGCTCAGGGTTGGATCAGAGCTTGGGGAGGGTGGCAGGCGGAGATAAAGAGAACCCCAAGTTCTGGGCTTAGGGGTGCTAGCAGGTAAAAGGAAGTGACATCTGGACAGTGACTAATAGCCAGACTTTGGTGAGACAGCTAGTGTGGGGAGGAGACAGCCAGCAGCAGGGCTTTCCCTTCCTCCCGCCTCCCTGCCTCCATGCCTCCACGCCTCCACCTCTCCAGGCCTCCCCGCATCCAGCCTGCACTGCAGACCTTCCCTAGACCATGCTAAACCTAGAGCCCCTGCCTCCTCCGCAGCCCCGCAGTGCCTTGATGGCGCCACCCGCCGGGAACTAGGGGTGCTCCCTGTACTCCCAGGGGGACAGTTGTGGGAGACCCTGACCTGATCCTCGGATGCCCAGGGACTCGTTTCTACATGATTATTGGTCTGTTTGGGTTTTTCTCCTGCATACAAGGGACTAAGAGGTTACAAAGTCCTGACAAAGAGGAGGTTACACTTCCCGTACACAAAGGAGCTCGCAGTCTAGAAGGGGAAGACAGGGAAGACAAAGTGGACAGGAATCACCGCTATTCAATGCCTGCCTACTAGGCGCCAAATGCTGAGTTTGGTGTTTCTCTGGCAATTCATCCAATAAATACTTATTACATCCTGCCCTGCACTGGGCTCTGTGGATGCAGCAGAGAACAAGTCTCGTAGATGAGGAGAGACAAAATAATTCCAGTGATAGCAAGTGTGCCATAAGGGAAATACCTCTTTTGATCCTGATACAAACCCTGATGAAGGGTAAATATTCTTATCCCCTATCCCCATTTTACAGATAATGGCTCAACAAGGAGAAACAACTTGCCCAACATCTCCAAGGCTGGGTTTGGAGCCAGGTCTAAAGCCTGTATTCTGAAGCCAACGTCTACCTAGGGCTGAGGGTTGGAGATGGCCCGTCTGCCAGCTCTGGATGAAACAGCTGGGACACAGCACCATGAATGGCAAAGGTTCCTTGCTGGGGCTAAAGCAGAATAGATGTCCACTTGGAGAGTGCTGTTTTCAAAATTCTGAATCGGCTGGGTGTGGTGGCTCACACCTGTAATCTTGGCACTTTGGGAGGCCCAGGTGAGAGGATTGCTTGAGCCCCAGGAGTTTGAGCCCAGCCTGGGCAACATGGCAAAACCCCATCTCTACAAAAAGATACAAAAATTAGCCAGGCGTGATGGTGTGCACCTGTAGTCCCAGCTACTGTGGAGGCTGAGGTGGGAGGATCACCTGAACCTGGGGAGGCTGAGGATGCAGTGAGTTGTGATCATGCCACTGCATGCCAGTCAGGGTGACAGAGTGAGACCCTGTCTCAAAAAAAAAAAAAAATTTCTGAACCAGTAAAAATGGGAACAGACACTGTGACTAAAAGCCACCATCTGACAATCCCATGTTGCAGAAGCACAGGCCTGTCTGGGTGAGTGTCTCCCTCATGCACATCCGTTCATTCATTCATTCATTCATTCATTCAACATGCCCTGAAAGACCACCCTGGCCTGGTGGGAGGGCATGTCCTGGGGGCTGTGAAAGTACAGAGGAAAGAGAATTAAACATCCATTCCCCTCTTCCAGGAGCAGAAGCCCAGGACGAGGCCAGCCCATTAAACCCACTTGGCCCAAAGAATGAGAAGAAGGAAGGGGGCTGGGCTGAAGAAGAGGCAGGAGGGCAGCCATCGGTGATGGGGCGAGGACATCACTGGAGGCTGTTAAAATGAGTCTGTGTGCTTGGGTCAGGCAAGGACGCGGCCAGCATCAGCTGCTGCTGCTCTTAGCTTCCCTGCCTGTGTCCCTCGGCTGGCCCTGCTCCTCCCTCCAAAGAGAAGGCAAGAATTCTAACAGGGTGAAACCAGGACAGTGACTGGCTCATACATCCAGGGGAAAATCATCTGAAAGCACTGCATTCCATGGGACAGACAGGATGGGAAAACCAGGATGCTCAGAGAAACCAGACCTGACAGCAGACAGCAAATAATATCCCATCTGGAAGTATGACAGGACAAGAGGAGAAGCTGCACACATCGGCCCATCCTGCCCTGGGCTAGTCCGTGCCCAGGCGCTGGGGGAAGTGGACCACAGAGAGCAACACAAACTATCACATGCCAAGAGGCCTGGGAGCCAAGGCCAGAGAGTGGGGAGGAGCTGCAGGCTTCTCAAAAGACCCAGGGGGCCAACTGTGACATATGATCTGTAAGCCGAATATTTATAAATGGAATCAGATCTCCTCCTAGGTTGATGCCTTTATTTGTATGTTCCTTCATTTAGCCCCAACTCTCCTTATCTCCCTAGTAAGATCTTATAAATCAAATGCACACACACCAATACATCCAGCTCCATGAGGTCAGGAGGTATTTCATTATCACCATCTCTCCTCTACCTGCCCGATCCAGCAAAGACCCAGGCAAAACAGGGGCTGATTGGCTGATTAAATGCACTAGCAAGGGAGAGCTTCTAGTTAAAACAATTTATCTAGATCTTTTAAAAGCAAAGAATCCCACAATAGTAAACATAATTACTCTTTAATGTGATCTGGTTTTTAGTTAGAGTTTCATCTATTTTATGGAACAAACTCTTTTTTTAAATACTGTGACATAAACAGCTACGTACTTACAGAAATTGTTCTCTCTTTTCCCTGGGCACAGAGCCAGCCCCACCTCCCAGCCTCCTCGGCAATCAGCGTGGCCGTGCGCCTGAGTTCTAGCCAATGGGAGGTGAGTGGAAGTGGGTGTCCCTTCCAGACGTCGTACTGAAATTCCCCCACAGGTAATTCTCTATTCTCTTTCTTCATGCATTGGCTAGAAGTGAAGGACTCCAGAGCCCCTGGAGATGGAGGATGGAGGAGCCTGGGTTCTTGAATCCTCACATGGAATGCCAGCCACAAATTGGCATTTGGACTCCTATATGGACAAGGAATAAATTTAAATCCTATTAAGGCTGGGTGCAGTGGCTCATGGCTGTAATCCTACTGCCATAGAAGACCAAAGCAGGAAGATCACTTGAGGCCAGGAGTTCAAAACCAGCCTGGACAACATAAGTGAGACCCCGTCTCTACCTAAATAAATAAATAAATAAATAAGGTAACATAAAATAAGATTAGCTTGTCTTCAGAGGGACAGAACTAATAAAGAAAAACAAATCAAAGTTAAAAAAATGTAAAGAAAGAACAAAAAGTAAAAAAAAAAAAATCCCACAAAACAAAATTAGCCAGGTGTGGTGGTGTGAACCTGTAGTCCTAGCTACTTGGGAGGCTGAGGTGGGAGGATCACTTGCATCCAGGAGTTGGAGGCTGCACTGAGCTACGATCTCACCATCTCACCTCTGCATTATTCCTCCCCAGCTCCCCAGGTGACAGAGCAAGGCCCTGTCTCAAAAAAAAAAAAAAAAAGTCCTATTACGCTACTGAGATTATGTTATGGCATTGATCTATTATTACAGCACCCAGCATTAGTCCAGCACAAACATGTATATGCAAAACATGGCTGGCAAGCCTGGCTTGGGTAGGGGAGGTACCAGTAAGGGTTAAATTTTAATATATGGGGAGAGGCCGATGCCAGGAACATCCACGGAGATGAGGAGTTCTAAGAATTCCTGATACGCTTGGCTCAGTAACATTTTTTGGAATCCCCCCATTCTCTTTCCCACCTGCAACTTGCACCTGGCCACAGATACTCTCCATTTGCTGTTCGTCAAATCTCCCCATAGAGGCTACTCGACACTGGGATTTAACTGATGGCCCCAGAATGCATCTCTTTCTCTTTGAACTTTTTCCTCAAGCTAATAATTTCCCTCAATCTTCTGAACTTGCCATCGGGTCTGACAAAAAGCTTACTGAGTGCCTTGTTCCGCCTCTATTTCATACAACCTTCCGAAGTTCTCTTCTATATCAACATCCATCAGTCCTTCCCTTTCTACTGCGTTTGGGTTCTCTCTCTTTCATGTATCACTTCCTCGTGTTGCTTTCCTGCGTCCTACAGTCTCACTCTGCTCTGCCCCATTTCCTGTTTCTTTCCCAATAAATGGTTTCATCTTTCATGCATTTCCTCCCTTCCCAGTGCTCCAAACACAACCCCACTTATTTTCTGAGACACACTCCCTCCCCATTAATCTTTCAGCTAGGAAAGAGAGGCTAAAGCTTTCCTTTCCATTCCTGTCCATCTCTGCCTCAGTTAATTAGAGCCTTGTGAAAAACAAACTAAAACTGTTTAACCAGCTGTTTCATCCTGACTCTTCTACCCCTCGTGGTCATGGGCCATCATCTGATCACATAGTTCCTAATCCGTTATCGTGCCAAGAGGGAAGAAAGCCCCAACATCTTAAAAGAAAGGAAGCAGAATAATTTATAGAAAGAAATAAAGTGCTTAGTCAAAAGCATACCGCAAGAATTGTCACTGACTTGTTCTCAGCTTTTCCCTCATTAAACTTTTCATTTTCTGCCATCTGTCAAATATAAATCAACTTCTGTCAAGTTTCCTCAGACATTTCAGATACTTGCATACTCTATTCTTTCATTCTCTTTTCCCTCCAGGCATTTATAATTCTTCCACTTCCGAAAAGAATTGTAATCGTTCACAACAGAAGGCACACAAATAATAAAAATAACTTGTAACGTGAAAGAATGTGAGCCACTGTAGGAAATGGCAAGGTCCATGAATCTATGTATCCCAGGTTAAGGATACTTATTGTCACTGGGCACAAAATGGAACCCTGAGCTAAGTGCAAATAGTGTTAAAGACAAAGCAAAAAGGAAAACAGAAGAAGTGACAAAAACCTCAATGGTTAAAACTAGAAAGCATACTGTACTTGTCTATACTCTTTGTTACTCTTGTAGAAAGTCTTTGAACTACTTTAAAAATATTTCTTTACATCCTGCCTATTTGCTAAAAGGATATGACACAGCATAAAATTTAAAAAAATCATTATTGTAAAAATAAAGACAAGACATGCTAAATGGGATATGTGTGTGGAAGGAAGACTGACTATAACTTTCTTTTAAAAGGCTAGACTCATGGTAATGAACACAATGGAGTACATACTTTAGCTCTGAGCTCCCCGGCACCCATGGCAAAGAAGGAAACACAGGATTATAGAGCTGAATTTTTTCTAACCACAGTTACAAGATAGTCACTTCGTAACTATGAACCATGAGAGGAAGTTGTCTTATGGATCTTGTCAGTTCCCTTATTCTTTAGAAAAACTCTCCAGGGGTTCTATCATGTAATCTTCAAAATCCTTGGCCAGCTCCACCATTCGGTGGCTTCGTCATATGACCCAGCTCTCTGCCTGCACTGAGGACATTACTTTATCCTTGGATGCAACGTTTCCCAGGCATTTAGGTTCTGTGGCCGTGATGAGCGTCATATCAGCCACACCAACTGCAGTCTCATCTACTTATTTTTTTTTCTTTCACTCTATTTGCATTTTTACTTAATACGTTTTTTTTTTTATCCTGGGAAATCCCTGCTTTGGGAGACAGCCTCGAGAAGGTTAGTATTCTTTCCTGGCTTGCGAACAACTTACTCCTTCCTCTCATTCCACGTGAACTCCATCTTTCCCTCCAAGCCGGGCTAAAGTCCGGTCTCTTCCGGAGCCTTTCCTGATAACTCAGCCTGGGAACTGGAATATCCTCCGCTGAGCCCAGGGCTGGCTCCTGCCTTCCTACTACACAGCAGCTGTCCTCAAATAGGCAGTGGCGTTTTTCCCTAGCAACTGAGCACGTCGTAGGTGCCCCATAAACATGGCAATGTGGCAGGGCTAAGCAATGGATGTGTGCCCACAGTACCTGGGTTCCTGGGTAAGTCACTCTTCAAGCTTCAGTTTAGCCAGCTATAAAATGGCAAAGGGGTTGGGGAAGAGGGGGCTCTGCATTCTCTGAAGTCCCTGCCATCTTGAAGCCCCGCCTTCTTTGGCATCCCCCAAATGCACCCTGACTTTGGCGTTTTCCGTTGCTTCAGTTTTCCTTCCAGGGAATTGCACCCATGGGTTCTTTAGCAATCAGCAGCCCTTCTTATCTCTAAGACAGCCCTCCCTGTGGCTTGCCTCTGCCCAAGGGAGGCACATTCCAGAGTCCTGGACAACCTTCTCACCCCCTCTCTCCTGTCAAACTGATCTGGTCTCTGCCTGTTCGAAACAGACTATTTTTAGCCTTCATTTCTGTCTGCTCAATTTTTCTGCCTCCCACCATTTCTATTGCATCTTCAGGAATACACTGACATTTCTGTCCCTGGTGAAACATTGTCTGTTCTTGATTTTGGACATAAGCCACCAAGTCCTGGACTGTACAGTGACAGAGCTGCTCCATTCTAGTTGTGGTTCTGCCTCCTGGCAGGCTCTGCACCTTTGTGGATGTGGCTTAACCACTCTGAGCCTTGGTTTTCACATTTATCCAATAGAGACGTCACCCGCCCAGGCTGACTCAAAGTCAGCAATCAATCAAGACAGCCCCAGTCCCACAGTCTGCTTGACCAGCTCACGAGGCCAGTCCTGAGGAAAGCTTTTCCTCCAAAGCACGTGGACAGCACTTTAGAGTTTACAAATCACATTCTCATACACTGTTCTTTGAGGCATTACAATCATTGTGGCCATTTTCTAGATGAGGCAGCTGAGGCTCAAGCAGCTCACCGAAGACGTACATCCAGGTCTTCAAAAACCAGACCTTACTCTCCCCACCTGCAACAGGCTGGGGGAACAGTCGAGAGGCCCACCTGAGCTACGGGTGTCTGCACACAGTGGTCCCCGGAACCCACACTCCCATCCCCCAGCACTGAGGGATATGTGGGCCGTTGTCACCTCACCACAAGGGCTCGCTCCCACTGCATCGTGCGAGATGGGTCTGCAGAGGTGCATGTGGAAGCTTCATGGGGGTGGTGCTGTGAAGAGGCAGAAACAAGACCTGAGGGCAGGATGAGTGAGGCGACAGGGCTGTGCGACACTGCTTCATCTTGCCTGTAAGCTGTGTCTTAGGGAGCAGACAGTTTCGGAGAGACGTCACCCAGGCTGGTGGGGAGGGGAGAATGTCTGACGCGGGCATCTGAGTCATTCTGACTGAGGAGGAGGAGGCGGCTCTGACTCTCCCAGCAGGGGCAAGGGCAAGAGCCTGGGGCGGCAGCTTGAGGTCCTAAAATAAACCTGCACATTTGGCTTGAGCTTGCATCCTCTGTGGATTCCCTTGCCTCCCGGACACCTGGAGCAGCCACTGTGGCAGCCTGGGCAGAGCCCCCCACCCGGGTGATCTCAACCCAGGCACTTCTCCTCGAAGCATCAGAGTCCCATTTGAACATCAAAAGGGTTGAACTGGACCATCCCTGAGGGCTTTTTGAGCCTTAACGTTCTAGGATTCTAAATTAGTAAAATATTTTGGTGGTTATTGACTATGTCTCACAGTGAAACATTATTTATCTTAGACATGGGCCAAGCGATAATAGACATTTCTTGAAAGGTAAAGATTCTCCAGGAGAAAAATCCACCCACAGTGCTGATTCTCTTCCTGTTACCAGCTGAGGGGAGTTGAGACAGGTGGTTGGTGTGTGCCCACACACAGTTTCCTCTTCTTTCCGGGCCCCCTCCCCAAACTCCCTGAAGCTGGATGTGGCCACATGGCAGGTCCAGAGAATGGGGAGAGGAGTCTCTGCCACTTCCAAGAGCAGGCGTTTCAGAGGTGGATGTGCCTCCCACTTTTTGCCCCATCTACCAGCTGGAACACAGGACTGCTCTGGGGTTGCACCACTGAGCCTGGGGGTCTCCCCATGACTGCAGCCGCGCCCATGCTCACTGGGTAATGCTGTGACAGGATGCCCTCATCGGTCTGCATAGTGAGTGAATGTGGGGTGGTTGCTGTTGCTCGTCCACCTCTCCTGCTAGATTCTGAGCTCCCTGGGGTTCAGGGTCACATTTGACTTTTCCTCCTGTCTCCAGGGCCGGCCTCAGCACCTGACTCAATAGTGGTGTGTTGATTTAGGGAAAAACTCACCTTCAACAGCCTCTCCCAGCCCATCTGCTCTTTGTGGCCCTAGAGTTGGAGACTGAGTGCCCAGTGGCTGTCCTCGCCCTCCCAGGGCCCCTCCCAGCTCCATCATCTCAGACCGTCGGAGATAAGGGGGCCTTGGTGACCACCTCCTCTAGAGGCAGCCTGGGGGCGGCTATGGTCATCTTGATGACTGAGTAAGGGCATCCCTGGGATACGGTGGGTGGGGGGCTGGGCAGGCTGAACATCTCTCAGTGAGCAATGGTCCCCTCCATGAAGGACTGTCCTGCCCAAATGCCATTAGTGTCCTGACACAGATGTTTGGGACCCTGACAATTCTTGAGCCATTTCCCATTTTTTTCTTGCCCTGTTTTCCCTGCCATCTACTAAAATCCCTTCTTTTCCCTGCCTGCTGCTCCGTGCCTGCACAATGCTTTCTCCTCCCTGTCTCTTCTGCAGAAAGCTACTGCTTCAGGCAGCCTGGGATGGCATCTCGGCAGGTCCTGGTGCCCACACAGCTGTGTGGACATGGGCAGCGTGGGTTTCTCCTCTGCACACAGCCTGCCCACCTTGCCTTTCACCAGAGAGAGGCTTCCCAGGAACACAGGCTCCTACAGGAGCTGCAGCCAACCCAGCCAGCTGGACACTGATGGTGTGACACCCACATGGGCTCCCACCAGCGAACAGCCCACCCCTGGCCAAGGTGGGCCCTGCCCCCTCGGTGCCTGCTAAACTGGTCATAACTGATTTCTTCCTTCAGAAAGGCACCCGTCAGGAAGAATCTCCTCCCTTGATCCGAATCCACTCCTGCACCTACATTCTCCCATCTGCCCCTCCCCAGGCTGCTCCTTTTCAATGGGGCACTTCTCCCACTGCTCCATGGCCAGCCCAACCTCGGGGTCCTGATTGTGGCTAACTTACAAGAGTGATTACCGGGCCTTCCATGTTTTCCCTTCCCCCAGTCTTGCCCCATCAGCAGAGCTGAGACCGATACCACAATCACTGCCATCAAGTGGGGCGGCTCAGCCCAGAAACATGGCCCTAGGATCCTCCTTAATGGGATAAAGAGTAGAGGCCCCACTGTCTTTGATAAGGCAGGCAGGTTCCACTCTCCAACCTGAAAAGATATGCCAAAAAAAAAAAAAATCTACATTTGGAGGGACCGACTCTGGCCTTCTGCCTCCCAGAAGCCCTGGGGTTCTTTCTCAGTCTGAAGCAGAAGCAGCCCCCCTGGTCCATCCCCCACCAGAGGATGCCAGCTCTCCCGGTCTCCCCTGACTCCACCCACAGTATCTCTCCCGCAAGGCCCTCCCTGGAGCCTGGCCAGAGCCTGTGTTGCCACACCTCGGGGTCATACAGGCTTCAGCTCACATGGCTGTGCCCCCTGTCTGCTCTCCTCCTCCACTTCCTCTGATGACCCTCATGATGGGTCATGTAAGAGGCATACCCCTAACCCCAACTGCCATCTTCCCCTGCCCCCAAGCTGAGCATAAAAGAAAGCACCCTAGAGTGCCATCAGCCCACTGACATTTCCAGAAGAGGGCTCCAGAGAGGATCAATAAGCAAACAGAATAAAGAGGGAGAGGGGAACATAGGTGCAAGAGAGTTCAGGGGTCAGTAAAGATTTCTTTACTGCAGAGCCTCCAGAGCCTTCAGTGCACTACTGTGCAACTGGATTTCCAAGAAGGGGATGTAGCATGCGGCGTGGCCCAGACTCACTGACAGGCTAAGCTTTGTGACAGGAGAGCTTCTAGGAAAACATCAGAGAAAAACTATCGGAGTCAACCTTGGGTATTTTAATGTTCTCAGGAGGGCCTTGATATTGACCCAAGGATTAGTCAATAGAGGCCAGGCTGCCTCATGACTTCCGCCCTTCTGCAGGCATTTCCCAAGCAGTGTTTCCTAAAGGGATCTTCTGAAGTTGAGCCATGAATTAAGCAGAACTCTTCCTTCCCCTGGCCCCACAGTTTTGGCTTCTGGGTTCTGGACATGGGAGTCCTGACAACACAGATGTGTGAGAAATACAAAGAAGACCCTCAGGGCAGTGCTGGAGGACAAGAGTCTTTCATCTAGGGTCCCCGTAGTCTCCAGGACTGTCACTACTCATGTATTTGCCCTGCGTCTTGGTTTATGTTTTTGTAGAACATGGATGTTATTCATCCACGCCTCATCAATCCCTGCTGAGAGGTTTAGGTAAAAGAGAGAAGCTGGGTTTGTAGCAGTACACTTCACTGAAAAAAATATTTCCTCAGTGACTCTAAAGGAACATTTTTGCTAGATTTCACATATGTAGTCAAGAACCAGAAACTTTGAGGGTTTAGGACCTATTTTTGGGTAGGAGGAGAAGATCAGAAAGGGGCAATTTGGGGTGGTGGTGGTTAAAAAGCAAAGCAAAATAAAGAAACACAAAACCAGGTAATGAGTGAGCAGGCTCTCCCCAAAGCTAGTCTTTAGGCTGGTTCCATCCTGAAATATGCCAGTGCCTCACTAGTAGATCCCAATGGGCAAAACAGCAGGAGGTCAAATGGGATAAAAATGTGAATGTAATGATTCCTCACATTTACATAGCACTTCACAGTTTATAAAACACTTATACAGATGATTCCATTTGAACTTCATAAAATCCTTACATAGGAGGCAAAGTAGAAAAGGCTTCCTAATTTAGAGATCGTGAATCAATAATTAGGTGACTTGCCCAAGATCTCCCAGCTTACTGGAAAACCAAGGATCAAGACGGAAGCCTTCTGCCTTCCTGCCCGCTGCCCCTCATTCCTCCTGCTGAACCCACCAGACCAAGAGTACATGGCAGGTAAGAATATCAAGGAATGAATGAACAAATCAACCAACCCATCACTGGGGCGCTATCCCAAGAAGCTACATAGTCACTGGCACACAGTGGGTACGGCTGTGGTGACACAGAGGGTTGGCCATCTCCTCCTGGCCAGTTCATCTCATTCACTGGAACAGGGTCGTGAACAAAGCAAATGTTTGTTAATGGATACTCATATCACATTCTCAAAGCTGGACCCTGGGTGGGCAAAGCAGTGAGGTGGTGTGAGGTCTCAGCCCAGGCACAGCTTCCTCACGGGTGTGTGGTCATTGCTCAGCATTTAGGGCCCTGGAGGTACTGAAGAAAAAAATTTCTTTTCAGATGAAGTTTTGCTATTGTTGTCCAGGCTGGAGTGCAATGGCATGATCTCGGCTCACTGCAACCTCCACCTCCTGGGTTCAAGGGACTCTCGTGCCTCAGCCTCCCAAGTAGCTAGGATTACAGGCACGCGCCACCATGCCTGTCTAGTTTTTTGTATTTTCAGTAGAGACAGGGTTTCATACAACCTCATTTTACACCTTTAAGTCTATGAGCCCCGAGTCCATGAGCCCCGAGTCCATGAGCCCCGAGTCTATGAGCCCCGAGTCCATGAGCCCCGAGTCTATGAGCCCCGAGTCCATGAGCCCCGAGTCCATGAGCCCCGAGTCCATGAGCCCCGAGTCTATCAGCCCCGAGTCCATGGGCCCCGAGTCCATGAGCCCCGAGTCCATGAGCCCCGAGTCTATGAGCCCCGAGGCCATGAGCCCGGAGTCTATGAGCCCCGAGTCTATGAGCCCCAAGTCTATGTTGTTTGTTATGATGGTCTTAGCAAATGAATACGAGGCCCAAGGTCAGGCTGGGACCCAAGAAGGTGATTTAAGGTGGCCCAGCACCCTCTCCCCACTGGGCAATAACCCAAGTGAAAGTCCTCTCTGTTCACATCACAGGGAATCACTCTTCCTTTCCTAATACTGTGTCCTCTGAATATATGCACTACACCAAGAAAATCAGATCATATATAGACCTCCAAAGAGCTCGAAGTCCAGAATAATATACAAACACACAGCCAAGATAAATACATAGAAAACACCCAATTTTTTTTAACACAATGTGTCCAAAAGCCAGTGTGTGGGTTGACTGTTTCCCAGAGGAGCAAGCTCTCTGTGGTGACCGCATCTCTAGCTAACCCTCTGGCACCCAACAGTCAACCCACATCAGTGATGAGAAATCACCTGTACAGCCAATACCGTCCTCTCAGCTCCACCCCCTCTCTGTTTTGATAAGGTCTGCTGGAGAGACAGCAGGGCTCCACCCCCTCTCTGTTTTGGTAAGGTCTGCTGGAGAGGCAGCAGGGCTCCACCCCCTCTCTGTTTTGGTAAGGTCTGCTGGAGAGGCAGCAGGGCTCCACCCCCTCTCTGTTTTGGTAAGGTCTGCTGGAGAGACAGCAGGGCTCCACCCCCTCTCTGTTTTGGTAAGGTCTGCTGGAGAGACAGCAGGGCTCCACCCCCTCTCTGTTTTGGTAAGGTCTGTTGGAGAGGCAGCAGAGCTCCTCTCAACAACCACATTGCACAAGGAAATGTGCAGGCTTACAGAAAGTTATGAGACTTGCCCAAGGTCATGCATCTTGCACTGATGAAGCCAAAAGTCCACACGTCTCATGTTGAGTGGAGAGAGAAGGGAGAGAACTCCATGCCCCTGGGACTCTGGGTAGAGAAGGTGGGGGCCACCCCTGCCAGGCAACAACACATGGGTCAGGGTGGGGGTACACTGGTGGTCAGAGGGCAAAACAGGTGTGGCCAGAGTGTCTGAACTGTGCCTGAGGCTGCCTGCCAAAGTTGCCCCCACATGCTAGGCCAGGCAAGGTAGCTCAAGCCTATAATCCCAGCACTTTGGAGACCAAGGCGGGTGGATCACTTGAGGTCAGGGGTTTGAGACCAGCCTGGCCAACATGGTGAAACCCCATCTCTACTAAAAATACAAAAATTAGCCGGGCGTGGTGGCGGGTGCCTGTAATCCCAGCTACTAATGAGGCTGAGGCAGGAGAATTGCTTCAACCTGGGAGGCGGAGGGTGCAGTGAGCCAAGATCGCGCCTCTGTACTCCAGCCTCAGCGACAGAGCGAGACTCCATCTCAAAAACAAACAAAAAGTTGCCCCCACATGCTAAAGGACCCTGTGATTAGCACATTTCAGACTTAGGGTCCTGTCTATCTTTTCCTGAGAAAGGCAATCATTCATTAGCTTGTCTGATTGATATCGTCACCTTTCCCAAAATCCGAGTCCCTGTGGAATCCATGTGTCCTTTTATGAGTTGAGTATTGGGATCCCTCCTGATGCATAATAATTAAGGGCTTTGATGAACTCTGGAGACCGCACTTAAGCAAACACTGGCAGAGGGTCACCTATGTGCTAGGAACTACATTGGGTCTTTGGGGGTCAGTTTATTTCAGAGATGCATCCTGCCTCCAAAGACCTCACAGTCTTTGGAGGAGAAGAAGACCTGTATATGAAGGACTGGCATACAAGGCAGAGTGAGACATGCCTAAGGTGTCAACAGTCCTGGGACAATGCCCCAAACCTGGACACTCTGGTAATAACATTCCCTGTTCCTTTGAAACAGCCCAGATTTAGTCTTTCGCTGTAACATATGCACTGATCAATACTGAAGATGAATTAAACTGATGAAAATCAATCCCAAAGCCAGTTTTCCTTTCCAGACCAAAACTTTTCATCAATAATAGAGAATTAAAAGATGTCACTAAATCCTGATACCTGCACTGCACGTAGTTCAATCACAGGTTGTGAAAATGGATTAAGAAGTAGGAAGCCTTGCCAAGAAGCTTGTTCTGCTGGCCTTTGGCAGACAGAGAGGGGCCAGTGAGAAACAAACAGACAGACAGGGACCCATTCCAGAATAAAGCGAAAGCCCTTGAGGCCGACTATTCAATCTGGGCAGGTGACCCAGGGCTTCCCTACCCACTCAGTGGGCTGGGAGTCCAGGCAGTGGAATCCAGAATGCTGCCAGGAAATGAGCCAGACACACAGAGAACACCCAGCAGTCTGTTCGGCTGGTTTGAAGAAGAGAATTGAAAAAAGAAAAAAAAGCAGAGAGAGAGATTTGGGGGACATCACAGAAGACTAGGAATTGGAGACTTTCAGTTGCTGAAGGCTTTTGAGCAGAAAGCTAAGATCTTCAAAGACGCAGCTTTGAGCCTATTCTTAGAGCAACAGGGAATCTGAGTATTTCTCCGAGGTTCACGGCCCCAGCGATGGGGCTGCTCTGTCTGCTCCAGCAGGAGCAGAAAGGAAGGAGCCAGGCCACAGGGAACTGCAGAAGCTGCGCTCCCTCTGTCTAGTGTGCCGTTTCCCGGCCTTGGGTCTCCTCTGTCTTAGGAGCCCCCACATGGCCCCATGGCCACTGCCAGGTCACTGTGGTAAGTGTTGAGTTAGTGACACTGACGATGCACCAGCAAGATCCAGCCTGCAAGACTGCCCAGCCCTGCCCAGAGCTGATGGAGGCTCTGGCCTCATGTTTCATTCATTTATTCAATCAATCATTTCCTGGGCACTGGCCAGATACCAGACACTATGCCGAATGTGGCAATGAAGAAAGAAATGAAGGTGATTATGGAGGTCCATCCCTCAAGCATTTGTCTAGTAGGGGAGTCCTTCATTCCATCAACAAACATTCTCTGAGCACTTGGTATGTACCAGAGCAAACCCAGGCACTGGAGACATCACCCCTGCCCCAGGAAGCACACAGTCCAAGGTGGGAGAGAGGCAGAGAGACGGCGAAGTGGAATGTGCTACCAGTGAGGTGGGCCCAGGTGCTTTGGGGTTCCAAAGTAGAGGCTGCACACCAGACCTCTGTGATAGGATCACAAACTGTCGCTGAATGAAGTTCTCATGCTGGAGCATCTGTGGGCAGCTGCCCTCTGGGAGCAGGATGAGCAAAACAGCACTGAGACCCAGGATGAGGGAAGCAGAGTGGCAGAGCCCTGGGAAAAGCTGCTCTAGGGCAGTGGAAAACTCTGCAGTGTCCCCATGGGGCAGCAGACCAGACCAGGACGCAGAGCAGAGCCTGGGGAGAGGAGAGGCTCTGAATGGCCCACAGGACTTGGCTGGTGGCACCCTCCCTGGAGGCTGGGGCACTAGTACAGGTGGGGAGGGAAGAGGATGCTGCCCCCGCCCTGCAGAGGCTCCCATAAGGAGCCCATCATGTGGGGAGCACAGGAACCCTGCCATGGCTTGAACTCTGGGGAAAAAAAGGGTGGTTGTCTACAAGGCGCCACAGTCCCTCAGTGAGAAATCTGAGCCTAGTCCCCTTGATTGGTCTTACTCCGGAAGTAAGCAGATGGGGCACCGACAAAGAGCCTGGACTTTGCTCACTCTGCCCTCCGAGCAATCCCTTTACTATGTCCAAGTCAGTCTCTCTTCTGCCAATGAAGCTCCTTCCAGGGTTAGGGGTTGAGGAAACTGTTCCCAGAAACACCCGGTAGGTGCTTGATTCCTCTTGGCAAAAGCTGACTCTTCCCAGCCCAGGTTGATGACAGGAAAGACTATCATGACCCCTACCCTAAGCACAAAGCACTTCCAGCCACATTCACAACTCAATCCTCACAGCAATCTGGCAGGTGGATGGAGTAGATACTACTGTTCTCAATTTACTGATTCAAAAAAGTAACTTGGCCAGGCTCGGTAGCTCACATCTGTAATCCCAGCACTTTGGGAGGCTGAGGTGGGTGGATCATGAGGTCATGAGTTTGAGACCAGCCTGGCTAACCCCGCCTCTACTAAAAATACAAAAATTAGCTGGGTGTGGTGGTGAGCACCTGTAGTCCCAGCTATTCGTGAGGCTGAGGCAGGAGAATCACTTGAACCTGGGGGGCAGAGGTTGCAGTGAGCTGAGATCACACCATTGCACTCCAGCCTGGGCAACATAGCGAGACTCTGTCCCCCCGACCCAAAAAAAACGTAACTTGATCTTGAGGAGATATTTGTACTCTGTGCTCACAGCAGCATGATTCTCAATAGCCAAAAGATGGAAGCAGCCCCAGCGTCACTTGACACATGAATGGAGAAACCCAACATGGTCCATCCATCCACTGGAATATTATTCAGCCATAAAAAGGAAGGAAATTCTGGCACACACTACAACACGGGCGAACCTCGATGATAGTATGCTGAAAGAAATGAGCCCGTCACAAAATGACAAATACTATATGATGCTTCTTATATGAGGTCCATAGAGGAGTCAGATTCATAGAGGCAGATAGTAGAATGGGGTTGCCAGGGGCTGAGGGAAAGGGGAATGGGGAGGTGCTGTTTAATGGGTGTGGATTTTTAGTTTTACACAGCGATAAAGTTCTGGAGTGGATGGTGGTGATGGTTGCACAACAAGGTGAATGTTCTTAACACAACTCAACCATACACTTAAAATTGGTTAGGATTGTAGATTTTATATTATGCATATTTTACCATATTTTACGATCGTGACTTGAATCCATATTTCCTGCCTGTTGGGTCCCAGCCTGACCCTTACCCCATCAGCAGAGGAGCAGTGACGCCATGAGGCACTAGAAGAACCCAAGGCCTGGAGTCAGGCCAGGGACTAGGTGAGAGTCTCGTGAGCTGTGCGACCTCAGCCTCCTTCATCTCTCTAAATTTCAATTTTCTAACCTATAAATTGATGCCAATACCTAATAATGACACAGTAGCAAAGCGCCCCCAGCACAGGGCAGGCCCCGAAGAAAGCCACAGAGGACAGTAAGGAAGGGTCCAGCTGAGTCCAGCCAGGATCCGGGGCCTCAGCCAGCGCAGGCAGCGATGGCAGCCTCCTTGGAGTGGCCTGGCCAACTCTGGGCCCGCAGAGGACAGGCAGTCCCGTGCCCACTGCTACCTTGAATCCCAAGGACAAGAAAGTTCAGGCCTTTACAAGTAATAGTTTGATTCCTTCGTCCATTCAAAGCATGGAGAGCTGGCTGAGCGCGGTGGCTCATGCGTGTAATCCCAGCACTTTGGAGGCTGAGGCATGAGGATTGCTTGAGCCCAGGTGTTTGAGACAAGCCTAGGAAGCACAGTGAGACCCCATCTCTACAAAAAAATTAAAATTAGCTGGGCATGGTGGCACATGCCTGTAGTCCCAAGCTACTCAAGAGGCTGAGGCAGAAGGATCACTTGAGCCTCAGGAGTTTGAGGCTACAGTGAGCCATGATCACACCACTGCCCTCCAGCCTGGGCAACAGAGCAAGACTCTGTCTCTAAGAAAAACCACAAGCATAAAGCATTGTGTCCAGCTGCCGGGAAGCCCAAGCAGCAGCGTGCAGTGGCTTTGGGGTCCAAAGCCTCAGCGTGGCCTCTTTACCTGTGTGGCCTTGGGAGACTCATTTCATTTTTTCAAGCACCATCCAGAAAGTGTGGACACTCATGGCCCCTCCTGAGAGTGGCTGCAGGGTCACATGGGGTGCCTGCAGCCCTGGGGCGCTCTGTGAGGTCATCTCCCTTACGTGGAGTCTCAAGCACTTTGAGTATGAGACTGTGGCCCTCAGTGAACAGTTCCTCTCTACATGCAGCTCACTCAAGGAGGAGGGCATGGGAGAAAGCTGGTGGCTCAGGGTCAGGCAAAGGCCTGATGCTTCACTGTGCACCAGACTGGGTCCTGTAAATCTCCAGGAGGAGGTGACCCTCGAGGCCTGGACTCCCTTTGGTCTTTGGCTGAAGCTGCTGAACAGCTGAGGAAGGAGCCTGTGGCTGTTTCCCCGCCCAGCTCCCTCTTATTAAGTGGGAACCCTCCAGCCTCTCCAGGAGGAGTCCCATCCTGTCTTCCCAGCTGCAAGAATGCATCTGGGCACAGTTTCTGGTCCCCATGGCAACCGCTCCAATCTGTGTCAGCAGAAATGGAGTCTGCTGCTGCTGTAGTCACAAGAGGGGGACCCTGGCATGATCATCAGACCGGGGACCCAGGGGATCCACAGAAGAGAGGCTCAATCCGGGAGCAGCCTCCCGGTGTCTACCTGCACTGGCCGCCGGGCTGGCCCTGCTGGGCAGGGGAGGTTCTGGGTGGGCAGACCTGACAAGCACTGACCCTCCATGGAAGGACCTCAATGCTGACCTTGAGCCTGACCCCAAACCACTTCCGACAGTGGCGCTGTTAAAGCCCTCTGGGAAAACATACTCTGCAGCCTCTCTTGGTGCCTGACTCTAGGATTTATTCAGTCTCATGGAGTGTACTGGGAAGACAGACCTATTTTTAAAATTTCATTTGGAAGGATGAAGTAGGGGAAGGAACTCCAGAGGGAAAGAAGAACTGACACTTATTGAATTTCTCACTGTGTGCCCCGAGACTTTATCGACATTGTCAACTTCAATTGGCACCATGAGTCTAAGGGATGTTGTCTTACAGAGAAATGAGACCCAGAGAGCTCCTGCCACTTGCCCAAGAACACACAGCTTTCAAATATTCATGCTGGCACACAGCTTTTAAATACTGGTGCTGGGATCCACCAGGTACCGTCTGCCATTCTGCCTGTGTGTTCCCCACTATTCCACGTGCTGCTGACCCCACGTGAGGCAAGGCTTCTTCCCATCTGCCAGGAACCTTGAGGTCACTGGTGAATCCTTGAGTCCTAAGGAAGAGAGGATTTGGGGAAGGAAGTGCAATGGGGTGTGAGAGTGGCAGCCTTGACAGGACCTGAGGGTTGTGGCTCCCTTCCTGCGAGTCTCAAGACAAGAGGGTGCTTGATGGAGGCCCCCCATGACAGCACGAAGGCTGGGCTCAGCAGCAGTCCAGGAAGGTGCTAGCAGTTGGCCTTCAGGACCCGTTAGGAAATTCTGGGTAGGCCCAGAATGACGAGAGAGGACAGTGACGCCAACCCATCCAGCCCCACAGGCCTCCAGTCTCAGCACCATAGGAGAAGAGTGGACATACCCTCCCATGGCAAGCAAGGCCTCCCAAGGGGGGCCAGAGGCCTCATCCTCATGAGCCGTCAATTTCAGCCAACTTAGGCTGATGGCCAAACACATCTTCCAATGGCCAAGGCAAAGGGGACCTGGGTCACCTCAGGACCACTCCGGGGCGAGGAAGAAGGAGCAAGACTAGAGGAACAGGGCGCTGCAGGGCCATAAGAACCCCAACCCTTCTGCAACCTGAATTCTGCCCCTCCTAGGCAGAAGGCTGTGCAGGAGAACAGAGTGCAGATCCCTAGCCACCTGCTCCCAGGGAGGAAACACCTCCTTCTTCCCATGAAAAAGTGGCCTCTGGGCAGGAGATACCAGGGGGCAGAGCTCTGTGTGTGTCTCCTGGCTTGTCTGCAATGGCAAGAGGAAGTGTGTGTGTCAGAGGCAGGGAATGAGAGATGACCTAACTGTATCAATTGGGGAATAAATAAACACATTTTGGCGCATTAAAGTATGCTGAACAATAGAGTAAGTGCAGCTTTTAAAAATAAAGAAGCAGAATTCTATTTTTGACTTAAGAACTGTCCACAGTGGATAAAGCAAATTGCAGAACAATATAGTGACTATTATCCCATTTTTGTAAAATAAAATCTGTCTATCTGCATATGGTTTTGATGCAGCATCCACATAAGATCATTTGGAAGTCTACACTGCACCAATTGTTAGTAGCTGTCGCCTCTGGAAGGGGAAAAAGGAAATGGCATCAGGAAAAGGGGCAAGGAAGAAAGAATATTGGTTTCACTTTATGTACTTCTTGGAATTGTGTTAGAAAGACCAGGTAACGTTGTTGTGATAAACCAATAAGGGACCAGGCACGGTGGTTCATGCCTCTTATTCTAGCACTTTGGGAGGCCAATGTGGCAAGATTGCTTAAGGCCAGGAGTTTGAGACCAGCCTGGGCAATATAAGGAGACCCCTTGTCATCTCTACAAAAAAGTTTTAAAAAATTAGCTGGCATGGTGGCGTGCACCTGTAGACCCAGCCACTCAGAAGGCTGAGGCAGGAGGATCACTTGAACCCAGGAGTTCGAGGCTGCAAGTAAGCCATGATTGTACCACTGCACTCCAACCTGGGCAACAGAGTGAGACCTCATCTCAAAAAATAAATAAATAAATACATAAATACATAAATAAATGAAATAAAGTTGAAAAATAAAATAATCATAAAAGGTCCCCAAACACCTCTAAACAAGGGTGCATGCTTGAGATCAGTCCATTTTTCGAGTGAGCAATTCACTAAACTCTTTGCAGAGACCCACCTCAGAAAGCAAGAAAAAAAAAAACACACCCACTTGAATTTTCTTAGATGACACAGACTTTTGGTCCTTTGCCTTAAGAGAAAACCCTGGGCTCCCCTAGTCATTAAGTCCCCATAATCAGAGAGCTTCAAGCAAACGAACACAGAGAGATCTCTTCTCACACAATTTGTCCAAGCTATAGCCTATGCCAAATCAGGGAGGTGTCTTTTTATAAGAAAGGACAGGCTTTAGAAACAGGGTGGGGAAGGAGAAAAAAAAAAGAGATCAGTACATGTCAAAAGAGATATCTTCTGCAATTCCTCTGACCTGATTATTGGGCTCATTGTAGAAATTTAACTATTTATCTATTTCTTGTTCTCTAAACAGCAGACAGTGATAATCAAAACTTTGGAGATGTAAAGTCAACACTTGCCACTGCTGTGAGTCTGTCCCCAGTTCATCATCACAGTGACAGTCTGGGCAGGCCCCCAGGTGGCCTCCAAAGCCACCTTCACAGCCTACTTCTGTCCAGCCAGTAGGCCAAGAGGTCTCTGTTGAGCACTGGCTTACGCTAGGAAATAATTCGGAGGAGGAGGAGCCAGGTGGTCCACCACCTCAAAGAAGCATGTAACCTAGTCAGAGGGACACTACCGTCAGAGACAACGCAAGAACACCAGAGACAAGCTGGGTCTGGCCACTCTGTGGCTTATGCAGGCCTCTCTGGGCACTGTTTGCCGGTCGAAGCTGCCAACCTCTTTGGAGAGGAGAATAGAGATATTATCACCTCCACTGTACACACGTGAAAACTGTGGATCACAAAAGAAGATCCGTATGACAAGGAGAAAAAAATTCACAGGACATATCAATGGCAAATAATCAAGAAGAAAACTCAAAGGTCTGTAGTTATTTGGGACAAAGACCTCCACTGCATAACTTTCAATAAAGGTGAAACCATTAACTTTAGGTAGCAGCAACATACTGTTCTAAGGACTGCAAGAAGCCGTCTACCTCAAAATGGCATGATTTTGCTAAAGCCGGATTCTGAGAAAAGTAAGGATACTTAAGAAAAGCACTAAAATCCCTCTGTGAAAACTGTTGCTTCCACAGAAAACTAGAAGGTACCAGGAAAATCCAGCAGATGGACTTTACCTTTAGCTTGACCTCGGCTTCCTAATGCATTAAACACTCATATGGAATGAATCTGTTCCTGCAGGGGTAGAATTACACAGTTATCTGTCATCCAATGTCAAATAGGTTATCCCTTGATTAAGGTCTTAGCACGGATGAGAATTTTATTGAAATGATTTTCATTATCTGCACGACAGTTCATCACAAATATATTTGGCCCAGTGTGTTTCAAATGTGATTTGATCACACATCAAAATGTGGACATTTAATTCATTTTAATCGAGAAATTAAATGCATCTGCCTTGCTTCCTCTCCTGGGGCTCTTCCATCTCAGGAAATTCCCACACCAGCAGGTCTGGACAAGTCCTCGGCAGTAACTTCACTCAGCCTGAATTCTTCTTCCTTTCCCCACGGCTCTGACTCCAAGTTCTGATCATCAAGTTGAAAGGGAAACTTACAACCAAAGGAGATGTAAACAAGAATAGTCTCTGTCAGTTCAGTGGAGAGAGAGAGAGAAGCTTTAATGGGCACTAGTCAGTCAGAGGCTTATTCTGCAAGTGTTCATTAGGAATCAGTGGAATTTCCACTGTTTCCCTGGTGTCACTTGGGCTGCTGCCTCTTGGCCTGTGTCAAAGACAACAAAGGAAAATGGTCCTTGCCCCTCGAGGTGGGACTGGATGCCAACCAGCCCGACAGGCAGTGGGTGGTTCACGGTTCTGTTCCCACTGGAGGATGCTCTTGTCGGCCTACCCTCTCGCCTGAGACCTGGAAGGAAGTGCATGCCCAAGGGTGCCAGTTGGAGGGGAGCTAGCAGTCAGACCAGGCTGGTGTAGGCTTTGCAGACAGAGACTCACCTCCTTCCACTGCCAGAAGATGCTGCCGTCGGGTGAGGAGCTGTGACCTGGGCAGAGGAAATTCAAGGAGCCAATTTCTGCTCTGTACATAGAAAAGGTGGTCCTCTCCTGTTTGTTCGGGGGGCATCTCTGAAGCCCAGCTCCACTCTTTACCATCTTGCTAAGAACCAGGAGTCTGGAACATCTCCCAAAGTCTACGTGGGGCTCAATATCATGTGCAATCACTTTGCACCCCGTTACGAATGTGGGAGCAAGAGTTGGTCAATTTTGGAAGGGCTTGGTTAAGACAGCTGGTAAACCTCAGCTGAGATAATATCTCTATTCTCCTCTCCAAAGAGGTTGGCAGCTTCACCGGGCAAACAGTGCCCAGAGAGGCCTGCATAAGCCACAGAGTGGCCAGACCCAGCTTGCCTCTGGTGTTCTTGCGTTGTCTCTGACCGTCTTGTCTGTCCTTCTGACTAGGTTACATGCTTCTTTGAGGTGGCGGACCACCTGGCTCCTCCTCCTCCAAATAATGGGGGATTCAGCCTGCAGCCTGGGAGAAAGTCAAACAAGAGTCCTCTGTCCCAACAGCAGTCCCCAAAGTCACCCTTCTGCCCTTAGGACCCTGGCTTTCCTCAGTTCCTTTTAACTGGGACACAGCTCAGGTTTGACAGAGCCTGGCCACTGGGCTGGGCCTTTGGGCCGTCCTCGAACACTCTCCTGAGCAGGAGACTGAGTGATGTTAAAGCTCTGACGTCTCATGGTTGCAGAACTGAAGACAAGCCCAAGAGCAGGAAAGTGGAGTCCCAGGCAGTGGCCTCAAGTATTTCTATTATTTCTATTTCTGTATTTATTTCTCGTCTTTATAGCTGCTGCGGCCAGGTAGCCCTAGGCAGGGCTTCCTCCCTGCCTCACCTTCCCAGCCCTTTCTGCACAGGCAGCGCACAGCACTCCGTGTGCTTTAGAATCCTCCTGCCCTGAGGTTTCTGATCCTGTGAGTCTCCTCTGGAACTCGGGGGCTGCTGCAGAACTAGGCCACTCTCCAAGCCTCCCTCTCCGAGTCTCGGCAGCCAGTGGGAGCCCAGCACTTCAAAGTGCCCGTGGGGCTCCTCTGCACACTGCCATTATCCACCACACACATGGCTCAGCACATTCACCTAGTCGCACCACTTGGAGTTCAGTGACTCCCTGGAAGGCCTTACAGGAGTGAGGAAGGAATGGGAATGCCTCCTGTTCCCCTACCTCCCCATACACCGACCCACGGTGCAATTTTCCCCAGATTACAAGGAAAGCTCTGGGGATGCACAACCTGAAAGGCAGCTGGGAGCCACCTGTCAGGGAATGTCACCACTGCGCCCTCACACCGATCGCCCCTGGGACTTGACAGGTGGCTGCATCCTCATGTGGGACCGGATTCTCTTTTTATTACACCCCCCGTTGAGCTATTCCCCGCTTCAAGTTTTGCATTTTCGGAATGCAAAACTTCACCAGTGCTGGGCTGGGTTTCCCCTTGGGGGGCCTGGGGATGCTTCAATGAGGAGAGAGGACAGGAATGAGTTCATAGAGAAAAAGCCAAATGCATATTTATCTCACAATTATACGTAAAAGTCAAAAAATCTGAAAGCGATCTAAGTGTCCAATAGGAAGGGAATGCTTAGTATCAATAAGAGATCTGGAAAGCTGCTGTAAAAGTAACTGTCAAAAGCACACCACCATATCAGGAAGTGATTTGAATGTATTAAGAAAGAGAACATGGAACTGTATGCCCACTATGATTACATGTTTTAAATTTTTGCAAGGAAATGCAGAAATGAATAAAGTTCTTGAGACAGATTGTAAGTTTGCTGTTTCGTTAAAAAAAAAAACTCCTTTAATACTATATTATTTTTATAATAAGTAACATTAAAAGAAAAACATTAGGAATCTGGAGAAAAAGGGATCCTAAATGGGAATCCCTAAGTCCTGGCTTCCAGCCCTGTGTCTGCCCCATCCACAACCGCATGGCTTTGGATACTTTCCTCTAAGCCTCAGTTTCCACAATGATACACTAAGTTCCACTGTGTGATTGCCTGGGTATCTTCCAGATCGGACTTCCCACAGTTTGGTTTATCCACAAACAGTGCTTACTGACCTAATTAGGTTATGACTTCAACCACTGATATCTACCAAACCAAGAGAGTTGGAAATCTGGTCAGAACGCCATCTGCGTACACTGCTCCCGGTAATTCTGAGCAATTTGCCACATACGATTTCAGCCATGCTTGACTTTCCAGGGCACAAATAGAAACTACTATATTGCTTTAAGGCTGAATCACTTAGCACTTCCCAGAATTCAGATATGATTTATACCGTCATTTTAAAATAAAACTCTCCTGTCTAAGAATTGCACTATTTACCATAGAGCATTTCCTAATTTTGGAAGGAAAAAAAAAGAAAATATTTATTCAGAAAGCACTTCATATTTACATAGCACCTACCGCTAATGAAACATCTTATCCGATCTTAATGATGAGATTAAGGTGTAAATTTAGAGCTCCACCCACCAGCCTGGTGCATTTCTTATTCAGTCCAAGTCTGTTTGAGATAAGTTACCAGACTTCAGCTTTCAGAGTTAATGTGTGGGAGCTATTTTTTCCCTTCTAGAAAGAAGCACTTGCCAGTAACATTTTAGCTATTTCCCAAGGCTCAGAGAAGGTTCTCCATACTTTTCTATGTTGGAGGTGGGACTGCTGCCAGCTTGGAGGGAAGGGAAAGGTTACTCACACTCGATGGGAAAGAGCTCTACTGTCCATGGTCTTCCTCACATATTTGCAGTTGGTCAGCTCCTAAGAAAACAGTGCCTTACTCCTACAAAAAGAAATCTGCTGAAGAACAGCATCCAAGGTGCACCACCATCCCCAGGGTAAATGCCCCGCAACCACCTGCATCCAGGTGCACCTGCAGTTTCCCACCCCCCAGCTCATCCCTCCATCCAGCCTTTGCCAGCCTTCCTTCGTCCCCTTGGCTTCCTCCTCCGCCTCCTCCTTCCAGGGTCTCCTCTGCAGCACTCCCTGGCCTCCCAGGCACTACCTCCCCTTCTTGTCACCCAAGAGCAGTTGGCACAGATCTCTGTGGGCATCACACAGACTTCCTCCCATCACCCTCTCAGATCCTCCTCTGCGGCCCCCATGCTAGGTGGGAGCCTCATTGTCTCTCTAACTGTGGCAACAGGCGAAGCACGTGCTCTCACTCACAGGGTCCTTGGAGTGCCTGCTCTGGTTGCCACATGCCATGGGGTGCGGTTGCTGCTCTCAAGAAGCCCACATCCTCCTGCAGGGGACCTAGCCCACGGAGAGTGCCAAGTGTATGCTTGTCAGAGGTGAAAGAGGTGTGTGTGTGTGTGTGTATGTATGTGCATGTGTGTGTGTGTGCATGTCTGTGCTTGTGCATGCGTGGGCTGCATTAATCCTCATACCAATCTCCTAAGTGATCTTGGCCAGAGGCAGGAGAATGGGGAGTGGGCACTGCTGGACGAGGAGGGGGCCAGAGCGGGAGATTATTCACTGGGGTGCCCAGGAAAGAATGCCCGCCATAGGATGGTCTCCCATGAGGCTTCCCTTCTGCCCTGCCTTGGTCAGCATCGGGCAGGCCTCCCACAGGCCTCTCCTCTGAAGAGTCCAATTTCAGACCGTCAGCATGGCCCTGGGACAGCAACGGTCTGGTTCCACCAGTCTCTCCCCTTCCTCCTCATACCCCAGCTCGAAGCCACTGCCGCCGGAGCAAGGGCCTGCAGATGCCCTACCTTGCGTCACTCAGGGAGTCTGAGAATGCTGAAAATCTACTGGGTCAGAATGTCTGCAGGTGGGACCCAGGAATCTGCATTTCCACCAACTTCCCAGATGACTGCTGTGCTCACTAGAATTTGAGAATCACTCACTTAAGCTCTAAGCTTCTTAATCAAAGTCTCCTCCTTGGCAGGGGGCCCGAGTGCCCCGGAGGACACTCTCACGGTCCCGCCAGCTGCCCACTTTCCCTCATGGAAGAATAGGACCAGAACTCAATTGTGTTTTTTTAAAAAGAAAATATATATATATATATTTTTTTTTAAAAAAAACAAGCATAATTCATAATTCTGATCCAGATTCTTGCTAATGCATCAACTCACTGGCTTAGGAACAGTTGCTTAAATGTAAATTAGTTATCTGAGAAAGAAAATCACATTACAGGCAAACATAGAGCTTGTACTTGGCCTGACCTGCAGGACATTCTGGATATTAAAGGACTCATGAGACCCAGCCCAAAGCCCGGGCCGAGGATGTGCCCGGCACACAGTGGGTGCTATTCGCTGTTATCCATAAATGGCAGCCTTCAGCAGAGGTGGGCTTTCAACACGGAGACGCTCATCAGCCTCACACCTTGTCATTTTATCATCACAGCCATGGAAAGTCATTCCTAACGGGAGGAACACACTACACCCTGCCCAGCCCACATGAAGGCAACCCTAGACTGACAAGTGTAAAATGTCAGATAGAATAAAAAGCTTTCAATGACAATAAGTCAAGTTGCACACACTAGAAAGATGCGGTGAGGTTAAGTGACTTACCTCAGCTACAAAGTAAACCCCCAGCAGCGGGAGGAATATAATCCAAGTCTCCAGTGTCCCACTCTGATCCTATCTCTTTTCTAGATCCTGCTGCCTCTCCAGTGAAAAGGGAGACTTCAAATGAAAAGTAAGCACAGTAGCTTGTTCTGCTGCTAATAGAGGCAGTGGCACGGCTGCTGCCAGCATCCTCTGAAAAGATTTAACACTAGAAATATTCGAAACAGAACAGAGGCGTCGGAGGTCACCCGGCCAGTCCTGTCCCGCAGGGATCAGTCCCACCTTCTTAGCGATCTCCAGGCAGTGGCTCCATGGTCTCTCGGAAGCTGAGATGGGCCCCATGAAACTCTGCCTTTACTTCCAGGGCTGACGTGTGGGCAAGTAGAATCAATTAACCCCGAACTCCCCTCTGAACTCTCTCCCCAGTCCTGCCCTCACTCTACTCTGTTTCTGGCTCTAAACTCTTGTACACTCTACAAGTCTTCCTCTATAGCTCACCTCTTTTCCTCCTCTCCAATCCTGTAACACCACAGTGTGAGGCTTTGGTGTTGAAATATCGCTAAGTCTACCCTTGGAGGAGGCATTCAACCACTGTCCCAGCAAAGATCCCACTTGGCCTCCACTATTGGTGAACCGTCCACATGCTCGTCTCCCTTTCTTCCTTGCTAACAGGACCCTGATCCTGATTCCTTTCCACCCCTCGGGGAAGGGCACTGACCTCAGGCTCAGGATGAATTCCAATTTGCTCATGTCAATCTCAGCAGTCCCATTCCTCTGGCCAGGGATTAACTTTCCGCACAGCAACGTGATGAAGTTTGGCCAAGGAGACATGGAGAAGGCTGGCAGGCTTATGGACAAGGTTTCTTCTTTCTTAAAGAGAGATATAGGAAGAGACCTCCTCTCCTTCCTCTGGACATGGTCAGGTCTCAAAATGATGACCAGGAACAATGAAAGCATCTTGCAACCACCAAGGGAACCAGCCTAACATTCTGAAGACGGCAGAGCAAAAAGATGGAGGGAACCTGGACTTCCAATGTCATCTCTGAGCTACTGAATTAGCTAATCCTAGAGTCACATATCCAGCAACTTCCTGGGGAGAGCCCAACCCATTCTTCAGTTTGTGAACATCTGATCTCACACGCAAAGGTCATCTCCACTGATAAGTAGTGAGTTTCCGTCACTAGAAATGCTCGAGGAGAAGGAGGAGGCAGAGAGCAGAGATTTCTGTCCTTTAAAGGGTGAAGTCTGCATAAAGACCTCATCCACCCAAAGTTTCCAAAGAGCCTACCTGGATAAGGAAAAGCCATTAAAACAAACAACTTGCACCTGATTTGTTGAAAACATAAAGTATTGCCACTGTCAGATTGAAAATTGTTTTCCAGGAATGTAGTAGGAAGAAAGGGATGCAAACAAGATAAGTAGCTTCAAGAATTCAGATGGCTGTTTGAAAAAATGCTAAGAAAATTCTATTCAGTGTCAGGTCAGAAAGATATTTCAGGCTGACACCTTGTAACACTGTGATATCAGAAGACCACTGCAAATCCACACCTCTGTATCACCTTAGATGTAAAAGAGATATTGTTAAATATCTACTTGAGCCCTTCCCAAAAAAAGGATTTCACAGAAACCCAATCTGACATAAAATGATAATTCTGACCCAGATCCCCTTATGGTCTTACACAGTCAAGCATAAAGCAAACTGTTTCATTACGGACAATTTCAGATCACGATGCCAGCATTATTTATTTGGTCCACATCTCACATTGCTTTGTCACGTTACTCATTTTTTGTGGCCCTGTCTTCCCTCTCCAACCAAGCGCAATGTCCCTAGAGAGGCAAAATCATACCTGAAGTACACGCTGGAATCTAGGCTCTCAGTAAATGAAAGGGCTGAATGGCCAGAGTAGGACCTAACACCTTTCCTTCCTTCCTTAGGTGACAAAGACAAGAGGGAGTGCATGGTACTCCTATTAAAATCAATCAGCTAAAGACACTAAATATTTAGATTCAAGTGATGAGGATTAAACTGTAATCTTAACACTGATTTCAACGTTCTAGACATACAATCTGAGACTCATTTATTTCTTCAGCCAATATTTAATGAGCTCCTGTAAGTGCAAGGCATTAAAATAGAATAGAATGGTATCTGCCCTACAGTGCCTAGCCTAGCAAGATTAAGTGAACTTTAATGTGATCAATTCCATGTTAGAGGTATAAGGCAATATGTGATTTTGTGAAAGGTGTGATTATTTGTGGCAGGGCAAATCAGGGTAGGCTGTATGTGCCTTGCACATAGAAGATGCCCAATAAATGCATGATGGATGGATTGATGGGGTGACATTTTGTAGGCTTTGAAAGGGGTGTCATATAGTCAGAGTAAGGGACAGGAGATTCCAGCCAACAAAGCCACACAACCCAAAGCAAAGGGATCAGGAAAGCATAGGACGTGACCTGGGACCCTACGGCTGGAACATCAGGTCCACTGGAGCATAAAGCTAGAATGAAACCAGGGAGTGGAGGGCCACAAGTGGCCCACCAGCGTGTTCAGACCTTGTCTGATCTAGAGTGCCAGATGCAGGGACTGCAACTCGACAAGTCAGCTAAAAGAAAACCTTAGAAACCTACTGCATGGGATGAAAGCAATATTTATCATACACTCACGCCAGCCTGGGGTTGAGTGCTTTTTAAAAATGAAGTAGTCTGGGCCAGTGGCTCATGCCTGTAATCCTAGTGTTTTAGTAGGCCGAAATGGGAGTATTGCTTGAGCCTAGGCGTTTGAGACCAGGCTGGACAATACAGCAAGACCCCACCTCTACAAAAAAACTTGTTAAAAAAAATAGCAGGGTGTATTGATGCATGCTTATAGTCCCAGCTACAAGGGAGGTTGAGGCAGGAGGATTTCTTAAATCTAGGAGCTCGAGGCTGCAGTGAGCTATGACTGTTCTACTGTACTTCTGCCTAGGTGACAGAGTGAGATCCTGTCTCCAAATAAAATAAAAATGAAATATTTCAACAAATATAAATAAAAGGTAATAATATTACAAGGAGCACATGTACACCCACTCAGCTTTGACAAAATTTAGCGTTTTGCATAGTTCTACTTTCAAGAAATAAATTACTTAATGTGCAGTAAAACCTGTCTTCTCCGTCATCTTCCCCTTCCTGGAGGAGCCGCTATACTGAATTTTTTGTTAATCAATCCCATGCATATTCTACTATTCTTACTAGATATATACTTATTCATATGCACACACATAAACATATATAATAGTTTGTTTTAAAATTTTATGGAAATGGTTTTGTACTGTAGATATTCTACGTTGTTTTGTTCACTCAACTTTTTTTCACATTTATCCATGATGACACAAATGTGGCTTTAACAGTTGGACAGTATTATAGTATTCTATTAAATGAATATTTGCAATTTATCCAGTCTCCTTTTTATTTTCCCACACAGAGTCTTGCTCAGTCACCCAGGCTGGAGTGCAGTGGTGCAAATTATAGCTCACTGCAGTCTCAAAGTCCTGGGCTCAAGCGATCCTCCCACCTCGGCCTCTCACGTAGCTGAGACTAGAGGTGTGCACCAACAGGCCCTGCTGAGTTTTAGTTTATTTTTTGTAGACATGAGGTCTCACTATGTTGTCCAGGCTGGTCTCAGATTCCTGGACTCAAGTGATCCTCCCCTCTCAGCCTCCCAAAGTGTTGGGATTACAGGTGTGAGCCACTGCACCCACTTCCAGTCGCTTTTTAATGGTTTTTTTTTTTTCTTAATTTCCAGCATTTTTGCCACTAAAAGCAATGTTGGAAAGGATAGTCCTGGCAATGACACCAGCAGATGGTAGGTGTCTCAAAGAGAGTAAACCAGTTTACATATTCAGCAGCAGTATGCATTATTAGTGCTTGACACACTTGCCTGCATTTTATGCCATATGATAGATATGAAACAGTATGTTATTGTTTTAATTGCATTTTTCTGGATTGCTAATAAGGTTGAACATCTTTTTATATACACCGATCTTTTGATTTCCTCTTCAGAAAGTGCCTGTTCATATTTTTTGCCCACTTTTATAAATTGGGTCTTTTTTTCCTTATTGGGTTGAAGGAGGTTCTTTATAAATTCTGAACACCAATCTTTTGTTGGTTCTATGTCCTGCAAATATCTGCCTACCATCTGGGGCTTATCTTTTAAGATTGTTTTTGGTGTTCATGTGTCCTGGATATAGTTTTATTCCTAACTATAATTCATGAAATACTTGCAATCACCCCATTTGATAGATGAGAAAACTGATCCTGTGTGCTACGTTAACCCAGCTGTAATGGAAAAGAGGCACAACTCGAGCCCAGGTCTCTATAACCTTTGCTTCCTCCAAGTTCTCTTCTAGGCCATCCTCTCTCTTAGGTGAGAGGTAGGAAAGCATGTCTGTACCAGCAGGTGGCACCAGGAATGGCATGAAAGGAACCAAGCAAGGGCTATTGCTAGAGAAAAAGCAAGACAAAGGCCTGGAGTGGTGGTTCATACCTGTAATCCCAGCACTTGGGAGAGACAAGGTGGGAGGATCGCTTGAGTCCAGAAGTTTGAGACAAGCCTGGCTAACACAGTGAGACCCCATCTCTACAAAAAACAAATTATTTATAAATTAGCCAGGTGTGGTGGTGCATGCCCACAGTCCCAGCTACTTGGAAGGCTGAGGTAGGAGGATCACTTGAGCCTGGGAGGTGGAGGCTGCAGTGAGCCAAGATTGCACCCTGCACTCCAGTCTGGGCAACAGAATGAGACCCTGACTCAAATAAATAAATAAATAAATAGATAGATAGATAAAAAGATAAAGAAAAAAGAAAAAGAAAAGAAAACTCAAGAGGAATTGACTGATGACTGGATGCCAGTAGCAAGGACAAAGAGAAGGCTGTGTCCAGGCTAGGGGGTCCAATGGTACCATTAAAGATGCAGGAATAGGGGAGGAGGCAGTGGGAGTTGGTTTTACATGTGCTGCCCTGAGATGCCGGTGTTAAGTCTTACAGAGGAGTTAGAAATGTGGAGCAGGACATTTGGAAGCCATTTGCAGTGATGCCCTGCAGCCGTGGGGCCGGGTGAGTTACCTGCATGTGAAACTGAAGAAACTGAAGCCCAGCTCTGGTGGCCCCAAATCCATCCTGCCCATGGGACTGTTCAAGTCCCCCAACACCTCCTCTCATACTCACTTTTCCTCCTTTATCTGACACCCAGCACAATGCCAAGGTCATCGTAAGCATTCAATAAATATTTGCTGAATGAATGAAAAGCGTTATATTTCTTATACAGATCCACCACAATCTCTTATGCAAAAACCCTGCGGTTCAGAATTTTTTCGCCCTTAGAAAAGTAATCAAGTGTAACACACCCACTGGGGTCAAAGGTACAACTCCATTCTGCAGTTAAGCATACAAATGTTCATAGCAAGTGAGATAAACAAAGAGTATAAATAATCTTAAATTACATGAGGTTGTGTTTTGCTGCCAAATGACCTCATGCCAAACTTAAAACTTTCAGGTTTGCGATAAGGGACTGTGAACTCATTGCTTTTAAAATTCTTCTGACAACTCAAGAGTAAGAAATGTATTTTTCACTGCAACTCATTGTGCACGCACACACACACACGCACTTATGAATGTAGAAGTGAGCAAATGTTTTAGCAAATAATACATATCCTTACAACCTTGGAAGCACTATGGTACTTTTTATTTTACTCATTTTAGTTTTAGAATTCTGGTTGCAACCCATTATATGGAGTTTGCAGCCCAAATGGAACACTTTGACCTGAGACTCCCCTCTAGGTTTAGGGGGGTAGGTGAGGACCCTGGCTGGAAAGATCTGATGCTCTGGAAGCCATGATGTGAAAGCTCTGCAGTGGGGACAGGGGGTATCCCGGGTGATAAAGGTTAGAAAGAGAAACTGCTGATCTCACGTTCGTAGGGAGCTGGCCATGGTCCTGCCCTGCAAACAAGAGCCGGGAGACTGCAAGAAAGGCTGAGTAAAGCCCAAAGAGAAACTCTTCCCCCTGGATGATGATCAAGAACCTCATTCTGCCGGCTTCTGGAGGAATCTTGGCCAGAAAAGAACTCAGAATCCCTTTCAACCTCTTTCAATTTTTCTGGTCTGCAATAATCAATAAATAGGTTTCTCGCCATGGAAGACTGGAGCAGAAAGGGGCCTGACAGACCAAACCATCCAACCAGTCAGTCCGCCTCATCTTACAGCAGGCCATGAGGGCCAAGGAGACCTGGAGCAACTGGCCCAGGACCCCCGCTGAGGGCCTCCTGCCCACCATGCAGCCCTTGACTACCCACAGTCGCCAACCCTGCTCCCCAGCTTGCTTGCTTTTCTTTCTCTTTTCTTTTTTCTTTTCTCTTTCTTTCTCTTTCTTTTTCTTTTCTTTCTTTCTTTTAGACGGAGTTTCACTCTTGTCAAT
Source organism: Homo sapiens (assembly GCF_000001405.40). Classification (NCBI taxonomy): domain Eukaryota; kingdom Metazoa; phylum Chordata; class Mammalia; order Primates; family Hominidae; genus Homo; species Homo sapiens. The sequence goes on from NC_000008.11 coordinate 11,093,098, forward strand.
CAGGCTGGAGTGCAATGGTGTGATCTCGGCTCACTGCAACCTCCACCTCCCGGGTTCAAACGATTCTCCTGCCTCAGCCTCCCAATTAGCTGGGAACACAGGCGTGTGCCACCATGCCCGGCTAATTTTGTATTTTTAGTAGAGACAGGCTTTCACCATGTTGACCAGGCTAGTGTCGAACTCCTGACCTCGGGTGATCCGCCCACCTCGGCCTCCCAAAGTGCTGAGATTTCAGGAGTGAGCCACCACGCCCAGATCTTCCCCAGCTTTCTAGCCCAGCTTTTATCTCAAGTCAAAGCCTCACCCACTGCCCTTAGCACGAAGATGGCTATGCAAGAAAAACTTTTCTGCGAGCAGTTCTGGTGCTTCCCTGCTCCCCGCACTCCACTGTGGGTGGCGTCTTGTGCCAGCAGCACTTAGTGCCCGGCCACATCCTTAGTCTCTTAGTTATAATAGCCAGATGTTGGCAACATGGTCCTTTTCTTCTTCTTGAAATTCTCTAAGATGCCTTCAAATTTAGTTTAAGTATTTTATACTTAAATATTGGAAAAGGATATAAAAACTAGTGAATAACTACTTCAAGTCACGCCTATCTTTCCCTTTTTTCATTTCTTATAAGAAATAAATGTACTCTCTATAATTCAAAATTTACCCTTTATACTTCAGGGTCTTTACATTATGTAATTTTTTTTGTTTGTTTTTTTGAGATGGAGTCTCGCTCTGTCGCACAGGCTGGAGTGCAGTGGCGTGATCTCGGCTCACTGCAAGTTCTGCCTCCCGGGTTCACGCCATTCTCCTGCCTCAGCCTCCCAAGTAGCTGGGACTACAGGTGTCCGCCACCACGCCAGACTAATTTTTTGTATTTTTAGTAGAGATGGGGGTTTCACCGTGTTAGCCCGGATGGTCTCGATCTCCTGACCTCATGATCCACCCGCCTCGGCCTCCCAAAGTGCTGGGATTACAGGCGTGAGCCACCGCGCCCGGCCTTTTTTTTTTTTTGACAGAGTCTTGCTGTGTCGCCCAGGCTGGAGTGCCGTGGTCATATCCTAGATCCACTGAATCAGAAAACGTTTTTTAAAAAGACTTTCCATAAGCCCACAAACTTACAAAGGAGCAGAGCCAAGTTGCACATGATATATACATATATATGTATGTATCTCGGCTCACTGCAACCTCTGTCTCCGGGGTTCAAGCGATTCTCCTGCTGCAGCCTCCTGAGTACCAGCGATTACAGGTGTGCACCACCATGCCCAGCTAATGTTTTGTATTTTTGGTAGATAAGGGATTTCACTATGTTGACCAGACTGGTCTGAAACCCCTGGCCTCAAGTGATCGTCCCCCTTCAACCTCCCAAAGTGCTGGGAGTACAGGCCAGAGCCACTACACCCGGCCATTATCTACTTTTCATTTGGGGGCATTTGTAATTTCCCTCTCAAATGGATCAGAGGACCTCAGAAACAGAAAGGGACTTCTCCTGGGAACCCTCTGTCTCCCAAATACCCCACTTCAAATCATCCACTGCAGTGCACAGACTGGGGGCTGGTGGGACCGACATCGATGGAGTGGTTACTAGCAGCCAGACACTAGGCAGATGACCACACCTATCATCCTCACAGACCTCTGGGGTGGCATCAACGTCAGCATTGTCAATGTCATCATCAGCATCATCATTTCTGAGGCTCCAAGATTCCCAAGTTACTTACCCAAAGCCCAGGCCTGCCTGCACCTTCCCTCTCCTCTCCTGCAGACTGACTGCTGCTTCTTTAAAACACAGAATGCCACTAAAAAATAGGCTGAAGGAGGGAGAGCATCAGGAAGAGCAGCTAGTGGGTGCTGAGCTTAATACCTGGGTGATGGGATGCTCTGTGAAGCAAACCACCACGGCACATGCTAACCTATGTAACAAACCTGCACATCCTGCACATGTACCTCTGAACTTAAAGTAAAAGTTGGAAAGAAAAAAAGTAGGCTGATACAAAGGCAAATTTCCTTATAAAATCTTTAACGAGAAAGCCTGCAGCTCCAGGCTAGAGAAACAGGGATGTATTTTCAATATTAACTCATGAGTAGCGTTCAAGTTTGTGCAAATACGTAAGTGGACATTTTTGGTTGACTTTCTTTCCCCAAACTGCAAATATTATCTGCAAGGTCAACCCTCCATCTCAAATGAGATTCTGCTATATATCAAACAGCAATGAATCTTGGTTTTAAGAATTATATGAATGTAAGGTATTCTTAAATATATTGTATCTTCTAAGTTTTTTCTTTTTAAGAAGCTACTTGCTGTAGTGTTAGTAACACCTAAGACAAGCATGAGAATCAGCATGGAAGTCAGAAATGATCACATGCCAGTCAAATAGGTAACACTGACTTGTGAGACTGGTGCTTTTAGGCACCAGTGCAATTTTGCAGGGGCTCCCCCAGCACACACTGTTCTGAATCTCCTTTCTTCTGGAAGCTAGAATGACAGCCTGATTCTCCTAGTGAACAGATGTACTGACTGTGACAAAACGCACCCGCCATGCCAATAAATCTAATGAGTAACTCAAGCCAAAATATATATGTATATATCATGTGCAACTTGGCTCTCCTCCTTTGTAAGTTTGTGGGCTTATGGAAGGTCTTTTTCAAAAACATTTTCTGATTCAGTGGATCTGGGATATGACCCAGGCACTGGTAACATTTAAAAGCTCAAACGGGTGATTCTGATGCATATATCTGGTTAAGACTAGACCACATTTAATTCATGGTTGTATGTTCCTCAAAACACTTGCTGCCAATTAGTAATTCCACTGTTTTCCAATTAAGTCTATGATTAAAACTAACTTTAATTGTCATTTTATTTTTGGATTGGGAAGACATTTTTAACCACAAGAGCAGAAGAAAGCATAAAATAAAAACTTGACAAATTTGACTAGATAAAAGTAAACTTTTCTGAATGTCAAAAATGCTATCAACAAAGCTAAAGAATAAATGAGGGAAAATATATGTACCAGTGACAAAAGTTAATAATTCATCCAACAGATATTTTTAAAATATCTTTTGAATTGGTGATTCCACTTCTCAGTATTTACCCTAAGGAAATAAGCAGAGATGTATACAAAGATTCAGTACAAGGATACTTCCTTGCAGCATAACCTATTACATAATAAGAAACAGGCTAAAAGTTCATCAGTAACAGATGCCTGGATAAGCTGGCATGCATCCATCTGATGGAATGCCAACTTGTCAACAAATACTTTTAAATCTTATCTCAAAATTTGGTGGAACATTCAAATAGTTTTACACGGAAGAGTAGGTTACAAAACTTTAATAATAAAAATAATTTTACAGTTTCCTTTAATTTCTAATTTTTTGCAGTGAACATGTATTATGTTTTTAACAAAACACCATTAGAATACTGCACAACGAAGGCATTGGTGTATCTGAACTGAATAAGGTATCAGACGGATCAAAGCTTTCCATGCTACCATTGCACTCCTCAGTGGCAAATGCTTGGAAAAGGAAGATGGACCGATGTTAGTCAAGCAGCCTTTTCCTGGAAAAAGTAACCATGAGAGTCAAAGGCCCCCATGAGGTCCACTTTGCCCCACATCCCATCAACCCAGGACAGGCAGGCCTCCTGCCAACAGCTGGGTCCTTGGGCTCCAGCCGACAAAGTCTACAACTGACTTCCATGTTGGTGTCTTCTTATCTTTGTATTGCAGTTTTTAGCTGTTTTTCAACAAATACCATATGAAGAATATGCATACTCAAGACCTCACTGAATGTCACCCAAACACCAAATGAAAATCTAGCTGGAATGAAGACATTTGGTTTCAGGATGGCAGATTCTGAGAGATTTCGCCCACTTGCATATGATTTGCACATCCTTTGTACCATCTGATGAGAACGGTGTGCTCCATCAATCAATGCCACTGAGTTCTCAAGTTTCAGTTCCATCCAGAAGATGGAAGGTTGCCTAGAGTCAAGTTAAATCTGATTTCCTCAGAGATAGTCAAGTAAGTTTGTCATCAGCAACAGGACACTTGCCATCTGACATGGCAAGGCTAAGAACTCTCATATAGACTTTGTCTCCTTAGCCCACTTGGTCCCACTCATAAGCCCTCAAGAGACACAAAGTGATAATAAAAGTATTTGTGTATTTTCCCCATTGGGTTTCCAGAAATGTCATTTTCGTCACACCCTCCCACTCACCACTTCTACATTCAGGATGCAATACTGCAGCCAGAGTTGGTACAATGCAAACATTCCACGAGAAGTTAGAAAACTTGGGTTCCAGCATAAACTTGAGCAATATGCCACTTTGAACCCATTTTCTTATGTGTAAAAGTAGATAATACCAGCACTGCTGAACACACAGGGCAATATTTTCTTTTTTTTTTTAAAAAAAAAAAGGCAATAAATATTGGTTAAAAAAATTATACAGGCTGGGTGCGGTGTCTCACACCTGTAATCCCAGCACTTTGGGAGGCCGGGGTGGGCGTATCAACCGAGGTCAGGAGTTCAAGACTAGCCTGGTCAACATGGTGAAACCCCATCTCTACTAAAAATACAAAATTAGCCGGGCGTGGTGGTGCACACCTGTGGTCCCAGCTACTTGGGAGGCTGAGGCAGCAGAATCGCTTGAACCCAGGAGGCGGAGGCTGCAGTGAGCCAAGATCACGCCACCGCACTCCAGCCTGGGGGACAAGAGCTAGACTCCATCTCAAAAAAAAAAAAAAAAAAAAATTATACAAATGTAAAGTATTACTAAATACATCGTAAATTCTACAGTTTTTTTTTTTAAAGCTATTTGCTATAGTGTTAGTAACATCTAAGGCAAGATGAGAATTCACGTGGAAGTCAAAAATAATCACATGCCCATCAAATACGTAATATCAACTGGTGAGACTGGTGATTTCTGGGAACCGGTGCAATTTTGCAGGGGGGCTCCCCCAGCATACACTGTTGTGAAAGTTGTTGGCAAGCTAGAGCCTTGCTAGGCTCTGCAGTTTACAGACCAGCAGCACTGGCTTCGACTTCCGGCTTGTTAGGAAGGCAGAATCCCACGACCCACTCCAGAAATACCGAATTGGAATCTGCAATTGAACTAGATCCCCAGGTGACTCTCTCACACACACACACGCACTCACACACGCACAACACACACACACGCATGCACACACACATGCACGACACACAGGCGCGCGCGCACACACACACAAAGTTTGAGGACTGAGCTGGAGGCCTGTCAATCCTGGTAGCATTATTTCTAAGAGCTGGTACGTGAGCAAGAGGACCCAGTGGACTCGGTGAACTTGAGGTCCTATTTTTAGCAGTCTCGAGTTTTTCCTGACGCTACTAATGCTGTGTGTACTTCTCACTCACGGAATACGAGGTGTCAGAAAGCACAATTTGGAACTGTATCTTGGTAATTTCACAACTGGGACAGGAACTCTTGTCTCATCAGAACTATGCCGAAAAGCTTTCTCCATAGGCTAGGATGACTATGTGGTCATGCATGTTTGAATTATGTTCCTGTTTCCAATTAAATATCCCTTACAGAAAGGTTCAAGGTACCTCTTTTATAGTATGTGGAAAGTTTATTTTTGAATAATTTATTTATTGCTTGCACAAGTGATAAGAACCTCTTAGAAATCTTGTTCCCTTAACTATTAGTCTATTCACATTCTTGGACGAATAAAAAGCTTTACTTTCTTTTGAATCTTAAGTGGGGCTAGGAGGGAGAAATACAAATTCTGTTCTGTTTCAAAAGTTGGTTTTAAATAGACTTTGCATCTTGGAAACTTCTGGAACATTCCCCCATGGAAAAAAAAATGATTATTAGGTTCTGAATTGAGCTCATGTAGGTGTAACATAGAAAGGGGTATTAATAAGAATTTTCTTTATGGGTATAGTCTAGGAGAATAATGAGCTTCTTCCCCCTTCCCTAGCCCCTGGGCACCCTCAACGCCCCACCAGGTAGGCACGCTGTCCATTTTCGCCCTCCTCTGTCCAAAAAGCAGCAGCTGCCACCTCCCTGGGAAGAGGCAGGCACCCTATTACAGCTCCCGCTCCACTGAACCACATCTCCTTTCTTCAGATCTCTTCTCTTAGCTGGGTACAGCAGGAGGGCAATCGTCCAACCAAAGTCACATCGAAAATCTGGAAGCTTGGCAAGGCTGTCCAGCTGACTTTTGTCACCCTGGCCTCTAACACAATAGCCACACCATTGCTGCTGCCCAATAAATACCTGTTAAATGGCTGAATCTACTAAAACATTTTTAAAAGATGATGCTTATCATTAGCACAAGTCAACCTCCAACTGGGGGAATTTTAGGCTCTGGCTTCAAGTGAAAATTCTGGGAGAGAAGGGGCTGGAGGCAGGAATGGCACTGCTGGGCAGGGCAGCCCTGCCTGGAGAGCGAGCTCTGAGATCAGCTCCTCTCTTACAGTCGCTGGATTTTTTTCATAACTCCTTTACTTTCTTTACTTCTAAATCCACATTCTTTAAAATCTCCAAGTTTCCTTGCAACTCCCTAGGCAAGGGCAATGAAGGATTTACTCATTCACTCGCTCAAATATTATATAGGTATTGAATTTCTAATGTGTCTCACGCATTGTTCTAGGTCTTGAAAAAACAGCCACCAACAAAACAAAGCCCCTGCCCTCCCTGAGCATATATTTAGCGGAGGAGACAAAACTATAATGTGAGGTCATGATGGAGGTGATGAGGAAGTTAAGGGAGACCATGGCAGAGGTGCCACTCTAGACAGGCTGGGCAGAGCCCTCTCTGCGGAGGAGACAATTTAGCAGAGATGGAGCCATAAGCACATGGGGAGGAGCATCCTAGACAAAGCGAGCAGCAAATGCAAGGGCCCTGAGGCACGGGGGAGTAGGGCACCCTAGCGGGTTGGGCGCTGGGAGGGAGAGGGGGTGCAGCCAGTTTAAGTAGGGCTCATTTTTTTTCTTTTCATTTTGTTTTGTTTTGAGGCAGGGTCTAACTCTGTCGCCCAGGGTGGAGTGCAGTAGCACAATCTCAGCTCACTGCAGTCTCGACCTCCCCAGACTCAGGCGATCCTTCCACTTCAGCCTCCCAAGTAGCTGGGACTACAGGCATAAGCCATCATGCCGAGCTAATTTTCCGTATTTTTTGTAGAGACGGGGTCTTGCCACGTTGCCCAGGCTGGTCTCGAAATTCTTGGGCTCAAGCAATCTACCCACTTCGACCTCCCAAAGTGCTGGGATTACAAGTGTGAGCCAATCCACTTGGCCTCATTTTTAAAAAAGAATAGAATTTATGACTTCCACCTAATCCAAGCCTTCCACCTAATGGGACACGGAGTCCTTAATTAAGACTTTGTGTTCCACTCATTGTGTTTAGTACGCAATGATTTAGTCTACAAACTATCGTGAGATCTTATGACCACGAAGTGGCTGGGAGGATGGCACGGATAGAAGGCCACCACTGAGCAACTGTAAGTGTGCAAGTCCAATCAGACCACTTCCAGAAGGTGCTTTCCCCTACAACTAAGACAGCATTCACACTTAACCCTTGTAGCAACTTCCTACACTGAGAAACACAACAGAATTTTGCTGTATGATTCTCATCTTCTCAGAAAAATGTGTTGTCTCTTTGATCTGCCTAATTAGGCTAATTGAACTAGGAATCAAAGCAGTTTCTGGGGAGGAAGGTAGGAAGTTCTGTTTTTAGTTTGGCTATGATTTGTCCCAATCATTTTATGCTACAAAAGCTTTTGTTGGCGTTGGCCTCCGAGTCAGTGCTTTGAAAGGTGGCCGCAAATGTGATTTATGGGAAGGTGCTGCCGGGGGCATGCACTTTATGGGCAGGTGGTGCCGGAGGAAGTGGTTAGGAGACAGTTTCCTCACCCATCTCCTGGAGAGACCTCCATCTCCCTTACCCACCCTGCAGTGGTACCACGCACATCGGACGAAAGAGGCTGTCGCTAAAACGCTTTGAAAAGCATACACACGTGCACACACACAATGCTCACGGGTAGTATTTGCAGTACAGAATTCTAGTACTGTGCACCTCAGCTACAGACATCCCAATTTTTGAAAGTGTCCATAATTTATAGCAAGAGATATTTGGGTAAGTGCAGAAATTATACACGAGAGTCATTGAAACTGAGTTTATAAGAGTCAAAAATTGGAAAGAACCTGAATAACAAGAATTGTAAACTGCTGGACTTCCAGCAAGAGGGAGCTGGTTATATTCATGCAGAGCGGCCTTGAAAAAGATGCCGTGATTGGATAACGTACACTGTACACGGCTGAGAACAAAGGAATCTGAAATGACAATGAATGGAGTATTAGCAGCAGTGACCTAGTGAATTTTGTTCTGTTCATTTTTGTGCACTCTCTAAAATTATTTACAAATTATGTCATTTTTTATGATAAAAAGTTGTCTGAATTTTGGAAAAACAAGGATGGAGAGATGGAAGACAGGAAATTTTTACTAACCACCTTCTCTTCTGTTCCTCATCTGCCAGAGATTAAAAACTGGGAATCCACAAGAGCCAATGAATTTTCCCCCTCCTTGGTGGAAACTCTCACAGGAGAGAAGTCCTGGAAGATGGAAGTGGCCTCTCCTGTGCAACTCTCACTCCTTAGCATCAAGTTTGCAGCCCTCCGTGATCTGCATTCTAAGCACCCTTGCATTTGACCCTGCTCACCATTCCTCATGCTGTTTAGTTTGTGGGTTTATCTCGGCCTGGAGTGTCCTCCTAAGCCCTTTAGGGATGTGGCTCACCCTTTAAGGCCCCATCTAGAAACGCTCTCCTTCCCTTACGGACCCGCCACAATTTTAGTGTTGTATCTTGCAGTCTAGTTTGTTACAATCATGCCCACCTCCATAAATAATGTCACGGATGCCATCTGAGAAAGAGGAATGACAGCGGGAGAAACGAGGAGGATGTGTCCAGCAACATTTAGAAACAGCGAGGGCTTCTGGATGGGTCCAGGAGTGGCTGGAAAAGCAGTCACTGGCTGAAAAATTTCAACAGTTCTTTTCTTCCTTAAGACAAACCTGTGGGTCAATCCCAACTGACATAAACATCGTCTTTTTCACATCTTTTCCCCTGCAAGTTCGTCTTGGAATACTGAGACCTGCCCTCCATCCCAGCCCAGCATCCCGAGGACTTGCCTGCTCTTTCCCATGAGCTCTCCCATATTCAAATTCATTTATGCCGTTAGTTTACCGCTGCTAGAATGGCAACTCCATGCTTTGTGTCTTTTGCTTCCCAAGAGCCCAGAACAGTGCCTGAAGTCTAGTAAGCATCATCAATGTGCAAAAATAAAGAATTTACTTAAACATTATGTCCAGCTGCACTGTGCTTCTCAAGTTCCCCTACCGAATAGCTCTCTGAGAAGACAATTTTGCTGTACTCTCATTCTGAAAAAGGTGGGGACAGACAGGAAGCAAGAATGGAAGGGGACAAACACCAATTGTTGAGAAATGTGATCTTTTCAATAATTCAGCAGAACCTAACTCTATGGAAAATTCTGCCCACTCACAACCGGAAGCCCACCGAGGCACCAGTGTAAGTGTGCTAAAACAGTTTCGTGCCACTGAAAGGCTACTTCAGCATTCAAAGTTTCCATCAGGCAAGAGGAAGATGAGGAGGGACAGAGCTGACATGGGAAGAGTTAATGTGCAGTGCTCAGCATTCATGAAAACCTAGAGAGAAACCAACACTGCCTGTCCCTAGCTCAGAACTGGCTGCATTTGGAGGATTTTCACCCCATCCTTGGACACTTCCCTTCCATCACTGCCTTCTTATTCTTGCTCTGAGTTTCAAACCTATAAGGTGGTCATCAACCTCATGAGGAAAGACAGCCAGGAAGGTTGGAGGCAAAGACCAGGCACACAAAGATTAGAGAAACGGCTTTTATGCAGTCTTTTACTCCACTCAGACCAAATTCTCATTTTTTTGCCAGAATTTAAGATTGATATATTATACATAACACTAGTGTAAGATGGAGTTTTAGATCAGTTGCTGATGGCAGTTTTTTTAATTTTAGAAGAAATGGCAGCTACTGAATTAATCCTACTTAATCTCAATTTACACAGATAAATCTAAAAAATAAAATCCAGGGAGAAGACAGAAACTACAATTTGTTACAGTGACTTCCTAGAGAGATGAACAAAAAAGACACAGGAATTGCTTATGCTGGTAGTGTGAAAAGCAATGCTCCAACACCTGCCTTAAACTTCCTAAAATCATGAAGAGATTCAAACATTCAGGAGTTCAATCAAGCCACCCAGCCAGAGACCAGCTGAATCAGGCCCCACAAGAACTCAGGGAGACAGTCTGAGCTGTCCCAGAGCCACATAGTTGCTCGCATTTGGAAAGGTAATTCTTTATTTCTGAAAGTGGAAAAACTACCTGACAATGATCTCAATATTTTCTAGATTCCACAAATGGGGCTTTTAAAATGGCATGCTAATCCATTCTGTGATGTGGGTTTCTAAGGTCAAAATGGGGCTGTAAAGGGTCACTGAGAACCATTCAAGTAGTAAAGAAAATCCTAATTCCTAAGGGAGAACTTCTGAGATACTATTTGACTAAAAATGGAGCTTGCTTTGGAGGGAGACTGAGATAAACTCCCTGCTTCTGTGTCAAGGTACCCAGTCAAAAACTTGTGCTTTCTCTTCAAAATACAAAACTGCAAATCGACACAATTTTTGATCATGTCATATTTTAGGCAAAATCATTTCAATAAGTATTGATTTAGCATCTTTTCTCTGCTGCAAAATTGGGAATGTTCAAAATAAATTCAATTCAAAATTTTAATGGCAAAGTAATGCCTTCCACTGTTGCGGAATTTAAAAGCCATTGCTGACAGCTGTCGTACCCTTGGGAGGAGATGCGGAGTAATACTGCAAATGAAGTCCAAAATATCCCTCGTACCAATTTCATTTTATTCAGTAATTTCATTCTTGCTTTCAAGTCCCACAGAATACAGAAAGCAGGTGTCTGCCTCACTAATCATAGCCCAGGGTTTAATAATTCAATGTCGGGCCTCCTAAGAAAACGTCTCTAAGGGAAACACTTAATGTAGCGTATGGCAAGCTTTCCCTAATGAGCAATTCAGCACGAGTTTTGCAAGATCCTGGGAAATAAAAGGACACACTTTGGAGAACTGTGAATCTGACTGGAGATCACTGACTTCCTCTGAACTTCCTGCCTGCCGGCATCCATTGAGGAAGAGTATCAACCCCAATTTTAAATAGGCCAAGGAAGAAATCTCAGTATCTTTCTTGGAAATTTTCTCCTTGACACAGTATATATACAGCCCTTGGCACAGTGATTGGCACTCAATCGGGCGAGATATAAAAATGGGTATTCAGCATAAATTTCTCTGGAAAATGTCCTTCCACTGGGAAAATGAAGGCAATCGCCACACAGCCCGAATCCCTCATGGATTCATCCTTGGTTTCTCTTCCTTCAGGGCGCTTTTGTGCAGTTCTTTAAAGACAATTAATAAAAGTAGTTAATCACACAAAACTGTGACATATACAGTCAGTCTTAAACTTGATATTGTAGATGATCAGAAATAAAAATAATACCAGTTATAACCATTGCATCAATTTTGGTCATTTATTAGTGTTCAATTAGTTTTTTTGCAGATTGGTGGCTATTTTACAGGTTGAAAAGTTATCCACATCGCTTCTTGGCCTTTTGGCTAAGATCAAGTGTGAAAAGTGATCAGCAAGGTAGTGTAAATGATTTCCTAAATGCCTGTATTGCAGTGGATCTTTGCGTTATGTGAGGTTTCAGTGCTTTTTCACATATAACTTTTGGAAGTCTGTTCGAGAGATTTCCAGAAAGAGTTCTCAGTCAAGCGTTGGTTGAAACAGGATGGTGACGGCTGTCCTTTTAACCTCTACCACATTCGGTTTTTAAAACAATGTCTCCCATCACACAGCAATGCTGAAGTAATTATCAAAACTTTCCCAGACTGTTCTTGGACACCCTGGTTAATGTCCTGTGAGTTATGGGTTACGAGATAAAGAAAAGCAAATAGGTCCTCTAGGCAGAACTGAGACTGAATATGCTAATATTTATTGCACGGTTCCAAGAAATAGCAGCTCTCATCCTTCTGACTTCACAAACCAGTAAAAAAGAATGTATATCTTTAGAGAACTCAGGGTTACAAACTTTTTTATTTTACCAAACAAGAACATACATTAGAGAAAAGGACATGAAGGTTTAAGGAACAATTTAAGGCTGAAAAAAATGGTGAAGTCCCCATCCTGTCCTTTTCTTTCCTATTTTGCCACAGGCTGGCACCTGCCCTCCGCTGGTCATTCAGGAACTGCGGGGGCTCCTGGTGCTCAAGCGCCCTTGATCTTGGCTTCAGGTCTGCAGGACACACCGACCGTCACCACTGCTGAGTCAAGAAGGGGGTCTCCCCTCACTCCCTTCCCCACATTCCTACTGATTCACTCCCACTGATGACTGGGTAGAAAAGTTGCAGAACACTGATTTAGATCATCGTATTGATACGATCTTCTTCTTCATTTCCTTTCCTTTAATTCACGTGGATTTTTTAAACAAAATTTACTTAGTAAAATTCCTTCACAGTACAAAGCTCTTTTATTTGGACAAAGTTGGCTCCAGGCACCGAAAAGCTTGATATTCATTTCCAGCCACCCCAACCTCAAGCACTTGGTAATTACAGCCAAAAGATCAGCAACTCTCACTGGGGAAATACATGGACCCTGTTTACAACATTTTCATACATGGAACACAAACATATACAAGCAGCTTCTGCGAATACTTATACATTACATGAAAAGCAAAAATAGTATCATGCTTTAAACTGTTTCTCAAAAAATAATTTCAAACGACAAGCTTTTAAATAATTAGGCCACTTAATTTTTATTACACCAAGAGTCAGAAAATGATTGCAGACTACATCCTTTTACACAAAACACATTTGTAGGGTTTCTAAAAAGCTACATACATAAAGGAAAAATTTTAGAATAATATCCTACTTTCAGTGTGTCAGGGAAATTTGCTAATATGTTTTAAGGTTATGTTAGTTTTTATTTTTTTAAAGTAATACATACCTGGATAGTCAATGAGGGTTCAATGCAGGTTCATGTGGGACTGCAAATCTGGCCTATTTTTTGATGAATCTTGCTTTCAAAATCTTATTGACGTGACCACCTTCCCTGCACATGATTAGTTTTACTGGCATCTGGGGGTCATACATGGGTCTCTTCAACTACCTCCTTAACTCAGAACTCCAGAAGCCAGCGAGCTCCAGAGAGGCCGGTATCGGGTCTTCCCATGCCTGAGGCACCCTTAGGTCCATTCCTGGCCTCAAGGGAATATGGTGGTTGGAGGGAAGAGTGGACACACCAACACCCAGGAGAGGGCCTGGCATGAAGCAGATGTCCAGTGGAGACAACTGTCATCCAAACAACTGAAAGGCTACCTTTAAGATACAATGCTGGCCGGGCGCGGTGGCTCATGCCTGTAATCCCAGCACTTTGGGAGGCTGAGGTGGGCAGATCACTTGAGGTCAGGAGTTCAAGATCAGCCTGGCCAATATGGTGAAACCCTGTCTCTACTAAAAATACAAAAAATTAGCTGGGCATGGTGGTGGGCACCTGTGGTCCCAGCTACTCAGGAGGCTGAGGCAGGAGAATCACTTGAACCCAGGAGGTGGAGGTTGCAGTGAGCTGAGATCATGCCACTTGTACTCCAGCCTGGGCAAGAGAGTGAGACTTCATCTCAAAAAAAAAAAAAAATAAAAAAGATACAACGTTACAAAATGTTTACAGGCAAACCTTAGACAACCCAGATCCTTCAGCCCACATCTATTCTACTTCCCCACAAGAAGCTACAGGAAGGGAGACAGAAATCAAGGGCAGCAAGTGAACTCTTTAAGGCAACTGAAAACCTCCCATCCCCAGAGCAAAACATGACAATGAGAGGAAAGAAGATGGAACAAACTGTGATGCTTCTATCTTGACTTATGACAAAAGGGCTAAAAATGAGCAACATTTCAAAGGGCTAGAAAGGAACTGTACTATGATTACTTGGCAAAGAAAAGCAACACGGATAAACAGGATTCCAATTTTTTTTTTTTTTTTTAAATAAGAGATGGGGTCTCACTCCATCGCCTGGGATGAAGTGCAGTGGCACGATCACAGCTCACTGCATGCTCAAACTCCTGGGCTCAAGAGATCCTCCTGCCTCAGCCTCTCAAACAGCTGAGACTACAAGTGCACACCACCATGCCCAGCTGATTTTTTTTATTTTTTGTAGAGACAGGGTCCTGCTATGTTAACTCCTGGCCTTGGGCAGTCCTCCTGCCTCGGCCTCCCAGAGTGCTAGGATTTTAGGCGTGAGCCACCACACCCAGCCCTGATCAATTTTTGACTCCTTTGTGCTCGACGTTATCCCCACATTTATATCAACCAGCAGGGAGAAGTGGTGAGGACAGAGAATGCAGATCTGGGCACGGATCCACTCAGGCTCCTCTCTCAGCGGCACTCTCTCTGTAGATGCGAAACAGTGAGGCACATGTTGTAAAAGCCCAAACACAATACTTCAAAAGCATGCACAGAAACCCCTTGACATCTGAATATATGACGTTAACTTTCAGGCCAAGTGGACTGACCCTGGCTCCTCTCCTGCTGCTAGGTTCATCCGCAACAGACAGGAATGTTTGCGAGGTGAGAGTTGTATTTTTCTTACATAAAAGATCTGTTTTACAAGGTTATTTTATCTGGTTACCAGTCTAATGCATAAAAGACAGTGGTATCCTGTCTCATGTACAAAGAGCAATGCTGCCTGGGACGCCTCCCGCATGTGCGGCGGCACCACTCTGATGATGCTCTTCCATCTCTCCACTCGGTCCCAATATTAGAGTTTCTTCAGGCTGCTTCATTTTTCCACGATGCGCCTCTCAGCGAGGCTGTATTTTGTAGGAAAGTTCCAGTGAACGATGTAACAGGTGGAGAATCCCAGATCCGAAAACAGAGATTGGAAACACGCAAAGGGACCCGTGTGTTGAAACACATTTCTAATCAGATAATCGGGTGCATCTGTTCTGTTAAATGTCCACTACACTTATAAACAAATTAACCAAATTCAGAAATAACCATACAATTGTAAAATCTGTAAGGAATAAGGAAGGAATTATCTGTGAATCTTGACCATTTTCCTGAAAATCTGCTGCAGATTTAAGTGTTATGAAACAACAGAATCCTAAATTTCCAGTCACTACTACAATTTGAAGTACACATGTTACGCTGTAAATCTGATACCCCAAGACATAAGAAAAAGTCACACTTAGGGAGAAAATCTTCATAATTGTTAGAAATGTTAGAAGAAATATGTTCATTTAAAAAACAGGACATTAGTACTCAACTTATGAAATAAACCCACTAAGCCAGCAGGAGGCATTGCCTAGGAGGACTGTGGCTCAGCGGCCTTAGTGCCTTGGACTCTATTTCTATCACCCGTGCTTCTGGGGCAGCCCTTTGCAGAGAGTTTCCGTCCATTTCATTAGGAAGCTCTTGCCATGTGGCTCAGTTCTATGCGTGGAAAAGCAATGAGCGACCTTCAAGATCTGATGCTCCATTCCAAGGCGACAGAGAATCAACCACAGATGGGCGCGAGAACAGAGTCAGATCACCGGCCAAGGTAAAATGAAGACGATCTTCTGGATTGGGGCTTCCTGACACATGACCAGGGCCAGTCCCTACACCCACAGAAACCACACGAATACGTATGTCTGTACAGTCTTCCCAGGAAAAGGATCCATAGATTTCTTCAATTTTCCAAAGAGTTTGTCTGAAACTTCCAAAATAAAAAGAACCATTGTTTCGGGCTCATTTTCTCTGGGTGTTCCTATGTATTTAGTGCACCTGAACTCATAACGATGTATTCGTCCCTGGGTAAAGAGTCAGATTTCTGAATTCTCAGTGATATGCCGGGCTATGAAGTGCAGTGACCAAGAAGGTGCAGATTCCCCAAGAGACACATACTGAAACGCTTTTCTAGTACAACTGAGGCCAACATAAAATCTGAATAAAAGTGTAAGGTTTTCTTTGGAACCTTATTTCCCTATGTCTAGATGTGTTCTATTTCTAGGAAGTTTCTAGGAAGCAAGCATCAAACCCTGACTGTATTCATGCCATCATCTCCACTACGTTCAGTTGTCTACATTATTTTCTAAAGTTATCCAACAGGGACAGAAGACCTTTATTAACAATATTTCCCTAATATCTAATATACTTATTTTTAGCTAAGTTAATCTTTGAGCCACATATCCATTCAGAACATACCAGAACAAACTCAAACTCACTGTTAGGAAATGTATCGATACTTCCAAAGATCTCATGCCACTACCCTTAAGACACTGCAGCCTGCTAGGGTGGGCTATCCAACATCAGAACGCCCACAGCTCCAGACCCGGCATGGACCATCTCATCCTCCCCAGGAAAGGCACTTCCTTCCCTGACAGCACTTTAAGTCAGCTCTGGGCGAGTTTATCCCCCAACCCTACCACCATTTTTTATTCTTAGGCTCTGAAGTTTTTCCTTCTTGGGTCGCTTTCATTTGTGCTCAGAGTTTTCAGCATCTAAGATGGCCTTTAAACTATTCATTCCAGTAGGGACCAAGTTTTCTCCTGCCTGGTTAATTCCTTCTGAGTGTAGCAAATGCCTGGGCCCAGTCAATATTGTGGCTAGAACTGGCTAAGAGGAAACACCTCTACTGACGAAAGCATCACAGAATAAAAGTTTCTAAAAGCCTGTCATAATAAGAAAATGACTAAACAGCCAATAGAGGTTCAGATTAAAATTTAACGTGACTTTTAAAAACCTACTTAATGTTGTTTTTTTGTTTTTGTTTGTTTGTCTTTGACATGGAGTCTTACTCTGTCGCCCAGGCTGGAGTGCAGTGACACAATCTCGGCTTACTGCAGCCTCCACCTCCCGGGTTCAAGCAATTCTCCTGCCTTAGCCTCCTGAGTAGCTGGGATTACAGGTGCCCGCCACCACATCCGGCTCATTTTTGTATTTTTAGTAGAGATGGGGTTTTACCATGTTGGCCAGGCTGGTCTTGAACTCCTGACCTCAAGTGCTCAGCCCACCTTGGCCTCCCAAAGTGCTGGGATTACAGGCGTGAGCCACTGCGCCTGGCCTTAAAAAACCTACTTTATGTTTTCACTGTGCTTTATATTAAATACATTACCAGCCAATTTCTCTTAAAACAAGCAAAGCAAAAAGGAGCCAGGGGTATTGGGGTAGACTATTCAGCTTCCAAAAGCCATCTAATAGAAATGTTATGAAAACTTCTGCTATACACTAGTTTCGGAAATACTGGATAATCCACCAACCATCAAACTTTCAATAAACGAATACACGAACATTCCACTGAGCTTCTACTCAGTCTCTATAGTTCCGTGCATTCTCTTCATTCTTTCCCCTTGATCCATTTCCAAGTTGCTCTGAATGTCGTCTTAAAAGTCAGTCTTTCCCTGTTTTGGTCAATTACTTGACCATCATATGTATCTGCCCCAGAATGCTTCTCAAGTTTCTTAATCCCAGGAACAGGTAAGAAAAAAAGATAGCCGCTCGAGGACTTTCTGACTTTCCTATCAAATACAAATTCTCATTCATTCCAATGGTCGAGAACACATTAGTCTACATTCTGAAAGTAGCCCACAGTTTTAAATAGCATGTTCAGGTACATGGAATACACTCAACTTTCCTTTTTTTTTTTTGAGGCGGAGTCTTGCTCTGTTGCCCAGGCTGGAGTGCAGTGGTGCGATCTCGGCTCACTGCAAGCTCCGCCTCCCAGGTTCACACCATTCTCCTGCCACAGCCTCCCGAGTAGCTGGGACTACAGGCGCCTGCCACCACGCCTGGCTTTTTCTATTTTTTTTTTTTTTTTTTTTTTTTTTTAGTAGAGACAGGGTTTCACTGTGTTAGCCAGGATGGTCTCGATCTCCTGACCTCGTGATCTGCCCGCCTCGGCCTCCCAAAGTGCTGGCATTACAGGCGTGAGCCACTGCGCCTGCCCAACTTTCCATTTTTTAAAGGATAAATAAGCTTTCCTGGAGATTAAAGTTTCTGTCCTTCTCCTCCCTTCCATTCACACTGTCTACCCTTTTGGCTACTAATTTTGCACTAATTCATTCAGCCAATAATAGAAGGAGGTGGCGGCTGGAGGGCAAACTGAACAGCTCCTTCTCTCTCCTCATTGGCACTTCTGCCCTACATAGTAACGTCTCATTTTAAAAACTGGTAGCACTGTGCCACAAGTATATTTGGATATAATTTGGGTGGACTTTGCATATTCTAATACAGGCCATTCTGAGACCGGTTCCAGACTGAAATTTTGTCTTTACTGCCTTTAGGAGTGTCACTTGATGATTTCTTTCTTCCTGAAAAATAATTGCCTCTGATCTAAATAACTTACACTGCAAGCAGACAGAAAAGACAAGAATAGGCATAGGAGGAATTACAGAAACTTCCTGGGAAAAATGAGGTTCATAAGAACCCCAAAACCTTCAAAAGATAACTGTCTCCAAAGCATGACACTAATACTGATAGCTGATAATGAGAGACATGCATGTCAACCCAGAAGTACATCATAATTATCTGTTATTAGATATACTTTAATGAAATCTACTGATTCATCTAGTAAGTTACTAGATATGTGAAAACAACATAATTTCCAGAGTTCCTAAATATGTCCAATATATTGAACTTAGGGATCCAAGATTCTGAACATGCCATCACCAAAAAAAATTGCAAACCTAAAAAACAAAAAGGAAACAAATTAAACAATGTCAAAGGAAAGACTTTCTTAGAAATGGTCAATAATTACTTTTATAATTTTCAAAACATTTTAAGTTAATACTTTTTATCGTCTTACCATTATAAGCTCTTAAGTCTAACATTAAAGTTTTATTTAAAAACAAGGCAGTTTTCATAAAGCAAAATAAATATTACACAATACTCATCCACACCACCTACTTAATTATAGAGTATTTACTGGGTCAAAATATCTCCACATTCATAATTTGAGCCTTTAAAGTGGCATTAGTTCTGTCTTTATTTTCTTTTAAAAGTTGTCATCATGGTGACAGACATTCAGATGCATAACTAAAATTATAGATTTTGTTCTTATGCATCTCATACTTTTAGAAACTATTTTTTTAGTCGAGTAATAGCGGTTACAGTCTTTGTGCTTCTATTACATTAACTTTTAGCACATGAACTAAGAAAGATGCTCTTCAAAGTTGTTCTAACCACAAAGAGGTAGGCCTTTTTTGAAAAAGAAAAAAAAACAATTTTTTGGCAAAAGAAATCAAAATTTCCAAAAGTAAAAACATCAGTATTATTTCTCATTAAAAATATTAATATACAAAAGTGAGCTGTATGAATAAAACATTTACTATAGGCTTAAAGACCATGCTACTTAGACCAGCTTATTTAATTATTCCACAGAAAATCAAGAGTTCAGAGTTCATATTTCCAAAAGCATAAAACAACACATCAGGAGATATGGTCAAACAAAGAACCACTGAGTGCACACTGGTTTTTCTTTAAGAACAAGGCGAAGCTGGCCTGGGGAAGCAGAAATTATTAAGAGCCCACACACATAAAATCACTGCTCTCCCAGTCAACCTAATGGGGCCCAGATTTCCATGGCCAGCTTGTGAGTAATTTTTTCTTAGTGTATGTGAATAATTCTCCCTATCATTACAGAAAGCCACATACATGAAGAAAAAGAACACATTTTATAAATGTTAAATCACTCTCAACATCTGAGATTAAGCAGTAAGAAAATACTGTTTGTAGGGAAATTAAGTAACACAGAATTACATGACAACTGAGTCTCCAGAAGAGAAACATGAAAATAAAGATGACTTTTAAAAAATGATGATGTTTTCAGTTCCTTACAATTTGCCTTCTGTAGCACCCTCCAGAATGAGATGAAATTTAATTTTCTCACCATCTCATCAATTAAATGACTGCACAATTTAGGCTAAACATAAGTAAATCTGTGATACTATATTTGTTATTAATGCTGTTACATGTAGTGAAAGAAATGAAGTGGCGTAAACAACCACTTATTTGAAATAATAGCTTAGTGTGAATCTGAACTCCAAGCAAAAACCTTTTTGGAATTCTATTTTTAGGAGAGTTAAACATAGTAACTGCCTTATAAGCTCCACTACCTCAACATATTTAAAAGGACATGGTCCATCAGAATACATTTAATAATTAAATAACACTCCCCTCCACCCAAAAAAGTTTTACTAAAATGTAAAAAGAAGCCACTGTATTATCTTCAACCAAAAAATATATTTGAACATGTAATAGCTTAAAGCTAACTGATACAACTAACATTCTCCAAAGGCACATCATATTTTAAAAAGTAAAATAAACAAACACACACATACATAAAACATTACAATTCTTTAACATAGAAAAAAAAGTTGTGGCAAGAATCCTTACTTTCTAGTCTAAAAACCTGTAAGTCTGGATTCCCTTTTGTTTAAGAGCAAAACCCTATTGTTTAAAAAAAAATTTCAATCTCCAACTCCTAATGGCTCAGGTTTTTTCATATAATAAATATTTTGTTGCTGATTAGGTAGCTCACAAGAGCTCACTTTAAAAAGCCATGTTAAAACAGCTCTAAAAGGTTTAATTAGCATTTATGATGTAAGCCCTTTTGTAAAACATTTGAGCTAATTTAGGTACGATATGTCAGTATGTTGTTTAATACCTTTGGTTTACAACTTTAAAATGTTTTTAATCTTGAAGAGGAAGGAACTGGGGCAGCACAGACACGGAAACACATGAAGGCCTCCCTCTCGCTGGCTTTGCCATTTACCATGCGGGCTGAAGTGGTTTCAGGACGAGGCGATCGCTCACCTTCTAGTCAGAAATCAGATGACCTCAAAACAACCTCATTTCAGGCTGAGGCCTCATGTCTTTCGCTTAGAGCTAAAAATAAAAATACATGTGAATGAACAAATGAGCATGGAATGAAATCTCTAACATGACACTAAAATATAAAATATTAGAAGCCATTTTTATCACAGAAAAATGAAAATGTACACATTTCTACACAGAGAATCACAATCCTATTTTGAATGGAGTGGTGCCCGTCTTATCCTGTTAGCCGCTGGGTATCGTAACAACTGAAATCCAAGTTGGTTCTACAAAGCTAAAGTCATATTTGATTCATTTCCTGAGATTATAAAACACTGATTTATTTACTTATTTATTTGAGACAGAGTCTCACTCTGTCACCCAGGCTAGAGTGCAGTGGCATGGATCTCAGCTCATTGCAGCCTCTGCCTCCTGGGTTCAAGCGATTCTCCTGCCTCAGCCTCCCAAGTAGCTGAGATTACAGGTGCCCACCACCATGCCTGCTAATTCTTGTATTTTTAGTAGACACAGGGTTTCACCATGTTGGCTGGGCTGGTCTTGAACTCCTGACCTCAGATGATCCACCCGCCTTGGCCTCCCAAAGTGCTGGGATGACAGGCGTGAGCCACCGCACCTGGCCAAACATTTATTTTTAATAGAGTTAAATTTAACAATATTTTAATGAAGTCAGCTACTTAGATCACATATGTGTGTGTGTGTGTGTGTGTGTGTGTGTGTGTGTGTGTGTGTGTGTATGTGCCAGGGCAAGAAAGGTCAGTGTAATGCTAAACCGTAACAATAGCCTGGCCCTCAGAAATATATTTTTGTGTATTCACAACTCTTGGTTCCAATAGCAGTACTCGTACAACATGAAAACTAACCTTTTTCTCTAACCAAAATAAGGCACTCACTCATTCAACAAATACCGAATGTTTCTAAGCACCGGAATTAAGTGCTTGGTATGACAGAACGAGTTCTAAACCTCATCAGTGAGTCTGGAGTCGTCAGCCATCTATTTCCTAATTTGAGGTCTCAAGTCTGGGCTATGATGCTAAGGAGATTCCACAAGAGGTAGGAGGGCAGTATGTATTAAGTGACAACAGAATGAGGCTGCAGGATTTGAAACAAAATCCTGAATCCCTGAATCTCTCTGCTGTTGCTGTCAATGACCTCAACTCATCATGTGTCTGTCTCTTCAGTATGAAGCTTCTGTTTTCAAAATCCTATTTTAATCCTGGAAATTAATTCTTTCTCATTTGGAGAATGCTGGTGGTTTTGGTCCCAAACATAATGCCTCAGGCTATTTTGAAAGGTTAAATCTGCCAAGTACCTTCAAAAACCATTTATTTTAAGAGTAATTCATTCAACTGAAGCCATAATTTAAAATTCAGAAATCCTGCTGCTAAAGTTATATTTAAAGAATTGGCCCTAGCTATACTGTAATGAAGACAAATATGTTACAGAATGTTTTACACCATTCATCTATGCCCATTAAATATTATTCATAAATTATCACATATAGTCTACACTAACATTATCGTTCAATGTTTTGCATTTCTCTGCTGGTTCTACATATACCAATGACATTTTTTAATTGTGTGGGAATATGATACGTTACCAAAAAAATGTCAAAATATATGCACCTGATTCAAATTAAGCTCCATGTTCATCTTAACCCATTTCTGCCTAGGGTCCCATTACTGCAACGCTAAGCTTGTGGGAGTTATTTGTGTCCTACTGCTCAAGATCATCACCAAGGCCTGATTTTTCACAAAAAAATCTGCAACCTCCAGCATAAATGGGTTAAAACCAGAAGAATAAATACATTTCTGAGTTGGCTTATCTTCTATAATTTTTCATGGAGTCTAACTAAATTTAATATCTTGACAAATACTACCAAGTGAAATGTTTTGACTCTGAAGTTCATAGGTCTCAGAAAATACTTTAAAGTAATATACTGCAGTTTATGCTTAAATACTTAGAATAAAGAAGACAAGAACTATTGGGAGTCATATCTGGGTTTTAAGCAAATCAATAAGCTTTGAAAGTACATTTCCCACGGATGTTCGTAAGATGATTCTTAAGTTTTAGATTTTGCTGCATTCAAATTTTAAACATGGAAAACTGTATGCTGGTCTTATGTGCAAGCAGTGAAACCCGTCCTCCTTTCCCATGTATGTCGGAGGGCACTGTTCTTTTCAGTTCATAGGAAGCTTCAGAGAAAACGTAACTAATTCATAGATACCCTTTTTCCACTCTAAGTCTTAAACATGCTCATCTATGTATCCCAAATTTGTCCTGTGTCAACACAGAGAACCTGTCGGCTACCCACAGCTCAACTCTTACTTGACTTTTCTCTCTTTTTTTGAGACAAGAGTCTTGCTCTGTTATGCAGGCTGGAATGCAGTGACACAATCTTGGCTCACTGCAACCTCCACCTCCTGGGTTCAAGCGATTCTCCTGCCTTAGCCTCCTGAGTACCTGGGATTACAGGGGCCCATCGCCACACCTGGCTAATTTTTGCATTTTTAGTAGAGACGGGGTTTCTCCATGTTGGCCAGGCTGGTCTCGCACTCCTGACCACAGGTGATCCACCTGTCTCAGCCTCCCAAAGTGCTGGGATTACAGGCAGGAGCCACTACACCAGGCCTATTTGCTACCATTCGTTGGCAAGAACTAAAAGCAGCTGAGAGGTTTCATTCGCCTCCCGAACTCAGATGTCCCCCTTACATCTCACAACCTCATCCATGCCACAGTCACAGCTGCCATTTCCCCCTTTTTCCTTCAACCACTTGATGTTTTGTAATGCAGGTTACAGTCGACAACAACTGCGACACTGTCCTAACTCCAAAACTTTCACTACTTCCACTTTAGGCCTTTGATGATAAAATAAGGAGGCTGAATCCTCAGAGGTATATTTCAGCTTACTAACTATATACTTAGTCTTAACTTTTACTACTCATAAAACTCCATCCACCACTTCAGTAATATTACACTGTCTCCCATTTAATAGGATTGATGAATTCTAGTGAGTTAGTTACAAATTTAGACTAACTATAGAGTCAAACTTCTATAAAAACAAATGCTATTTATTTAAGAACATTCAACGTCAAAGATATTTTCATGAAAAACTGTTTCCTTAGTTTAGACTGAATCTTTTTTGCAGAAAGGGTTAACCCCCATGATACACTAGGGGTGAAACTGCAACCTGAACACTGCAGTCCCCTCTTAGAAGTTTTCTTTCTGCTCCCAGAACCTGACAGATTCTAAGATTTCCTGTCTGACACATACGCCTCTTGTCTCCTAACCCAGCAAAAACCAACAGCATTCTTAATTTCTGTGGGAGTCCTGCAACTTCACATATGCAGCTTGCACCCTAAACACAACACATTTATCAGTCAGAAAATCCCAAACTGAAGGATTCCACAGGAAGAAAACAGAATGTCTGAATGACGGCGTGGAGACAGCGGCTGGCCATTTGGGAAACTTAAGGCAGCATCTCTATCTTCATTCCTTAAGCCAAAATAACATCCAGAAATGTCACATTTAATCTGAAAATGTGAAACCATAAAAATGTGAAACCATAAAAATGTTCAAAGAAAATATGGCTGAAATTTTTAAAAGTACATTTTAAGGCACATGAAGAACTTTAATTATGACATAAACCCTAGGAGCCAAAAAAGAACACAACTGATTAAAAAGTGGCCAAAAAACCACTTATAAACAAACAACATAAACTGAGAAAAAATTCTAGTAAATATTAATATGAATACAGTTCTTATAAATTCCCAAGAAAAAGAAAACCCCATGAAAACTGTGCAACAATTACAGACAATTCATCAAGGAAAACAAGACCAATAAATACAGAAAAATAACTTCAAACCCATTCAAAAGCAATATAAACCCAAATGAGACGCTAACAGAGTGACAGGGAATACCGAGAGTGTGGGGGACCAGGCATCCAAACAGACCGTTAGGAGAGGTATACACCAGCACCAACTTTTTGAAGAATAATGACGTTATTTACCAAAATGTTAAAATCTGCATGCTTTTGACCCAGAAATTTAACTTCTGGGACCAGATTCTTATTTCTTCTCACACGTAAGCAAAAATATTTGTACGAGGACATTGTTTATAACCACAATACAGTACTACTCTTAATATACAAAAAAATGAAAGAAAAAATCTGCAAAACAAGCCCAACTGTCTGTCAAGGGGAAGCTGGTTTAAAAAAAATGTTACCTTTCTTTTCTTTTGTTGTATCTCTGCCAGGCTTTGGTATCTGGATGATGCTGGCCTCATAAAATGAGTTAGGGAGGATTCCCTCTTTTTCTATTGATTGGAATAGTTTCAGAAGGAATGGTACCAGCTCCTCCTTGTACCTCTGGTAGAATTCATCTGTGAAACCCTCTGGTCCTGGACTTTTTTTAGTTGGTAAGCTATTAACTATTGCCTCAATTTCAGAGCCTGTTATTGGTCTATTCAGAGATTCAACTTCTTCCTGGTTTCGTCCTGGGAGAGTGTATGTGTCAAGGCATTTATCCATTTCTTCTAGACTTTCTAGTTTATTTGTGTAGAGGTGTTTATAGTATTCTCTGATGGTAGTTTGTATTTCTGTGGGATCGGTGGTGATATCCCCTTTATCATTTTTTATTGCATCTATTTGATTCTTCTCTCTTTTCTTCTTTATTAGTCTTGCTAGTGGTCTATCAATTTGGCTGATCTTTTCAAAAAACCAGCTCCTGGATTCACTGATTTTTTGAAGGGTTTTTTGTGTCTCTATTTCCTTCAGTTCTGCCCTGATCTTAGTTATTTCTTGCCTTCTGTTAGCTTTTGAATGTGTTTGCTCTTGCTTCTCTAGATCTTTTAATTGTGATGTTAGGGTGTCAATTTTAGATCTTTCCTGCTTTCTCTTGTGGGCATTTAGTGCTATAACTTTCACTCTATACACTGCTTTGAATGTCTCTGAGAGATTCTGGTATGTTGTGTCTTTGTTCTCGTTGGTTTCAAAGAACATCTTTATTTCTGCCTTCATTTCATGATGTACCCAGTAGTCATTCAGGAGCAGGTTGTTCAGTTTCCATGTAGTTGAGCAGTTTTGAGTGAGTTTCTTAATCCTGAGTTCTAGTTTGTTTGCACTGTGGTCTGAGAGACAGTTTGTTATAATTTCTGTTCTTTTACATTTGCTGAGGAGTGCTTTACTTCCAACTATGTGGTCAATTTTGGAATAGGTGTGGTGTCGTGCTGAAAAGAATGTATATTCTGTTGATTTGGGGTGGAGAGTTCTGTAGATGTCTATTAGGTCCGCTTGGTGCAGAGTTGAGTTCAATTCCTGGATAGCCTTGTTAACTTTCTGTCTCGTTGATCTGTCTAATGTTGACAGTGGGGTGGTAAAGTCTCCCATTATTATTGTGTGGGAGTCTAAGTCTCTTTGTAGGTCACTAAGGACTTGCTTTATGAATCTGGGTGCTCCTGCATTGGGTGCACATATATTTAGGACAGTTAGCTCTTCTTGTTGAATTGATCCCTTTACCATTATGTAATGGCCTTGTCTCTTTTGATCTTTGTTGGTTTAAAGTCTGTTTTATCCGAGACTAGGATTGCAAACCCTGCCTTTTTTTTGTTTTCTATTTACTTGGTAGATCTTCCTCCATCCCTTTATTTTGAGCCTATGTGTGTCTCTGCACGTGAGATGGGTTTCCTGAATACAACATACTGAGAATTTTAGACCAATATCCTTGATGAACATTGATGCAAAAATCCTCAATAAAATACTGGCAAACCGAATCCAGCAGCACATCAAAAAGCTTATCCACCATGATCAAGTGGGCTTCATCCCTGGATGCAAGGCTGGTTCAACATACGAAAATCAATAAACGTAATCCAGCATATAAACAGAACCAAAGACAAAAACCACATGATTATCTCAATAGATGCAGAAAAGGCCTTTGACAAAATTCAACAACGCTTCATGCTAAAAACTCTCAATAAATTAGGTATTGATGGGACATATCTCAAAATAATAAGAGCTATCTATGACAAACCCACAGCCAATAACATACTGAATGGACAAAAACTGAAAGCATTCCCTTTGAAAACTGGCAGAAGACAGGGAGGCGCTCTCTCACCACTCCTATTCAACATAGTGTTGGAAGTTCTGGCCAGGGCAATCAGGCAGCAGAAGGAAATAAAGGGCATTCAAGTAAGAAAAGAGGAAGTCAAATTGTCCCTGTTTGCAGATGACATGATTGTATATTTAGAAAACCCCATCGCCTCAGCCCAAAATCTCCTTAAGCTGATAAGCAAACTCAGCGAAGTCTCAGGATACAAAATCAATGCGCAAAAATCACAAGCATTCTTATACACCAATAACAGACAAACAGAGAGCCAAATCATGAGTAAACTCCCATTCACAATTGCTTCACAGAGAATAAAATGTCTAGGAATCCAACTTACAAGGGATGTGAAGGACCTCTTCAAGGAGAACTACAAACCACTGCTCAACGAAATAAAAGAGGATACAAACAAATGGAAGAACATTCCATGCTCATGGGTAGGAAGAATCAATATCGTGAAAATGGCCATACTGCCCAAGGTAATTTATAGATTCAATGCCATCCCCATCAAGCTACCAATGACTTTCTTCACAGAATTGGAAAAAACTACTTTAAAGCTCATATGGAACCAAAAAAGAGCCCGCATCGCCAAGTCAATCCTAAGCAAAAAGAACAAAGCTGGAGGTATCACACTACCTGACTTCAAACTATACTACGAGGCTACAGTCACCAAAACAGCATGGTACTGGTACCAAAACAGAGATATAGACCAATGGAACAGATCAGAGCCCTCAGAAATAATGCCGCATATCTACAACTATCTGATCTTTGACAAACCTGAGAAAAACAAGCAATGGGGAAAGGATTCCCTATTTAATAAATGGTGCTGGGAAAACTGGCTAGCCATATGGAGAAAGCTGAAACTGGATCCCTTCCTTACACCTTAGACAAAAATTAATTCAAGATGGATTAAAGCCTTACATGTTAGACCTAAAACCATAAAAACCCTAGAAGAAAACCTAGGCAATACCACTCAGGACATAGGCATGGGTGAGGACTTCATGTCTAAAACACCAAAAGCAATGGCAACAAAAGCCAAAATTGACAAATGGGATCTGTTTAAACTAAAGAGCTTTTGCACAGCAAAAGAAACTACCATCAGAGTGAACAGGCAACCTACAGAATGGGAGAAAATTTTTGCAACCTCCTCATCTGACAAACGGCTAATATCCAGAATCTACAACGAACTCAAACAAATTTACAAGAAAAAAACAAACAACCCCATCAAAAAGTGAGCGAAGGATATGAACAGACACTTCTCAAAAGACATTTATGCAGCCAAAAAACACATGAAAAAATGCTCATCATCACTGGCCATCAGAGAAATGCAAATTAAAACCACAATGAGATACCATCTCACACCTGTTAGAATGGCGATCATTAAAAAGTCAGGAAACAACAGGTGCTGGAGAGGATGTGGAGAAACAGGAACACTTTTACACTGTTGGTGGGACTGTAAACTAGTTCAACCATTGTGGAAGTCAGTGTGGCGATTCCTCAGGGATCTAGAACGGGAAACACCATTTGACCCAGCCATCCCATTACTGGGTATATACCCAAAGGATTATAAATCATGCTGCTATAAAGACACATGCACACATATGTTTATTGCGGCACTATTCACTATAGCAAAGACTTGGAACCAACCCAAATGTCCAACAATGATAGACTGGATTAAGAAAATGTGGCACATATACACAATGGAATACTATGCAGCCATAAAAAATGATGAGTTCATGTCCTTTGTAGGGACGTGGATGAAGCTGGAAACCATCATTCTCAGCAAACTATCGCCAGGACAAAAAACCATATACCACATGTTCTCACTCATAGGTGGGAATTGAACAATAAGAACACTTGGATACAGGAAGGGGAACATCACACACAATGGGATATTCAATATTCAATAGCACACAGTGTGCCATAAAGTGAGTGATAATCAATTGTTTTTCATCTCTTCCATCCCAGACACAAGGCCAATCCAGATGAACTGCTGTTGCCACAGTCTCTTTCAGTGATCTTAAGTCTCCAAGCCCAGCTCCTTTGAAAATACGGTCTTGCCTTTTTATGGGACACCCACTATTACAGACAGAAGACATGAAACCAGTCAGGCTGCCTGGTAAAACGTCACTGAAGATCAGTCTCTAGGAAGGAGGCAAAGCTGAATGTGCTACAAAACTATTATTTGTCCATTTTACTTTACAGATCTCATATTTGCCCCAAATCAACACTAACCAGAGATAGAATACTTTAGTTATATAGCTGAACCATTCAGCAGGATGACAGGAGGCATAATCATGTCAGCATGGCTAGATTTTGGCCCTCACAGGCCCCTCCACCTGCCCAAAATGACAGGAGTCTCACAATTACTGTCACTGCTGACTACTAGCCAATGGGTGCGTAAGCAGTGGCAGGTATAAGATTTTGACATTTTTCCATTGGCACTCTTATTTAGAAAATAAGATATTCTTTAGATATCAGGCCAATTCTTTAGGTATCAGGCCACCATAATTGGTAAATAATGTAATTGTTCTTCAAAAAGTTAGTGACAGCTTAAACCTCTCCTCATGGTCTGTTTACCATTGGTAATCACTGTCAATCTGTTAGCATCTCATTTTAGTTCATATTTATTTTGAGGGCAGATTGACTCATACTATTTAATCTGACTTGGACCCTCACTAATATTTGGTATGGTTGATTCTGTTTTCCAGGGGAAAACTAGACAGGAAAAAGTAACACACAATTCATGTAGCAATGGAATAAACAAGCTCACTAACACAATAAGTTAAAATTTAAGTGATTAAAAAGCCCATGCCTCTGCCGGGTGCAGTGGCTCACGCCTGTAATCCCAGCACTTTGGGAGGCCGAGGTGGGTGGATCACCTGAAATCAGGAGTTCCAGACCAGCCCGGCCAACATGGTGAAACCTCGTCTCTACTAAAAATACAAAAAATAGCCAGGTGTGGTGGCACACACCTGCAATGCCAGCTACTCGGGAGGCTGAGGCAGGAGAATGGCTTGAACCTGGGAGGTGGAGGTCGCAGTGAGCCGAGATTGTGCCACTGCACTCCAGCCTGGGTGGCAGAGTGACTCTGTGTAGAAGGAAAAAAAAAAAAAAAAGCCCATGCCCCACACACAAACAAAACCATTTACAATATTTCTCTTGACAACTTGCTTTAAGTTGCCAACAACAATCTGGTTATGGACCTTGTCATTATAAACATAAAGATTTTTTGTTTTTTTTTAAATCGGCAAATTCTATGTTGACAAATACTGTAATCCAGAAATCTGCTTTTCTACTTCATATTGGACAGGCAACTAAAGTAGTCACATTGAACAAGGATATGCCCCACCTTCAAGACCAGCTGCTACAATGTGAAGCCTGACAAAGCTTCTATGACAATATCATCACCAACCTCAAACTGGAACTAATAGAAATAATCATAATGGATATACACGAGGATTAAAAATTCAAGTGTGCAGAGTTTAAGATACTTGGCTATATAAAGTTTAAAATACTCAAATATATCTTTATGTATATATACTTGTCTATATTTCATATTTTTCAAGAGGCTGAATCTCCTGAAGAAATCCAATATGCACCCCTACCCCGGGAAAAAAAAACAAAAAATGAAAAACAAAAAAGTCTCCTCATCTCAGTGTAATGCCAGACACTATTTGGAAATAAACACACCAAGGCAGTTCCAGTGTCCCGTGGTCCCCACCTGGCACCTGCACTGTGCTCTCTCTTCTGGGACTGCCCTTCCCTCCCTCATGATGTTCTTGGCTTGCCACCTCATCGCAGCAGAGGATCGGCTCCAGTGCTACCTGCTCAGAGGCACTGCCGTGAGCAGCCTCTCTAAAACAGTCCTGTCTCTTCATCAAATCCCAAGCAATCTCTAGGCCCCTCCTGTCCTGCTTGAGCTCTCTCTCTCTAGCACGATTTCCTACTAACATACTATATTTTTACTTATTTACTTTATCTTCCCTACTAGAATGATTCTAATTTACTGGCATTTACATATGAAACTACAGTTTAATCATTTGAGGGAGAAAAAAGCCAACCTTAATGCTATTCTATTATCAAGCATATTCATCTTACCAAAGAGGAAAGTGAAACCCCTCTGTTAGGCAAAACACAAACCAGGATGTGGCTAAGTTTCTACCCTTCATTTCTACTGGACTCTTGAGATCATCAATAACCCACTCAGCGGTGGGGCCAACTCGATGTGAACACAGTACACACATCCAATGAAACATGGGATGTAACTGGCAGAAACAAGCACGTACATTTTTTGAAGTAGAGAAGTCACAAGCAGAAGCTGAAAAAACAATTATTACATGGGCTCCATAGAATTAGAATAAAAATCTTTGTCAAAGCTCAACAAAATACTGAAATTGACTGATAAACTGATCAAGCAATTATAAAAGCCTAACTGTGAGTACAAGAGCACTTTAGGGTTGGTTGAGGCGAACAGAAATTAAGAAGAAAAGAGAGTTTAAAACACTGCAGGGGGGTAGGAGAAGGTTGGAGGGAGGCACAGGAAGCCAACAAGAGGAAGCAGGAGCAGACAGAGATGAGAAGTGGGCAGTGAGTAAAAGACGGCTCCATTATCTCCAGGGCATGAGGAAAATACAGGGCACTTTTTAAAAAAAGTATTGATGCTGGGCTGGCGCAGGGGCTCACGCCTGTAATCCCAGCACTTTCGGAGGCTGAGGCAGGTGAATCATGAGCTCAGGAGATTGAGACCATCCTGGCTAACACGGTGAAACCCCGTCACTACTATTAAAAAAAAAAAAAAAATTAGCCGGGCGTGGTGGCAGATGCCTGTAGTCCCAGCTACTCGGGAGGCTGAGGCAGGAGAATGGCGTGAACCCGGGAGGTGGAGCTTGCAGTGAGCCGA
This sequence comes from Homo sapiens, assembly GCF_000001405.40. Classification (NCBI taxonomy): domain Eukaryota; kingdom Metazoa; phylum Chordata; class Mammalia; order Primates; family Hominidae; genus Homo; species Homo sapiens. Next base: position 11,125,040 of record NC_000008.11, read on the forward strand.
GATCACGCCACTGCACTCCAGCATGGGCAACAGAGCAAGACTCTGTCTCAAAAAAAAAAAAAAAGAAAAAGAAAAGAAAAAAAAAGTATTGATGCCAGTAGGAAAATGTGAAAGCAAGCGTGGGGCCATGAGGGAGTGCACAGGTCACATGCCCATGACTCTGGCCCTGCTCACCCTGCTAAGGACCAAGCTGAGGACCGGAGGCGAGGCAACCGCTGCTGCTCTTCCTGCAAGAGGGGCCAGGCAAATGCAGACCATCTCCTTACGTACAGAGACCCTAGAACCCCGCACAATTCACAGGGCACATCGAGGCCTGAAGACACCTTTAGGTGTGCTCAGGTTATTGATTTTAGGCAAAGGGGAGGGAGGACAACACACCAAGATCTAGAAACAACTCCATGGTTGAGTATGAGATTAATTACCACAGAACAGGTGGGAGCTTACTAGGCAGGAAACATACAGAATTGTGAAGTTTTGTTGCAGGGCCATAACGGAGATGATGTGAGTCCTGTCACCACCCAGAGAAGATCCTCATGGCTTCCTGAGACCTATACACTCTAACTGAAATACCTAATAAACAGCCGTGCGAAGGACAGAGAGGACTTTTCCCTGTTCCTTAATTGCAGTACAAATTCCATACCTGCAAAAAACTAAAAACAACTGTGTTCCCTTCCTCCAACCTAAATTCCTCTCCAGGTTAAATATTTCCATTTCTGTCCACTGTTCTACATCTGTGCATCTGTACCTACATCACTCTTCAGTTTACCAAAGCCTCTCATAAAACGTCCAGGACCCTCAGAATGTTTAGTCCCAAGTACAACAAAACCGATGCTCTCCCGTGTTCTCAGTACTATACTTCTACCCATGCAGCCTAATGCCATGTTGCTTCTCTGGCACTACCTCCTAGTAACTCACAACAAACTTGATGGAAACTCTAAATCTCTTTGTCTTTCTTGCAAACACCAAGTAAGTCTGCTCTTCTATAACCTATACTTTGGCAGTTTTTTTTTGGTGGTTTTTGTTTTTTTTTTTTTGTTTTGTTTTTTTGAGACAGAGTCTCCCTCTGTCGCCCAGACTGAAGTGCAGTGGCATGATCTCGGCTCACTGCAACCTCCGCCTCCCAGGTTCAAACTATTCTCCTGCCTCAGCCTCCTGAGTAGCTAGGATTACAGGCGTGCACTACCACGCCCGGCTAATTTTTGTATTTTTAGTAAAGACGGGGTTCACTATATTGGTCAGGCTGGTCTTGAACTCCTGACCTTGTGATCCGCCCACCTCGGCCTCCCAAAGTGCTGGGATTACAGGCGTGAGCCACTGTGCCCGGCCTACTTTGGCGTTTTTTAAGTGATAAAGTACAAAACTCTACATTTTCTTATGCTACATTTTATCTTGTTTTTGGCCTACTACTCAGTTCTTGAATTTTTTTTTTTAAGTTCTAAAAGCGAATGTGTCATTAGTCTGGTTTTTGATTATAGAGATTCAAACTTACAAAACGCTCCTTCATATTACTTCTCAGCTTTGCAACGCAGGGCCATGTCACTTAAGGAAAACACCTTATATCTCACAAGAGGCCTTCTAGAATTGTAGTCACCTGCCGAATTTCCAAGATCCACAGACTAATCCTCACAGGGTCAACAAAACAATCTATTAATGAACAGAGCCATCTCTGGAGTCAGTTTCAAAGAACTGAACCATTGGACTAAAACCAAAATGCCAACTCGACAATGTTAAGTGAAAATTATAACCTCAGAGACCAGGAGATGTTAGAATCCTGGGGCCGATGTATGTGCCCCTCCCACAAGCCCCACAAACAAGTCATGTTGGAAACTGATATAAACCAAAGGGACCCAGATGATGAAATCATTGGCTCAGTGTGTTCCCTCCATGTAGGCATGCCACACAGCAAACCAGCTGTAATCCAATGTTTATTGAGCAAAGAAATCAAAGCAACTGGTCATCTAACATATATTTAACAACATCAGGGTAAGTTTGTCTTGTGTATCATTCTTTACAACAGGGTTATACTCTAGGACAGTAGAGTACTAAGGGTACTCTAGGTGGTACATTGGATAAACATCATCACTTTCATGAATAACCAACTCCCTTCCGGCAATCCCACTTCTTAACGAGATGTACTAGAATTCCACCAGACTGTGGTCAGATTCAGCTGGCCTTGGAGGTGGTTATTCTGTTCTACAAGCTCTGGAGTCACACTGGTTGAGTTCAAGGCCAAGCTCTACTGCTTTCTTTTCTAATTATGTGATCTTCAACGAGTTACTTATCTTTTTTAAACTTCACCACATAATAAGTTACCCATCTTTTCTAAATTTCAGTATTAGTTTCACTATAGCAGATGTAACAAATTACAATTACAATTACACTTACCAGTGGCTTAAACTAAGATAAATTATAGTTCTGTGGACTAAATGAAGGTGTCAGAAGGGCCACATTTCTTCTGGAGACTCTAGAGAAGAATCCACTCCCTGGCCTTTTCCAGCTTCTAGGGACCACATATATTCATTGGCTTGTGGCCCCTTCCTCTGCCTTCAAAGCTAGTGGTGTAACACCTTCAAACCTCTCTCTAGTTCTGACCACCCTACCTCTCTCTTTCACTTAGGAGGCCCCTTGTGGCTACATCAGGCCCACCTTACCCAGATAATCCTGGATAACTGCTTCATCCCCAAATCCTTAATCACCTCTGTAAAGTCTCCTTTACAATGTGCGGTTACATATTTATAGGTCTGGGGATTGGAATATGGACACTGCGGGGGGCGCCATTAATGTGTCTACCCCAGGGCTATTACGGTATAGTTTTAACACTGATTTGACGTTAACCAGTTGAAATTTAATGAAGCAATACGATTTTATCTTAAAATTTTGAACACTGTTACCTAAGGAGGACATGGCTATTTCAATGCATAGTTCACACTAAAATTAGACTGCATTTTTCTATTTCAGTTTTCACATAAAACGACATGCATTTGATTTATCAGTGGAGGGTAAAAAATAGAAGAGTTAAGCCATCAAAATCTTTACGGCTTTACCAATTAATACGGGACTAATTAAACAACAAATTAGCTAGAATGAAGTTAATACGTAAAGGACAATCTGAATGTTTGGTTGAGCTTTTTCTACTAGAAACAGGAAACCACACTGATCTGGTTTTCACCTTACCCCACTGGCCAGACCTTCGCACTCCCCTTTGCTGGATTCTTCTCCTCTCCCTGACCTCTAAAGCCCCAGTGCATCCAGGCTCAGTTCCCAGGCCTTCCTGTCTACACTCACTCCTGTGGGAAAGTCATTCAATCTCAGGGCTTTACTATCTGTGCTGACGCTCCAGATTTTATAGGTCTCAGTCAGACCTCTGAACTCCCGTCTCCTTCATCACAACTGCCTATTTGATAGCCCATCTCAGATGTCAAACAGGTATATGCATATTTAAAACCAAATGCCTGATCTTCCGAATGACCAGTTCTAGTAGTACATCTCATTAAGTGGGACTGCAGGAAAGCAGTTGTTTAGTCATCAAAGTGAGGCAGTTTTAATGATGTTTATCCAAGTACCACCTAGAGTACCCGCAGTACTCTACTGTCCTAGAGTATAACCCTGTTGTAGAGAATGATACACAAGATGAAATTACCCTGATGTTGTTAAATGGCTGTTCATTAAACACCTATTCCATCCCATTAAAAATCTTCACATCATCCTTTCCAACTTTCTTTCCCTCACATCCATTATGCCCATCAGCTGACCAAATTAGCTCAACCTTCAAAATATATCCAGAATCTGATCACCTTACCACCTCCACTGTCACCATCTTCAGCCAAGCCACCATCATCTCTTGCCTTGGTCACTGCTAACTGATTTCCTTTTAACCTTGTTCCCCTGGCTTCTTTAATAAAGCAGCCAGAAAGTCTTTTTTTCAAAAGAATTAAGATTTTTGGTTTGTTCTGTTCTCTCTTGTTAACTGAGGTGAAACTTACACACAGTGAAATTAAGCACATCTTAGGCTTCAATTCAATGACTCAGATGCATCCATGTAATCAAGAGCCCAATCAAGAAAATACTTCCAACTTTGGGCTATGATGAATAAAGGAGTTTCTTTTGGAGTGATGAAAACATTTTGCAACTAGACAGAGGTGATGGTTGCTCAACATTGTAAACATACTCTTACACGCCACTGAATTGTTCATTTTACAATGGTTAATTGTATGTTATGTGAATTTCACCTCAAAAGGCTATTTCTGTGAGAAAATACCTAATACCCCTGATGTAAAAAGCTAAAAGTTTTATCACTGCAGTTGTATCACTGCAGGAGTCAGGTACTTAAGAGATTTTTCAGTTTTATTGATGGTACTTAACAACAACAAAAAAATATTATAACCACCAAATGTTTCTTGAGTGGTTCACCCTTGGCTTTAAATGTTATCAAACAGTGGAGAGCTGCTCTCCACTTCCACAGGAGGACCATTAGATGCCCATCTTCAAGAGTCAGTAACTAACTCTAGAACCCAATAAGAATATTCATGGTACACGAACAGTCACAGAATACCATGCGCTGTTAAGAAGACGTTTCTTAAAAGATTATATACACTTAGTGTCAGACACTTTAAATGTTATAAAACCTTGATTCTACCAGAATTTAAATTTATCATAAATCTATAATTTAAGGATTTTGCATTTGCATCTAATTTTTTAAATCGATGTGGGAAGGAGGACAGGGAAACAGGACAGAGGGATCTTTTCTATCCAGCCAAGCCAACTGTCTTTAAAGCATAATCCTTTCCATTTTCTGCAAGTTCACAATAAATGTGTGAAGACAATTCAATCTTCACTTTTTTAAAAACCAATCTCAGCTGCTTGATATATAACAGGAGATGAGGAAAAACGCTATCTGAGGTACAAAGCTCAAGTGTCAATCTGAATTCTTAGTTCCAGATTGAATGGGAAATCCCTATCACATTTCTTACAGAGAAGATCTGACAATAAAGCGCTGAAATTAATTCTCCAAAGCCACAGAAAGGTAATCTCATTACATACTCAAAACACACACTTCTGAAAAGACAAGAAGGTCCTTTTCACTTCTAGAACTAGACAGTGTTTGGCATTTAAGGAAATAACACTATTTTGTGGCTGGTTGTGTGTATGTGTGTATGTATTTAGGGTTAAGATGTGTGCACTCAGTTTACAGTTTAATTTTTTTTAATGCTTCCAAAATGATAGATTTTTCAGCAAATAGTTAAAATTCAGTTCCTCTTCACTTACTGGTCAAGATCTAAGTTCGGGATTTTTACGTTTTCCAAAGCACAAGTGTTTTATCGCCATATCTACACTAAGCCACGTAGTAGTCTGGTTGGTCTTGAAAGTATCCATCCACGCTCCTTGGAACCATCAGGATCAGGGGCGAGAACCGGGACGTGTGTGTTACACACAGACAGTGCAATGGACAAAAACAACAAAAGATGGGTTCATTAAAAGTCTGCACCCAAGTGCCGTAGTCTCTGTAGACTTCCTTAGGCTAAAGGGCTAGGGGCTGCCAACTATGGCTAAGACGGCCTTTTCTCCCTCGCCGGTTTTTTTTTTTTTTAAGTTAACTATCCCCACCTAAGGATGATGTAAAAGGCCACTCAGGAGCTGGTATCTCCTTCAGACAAAGGTACAGATTGTGTATCTTCCATCACAAGCCAAGGGATATGCTGAACAAATAAGAAGTACGACAGATGCCACACAGGGGGCCTTTGTAAAGAACACTGGACCCACATATGTGCACACCTCCCAGAATCAACACAGACCTTCAGGACTCCAGTCCCTTAAGTATATGCCACTTGACTGCAGCAATGGTAACAGTAACCTTGCAGAGCAGCAAATGTGTCCCCAAATAGTAGATTTTATAGTCAAACTACCTAATTCTGAGCAGAAGACCAAGAAATGATGTCATGACATCACATACAATATAAGCACATTTCATAAATCGCTAGTTATGTAACTGAGGACCCTGTTTTAGAGATTCTGTCCCGGGGGATTTCTCTTCTAGCTGTGGATGGTAATCCTTGTTCACAGCCACAATAACCTCAATGCAAAAAAACACTCTAAATACTTGGCACTGTATTGAATTCAGCATTTGTACACTCTGGTTCATCTCAGTGAGCCTCTTTCATTTTCCATAGCTTTATAGTTCCCAGGCTTTTTCTTTATTTGTTACACAGATGATTCAACTGTATCCTATTTCTGTTTCATTTTTGGTTCTTAATCTGGATTATGCCTCTTTAGCTTCCTATGTGGAACTGTGTGTGAATTTAGGAACTGAAATTTACTGGAAAGATGTAAAATACAAGAAAGAGTAATTAACATAGAAGGCATGATGAAATCATTTTTTTTGAGTTTTTCTTTATTTATGATGTTAAAGAAGAAAATTCCTGAGAAACATACTTAAACTTCATGATGTAAATAAAGCTAACGTTTTAAAAAATATTTCTGTATGGCTTAAAAGCATAAAATTCAAAAAGTGAACAAAGGTACACAATAAAAAGTTTTCCTTTCATCCTTGCCATTAGCCGCCAGTTCTCTTCCCCTGAAGTAGTCAGTGTTGTCTAGCTCTCCTTTTCCAGTCATGCAACACATTCACAACAATATTCTGGTCAATGATGGACCACATATCTAATGGTGGTCCCAGATGATTATTTATACCATATTTTTACTACACCTTTTCTATGTTTAGATAGGTTAGATACACAAATACTTACCTTTGCATTACAACTGCCTACACTATTCAGTAGAGTAACGTGCTATACAGGCTTGAAGCCTCAGAGCAACAGGCTATACCAGACAGTGTAGGTGTGCAGTAGACTATACCATCTAGGTTTGTGTATGTCAGTCCATGATGTTGGCACAAGACTGCCTATGCATTTCTCAGAACATTATTGTTAAGTGATACATGACTGTGTATGTTTTTCCCCTAGTGCTGCTGGCCCGAAGAGCCATTATCTTCTCTGCATTCTGTGCTCTGATACAGTGGGTCTCAAACTTCAGCACTGCTGCACTCCACTGACCCGAGATTCTGATGCAGTAGGTCTGGTGCAGCGCCCTAAAATTTGCATTCCTAACAAGCTCCCAGGTATGCCAGGCCCATACTTTGAAAAGCCTGATCTCATAAAATCAAGTAATCAGTTGTCTTTGAGACAAGTTATCCTCAAGATCAAAGTGAATGCATCACAGTCACAGGTGGTACTTACAGAGCTACTGTCTAAACAACACTATTCTACAGTCTGTACTAGTTTCCTCTTAACCAAACCTAAATAACTTACTTTCTTTCTTTTTCTTTTTCTTTTTTTTTCCCCCAGACGGAATCTTGCTCTGTCACCCAGGCTGGAGTGTGGTGGTGCAATCTCGGATCGCTCACTGCAACCTCCGCCTCCCAGGCTCAACCAATTCTCCTGCTCAGCCTCCCGAGTAGCTGGGATTACAGGCGCCCACCACCACGCCAGGCTAATTTTTGTATTTTTAGTAGAGACGGGGTTTCACTATGTTGGCCAGGCTGGTTTTGAACTCCTGGCCTCAAGTGATCCACCCACCTCGATCTCCCAAAGTGCTGGGATGACACGTACGAGCCACCGCGTCTGGTCAACTTTGTTACTTAAAGTTCTATGTCATACCTGGCAATGGCCTAATCTTCAACTTTTACTTTCTTCATACTGGCTCTGTCCCTTCATTCATACACACACACGCACGCACACACACACACACACACGCACATTTTTTTTCTTGGAAGACTTTTTTTATTACTTACATTTCTTTTCACCTGTAATGCTTTGTATGATGTGTGAAAAAAAAAAAAATCTTCCAATGGAGATGCCAGAAATAAATGCTCTAAAGACAAAAGTTGCTTTTCAATTTAGACTAAAAAGATACAAGTAAAAAAGAAGAGTTAAAAATAAATTTACACATTTTTGAGATCAAAAATCTTGTAAGAAAAATGGCAAAAAGTAATTCATTTGACATCTAATGTTATAGTGAGGAGACAGTGAGTTTCAAGTTGTACTGCAAAGCAAATATATGAATATAGTTGGCTTTAAATACAAGCATACAAGGGAGAGGGTGTGGGTACGAGGAATTGAAACCTAAACGCACATTTATAAAAAGCTTATCGCTTTCAGTCATCAGAAGTAAGGTATCAAAACATGATCATTGCTCTGTTTGTAACCAGCTAGAATCACAGGTTGACAGATCTACAAAAATACGGCGTCAGCTTCACATCAGGCCCTCCTTTGTGAGAGGCAAGGTGGAAGTGCACTGTAGCAATAATCGTTCCTCTGTCATGATTAGGGCCTCTGAGCTGGACCTAACTCAGAGGACCCTGGGGCACAGCATGTGAACAATACCCTTAAGATCTGCCTCCTGGAGAGAGGGCAAAAACTAGGAGGAGACCAAGCTCTCCTTAGGAATGTCCAAGACCTTTCGGAGTATGGACCTTGAACTGGCGGGAATGCTGTTTCTCTCAGAGTACACACTCTCCGGGGAGACTGAAAAAGGAATAAATGCTAACACAGTACAGGCTAGGACTCAGCAAAGAATTGTGTGTCTAAGAATAGACTAACCTTTGCTGGGAAAAGCATGCTGGCAGGGCTATACCTCCTCCTTTGGAAATAGGCAGGTGGCTGAAATACCCTATGTTGAAAATCCTCCATGTCCTCAATAGCCTGATTCCTTTTAAGACCAATGTTACTTCCCTAAGAAATGTCAGGTCTTACAACCACCCCACATCCAAAACATAATTAACTCTATGCTTTCCATTATATCATAGACCTATTCAGACCATGTCGGCTCCTACTAAAACCCAGCAAGACTTCCTCCCATTTATGGAATAAAGTCTAAACCCCACAACTTTGTCTATGGTGCTATTCATGAGCTGGTCTCTTATGTTTTTGACCTGATCTTCTATCAAATAGCCTCATCCTGCAATTACTTGCACTTCCCCTAATGCATCCTTCAGGCCCACAGCCCTGAGCCCCAGAACGTGCTGCTGTTCTATATAAATGGCCTTCATCACCACACCCTGGTTCCTGGTTCATTTGGAGAACTCTTACACTCTACATTCAAAACAGCCAAGCTTCCCTTCCTTCATGACACCTTCCTTGCCCACCCTTACCTTCTCCTCTATGTCCCCAAACAACCCTCTCCCACCTCTTTCATAGCACTGATCACAGTGTGTGTTACTGTTGTCCATCTGGATTACCTCCCTTTCCATACCCTATCCCAATGCCTTAAGGGCGTGGAAAACAAAGACTTCTGTCATATGTATCTTTGGCCAAGATTAACAAAAATGAAAATATCTGAAACTAATAAGTATTAGCAAGGATACAGAGAAAAGGGTAGCATCATACACTGTTGGACAACTTGGCATTGACTACTCCAAGTGGAAACACTGCACAAGTTACAATTCTATGCACTCATTTCTGTCTCCTAGGCACAATGGCAGGCATTCAGTGGGTGCCATATGAATGTGTGGCATTTGTTAAGATTTTTAGGAAACTGAAACACAGAAGACTTACATTTTGTATATTTTTATATTTTTTGGAAAAGAGATTGGATGGTTCTTTTTACTGTGAGTTGGAGTGTAAACTGGTACAACCGTTTATGAAGGCTATCTGAATACACACACGCACACACACACACACACAGCCCCAAAAGAAATTAACCTACCAGCGAAATAATCATGGACAATACTATATTCACAAAAATGTATTCCGTGGTGTTATTTGTAACAGCAAGAATTAGAAAAGGCCTAAATGACCAATAATAGATCAACTAATTAAACTACAGTACAACCACATAAAATGCTATACAACCATAGAAAATTATGTCATAGGATGACATTTAATAATACAGAAAGATATTTCCATTATACTCTGCTGAAGTAAAAAGGCTGGCTACAAATTTTGATTGTATTTGTTTATTTTAAGTATATAAATGTCAAAAATGCATAGAAAATGCACTAATTTTTTTTTTTTTTTTGAGGCGGAGTCTCCCTCTGTCGCCCAGGCTGAAGTGCAGTGGCACGATCTTGGCTCACTGCAAGCTCCGCCTCCCGGGTTCACGCCATTCTGCCTCAGCCTCCCGAGTAGCTGGGACTACAGGCGCCCACCAACAAGCCTGGCTAATTTTTTGTATTTTTAGCAGAGATGGGGTTTCACCATGTTAGCCAGGATGGTCTTGATCTCCTGACCTCGTGATCCGCCAGTCTCAGCCTCCCAAAGTGCTGGGATTACAGGCGTGAGCCACCATGCCCGGCCAAAAAGCCCTAAATTTTTTAATTGACAAAAATATTGAGTTTCTGCCACCCTGTAATTTAGAATCTACCCCAGGATAGATAGAATAAAGTTACCAAAAGTTAATCATGATTTACTTACAGTTTAATATTGCTATCTTTAAATATCATTGTAACAATTAGGACTGGAAGACCCAAAGAAAGATGACTTTTACTATAGTTTAAATAGTTGATCTATTATCGGTCATTTAGGCCTTTTTCTAATTCTTGCTGTTATCAGATATTAAACTATATTCTAAAATCACATTAACTAAAATAGTGTGGTATGAACAGAGGAACAGAAAATGGGTGAATTCATGAAAAAATGTCTGAAAACATGTACATGTGTAATTTCTGAGGTAGAATTTCAAATAAAAGGAGAAAAAAATTAAAGAAGGAAAAGGAGAAAAAAGTGAAAAAACCACCATACAGAAAAAAATTTCATATAAATTCAAGATCTAAATAATTAAAAAAGAATAAAAGGAAGGAAGGAAGGAAGACTAAACAAGATAAAAATACAGAAAAGTACATTTTTAAAAGCAGAAAATATTTCTCCCAAAATGCAAAAACCACTTAAAAAGGCTGATAACATTTTAAAGGAATAGATTAATATATTGTTTATATAACTCAAAGTTACCAGTGTTTCAACAATTCTAAGAGGCATTCTTTTATCTATGGAATTGAGATATTTCTTACAATAGATGGCACCTTATAAATTATTGCCATTTTTTTTCTTTCTTAGAACATAAAAACTAGTGCATCCCACCACCGGAAGTATCTGCGAGGCAATAAAAAAGGATGAAAAGCTTTATGGGACTTTACGTATAGGACTTACATGCTGGTTTCCTCCATTACTAGGGACTGAATGTTTATGTCTTTCAAAAATTCCTGGCCTGGCGCGGCGGCTCACGCCTGTAATCCCAGCACTCTGGGAGGCCAAGGTGGGCAGATCACCTGAGGTCAGTTCAAGACCAGCCTGACCAACATGGCAAGACCCTGTCTCTACTAAAAATTAGCTGGGTGTGGTGGCGGGTGCCCGCAATCCCAGCTACTCAGAAGGTTGAGGCAGGAGAATCGCTTGAACCCGGGGGGCGGAGGTTGTGGTGAGCCAAGATTGCGCCATTGCACTCCAGCCCGGGCAACAAAAGCGAAACTCTGTCTCAAAAAAAAAAAAAAAAAAGTCCTACGTTGAAGCCCTAACCCCCATTGTGATGGTACTTACAGGTAGGGCCTTTAGAAGGTTATTAATTAGGTCATAAGGATGGAGCCCTCATGAGTGGGATTAGTACCCTATCAGTAGAGACAAGAGGGATGATCTCTTTACCACGTGAAGACAGCAAGAACGCATTCCCTCTGCCAACCAGGAAGAGGTCTTCACCAGGACCAACTCGGATGGCATCTGAATCCTGGATTTCCCAGACCTCAGAACCAGAAGGAATACATTTCCATTGTTTAAGCCACCCAGGCAATGATATTTCTGTTATAAAAGCCCAAACTAAGATACCCACACAGAGAACACCTACACACAGTGTGGTTACAGGTTGCATCATTTCTTTTTCTTTTTCAATATTTGCATATTCTCTAAATTTTCTACAATGACCCACCACATGAATTCTTTTAAAAGAAAAAAATGGTAAATATGAAATAGAATAGTAGTGTTGACCCTTAAGAGGAAAAAGATGGTAGAAGACACTATGTTGCTTACAGTAGACTACAAATGTGCGTGAAATTTGTAAATAAAAGATGAATACTTATAAATGTCACCACCTCCCTCTCTGATGTTTCTGAAACCAGAGCATATGTGGTTAACCTTGCTCTAGCTCCAGTCCATCCATCCATCATCATGCTAAAACATACAGCTGTAGGCAGTGGAGAAGAGCTGTATGTGGTGAGGAAAGCGGGAGACAGGAATTCCAGAAATGTCTACTAAAGCAGTGCTTTAAGTTTTAATTTATTCAAGAAACCAATACATATCAGAGCATAAGTGAGAAAAAGAAAACAATTATAAAAAATACAAAGGAGTCCAGGATAATAGAAATCTTTCTTCATTCACATATTCTAGCTAGAATAGTGAGAAGAAATTCTCCCTCAAACGTGGACAGTCCCTTACATCTTCAGCCGACACGGAAGTCTTATCTGAGAATAGAATCTCTGCTACACTAACCTAGGAGACGGCCAGGCAACTGCTGCGGTATACCCATCACCCCAGTGTTCTGGAAGAAAAAGACAGCAGGGAGAAGTTCTCTTTAGAACCAGCTCTTCTACACCAAATGAACTCAGGAGACAATGAATGGAAACACCATGCCATGGTGTGAGCAATGCAATGTGGAGCACAAGCAGCGGAGAGTCTGCTGAAGAAGCTACTCCCCTGAAATAGGAAAGAAGAAAACCAGTTGGCTCTGAATCGAATCCTGCTCCGGTCCTCTTTCTCTTTACCATTTCCCCTTAAACCTCAGGCTTTCTGAACTGCACCGCAACTCTAGAATCTTCAATTAAGGCAAATGAGGAAATAATGGAAAAAGACTGATATATTAAATAAACTAAAGAATAAGACTTAGGTCCAAAATCCTATTTCGTGACACAACTCGACCTTGATCACAGTAAACCCACCAGGCTCATTCTCTCTAATGCCCTGATGAAGCCGTCAGCAACCCCTTCTACCTCGGAAGACATCAGAGCAGAAGGGTGGGATCCTCCATCGCTGTCTTCAACGTAAACAACATTCTTAGGGAGAATGCTTGCCTCTACCATGGAATCTGACTACATGCTATAAGCACCTGCTCAAACCTGACTTTAAGACCCATTCCAGAAAGATATTATAAATGCAAAGATCATACGAAAATCCTGCAGGTACTTCAACAATGCATCACCTACTTAGGACACACATGTGTGGTGTCTCATGTTGAAATGTTAGCAGATGATAAGACTCTCCCACCATCTTCTCCCATTAGTATGAACAACTATGAGTTAGAACCACCTTACTGAGGGAAGAGGACACTGGTCAGGCATCTATCATAAAGAAACATCACCACATTTTATAAGCAAGTTTCTAGCTGTTAACAATTATCATTCAATATAGCATACTGTAGGTACCCAAACTGCTAGTGAACAAGTGCTGTGATTTAATGTCTGTCTCTACTATTGGCTCTCAGATGGTTTGGCTACATTAGTTTTCCATTCTATATTTGATTTCAGATTCCTACTAAAATAATTAAGTGGAGAAACCATTAAGAAGCAAAACTGTCTCTTATTTAATTTTAATCCTCCCTCCTGGGCCTTCCTCAACTCCATGCAACAAAGGTTGCATCAGTTTTTTTAAATAATCAGTTTTTTAAAACATCAAAACCCAAATATTCTTACAACCAAGAGGTCTTCAGGTTGATGAAAATGGGGAGATTATGATTCCTACAGCCAGAAGGACAGTTAAATTCCCAGTCCTCTGAATTTTCACAAAATGACTAATTTTATTTGAAATGTTCTATATTCTCTAAACAGGCAAACTATATAAAACAAATAACTTATGTTCCAAAGCCAGAATATTTTTACAATGAAGTTATCTGGGCCATTTCACCGGCAGAATAAAAAAAAAAAAAACCTGACCTCAAGATGAAATTTTCAACAATATTCATATTCACTAATATATAGTTAGCTAGTTGCCACATTCTGGATAATTTTCAGTAACTTGTTAATGATTAATAAAAGCAATTAGTTCTCTAACCCACTCTATGGCAATTTCAGAATAAAACCATTAACCTTTAATAGTAAATGCAAATTACAAAGCTTTAACAGGCAATTTTACTCTCTTGGCCTCCACAACAAGGGTGTTATTTTATAAAAGATGCTTTCCTCCATGAAATAAGATAAAATTCTTCACTTTTATGTACAAAACTATAATTTTCTCTAAATGAAATATAAAAGCAGAATAAGTAGCAAAACCCAAAGTCAGACATCATTTCTTACGTAACTCAAAGAATCCTGTGGACAGCAAGGCACACGCAGGTAGGGAGGCAGTGACCAGGCCCCAGCAGTCACTGCCCCTGCACCAGCCACTAGAGGAGGCATGGGCTCTCGGGAAGGCAGAACACCCCAACAGCCTGAGGCACTCACTGAAAAGCACAGCAGACCCATTTCTTGCCAGCAGCTGCTACTAGGAGGGATCTGGCCACTCCACAGAGACAGGGAGTGCAGTCCGAGGGACTAGATGAGCCTCACCTCCTGGAACTCGGAAAACAGATGCTCCAGGGCTCCCGCTCCAAGCCAAGGCCTCACACTGAGGAGAAAGTGCTGGGACTGGATTCAAAAAGGAGCAAAACAGGGACAGGGACAAAGAAAAGGCAGGTAAAACTGGGAGAGGGGAAGCAGGAAACCTGTACAAAAGCCACAGCCGAAGGGGCTGTAACAGGGCAGTGTATCTCCCAAGTCTCCTTCCATGAGTTGAGGAAAACTAGCGTCACATACAAACAAGCACCGAAAGCACTGAGGTCAGACCCCACACAAACTTACTACGAGAGAAAGATTTAAGCAGCAAAATCCCCACAGACAAGGAAAGCACACTGAAGAAAATACAATTCAAACTGAGCTAAAGTATGTGAAAATGATACAAGCCATGAACGAAGGTAAGCCAGAATGATTTCCTTTTTAAAGTTCAAAAAGCGGGCAAATCTCTAGGAAGTACAAATAAAGGAGAAACTCGTTTTATACATAAAGATTATATGGAAGACAAGAACACGTAAACACAAAAATGCTTTAAGAGAAACAGGCGGCTCGAAGAAGAAAATTTTTTAATTAAAAAAAAAAAGAAGAGATAAAAAGAATGCAAGAGAAGAAATGAATACTAAAGACAGGCAAAGAATACCTGAAACAGATAACAGGAGTCTCTGACTATAAAAGCAACAATGAAGCAATGGAACAGGACAAATACTGAAGACTACAATCCAAGAAACGTTTTCCGAATGAAAAACGATCTGAAGCTATACACTGAGAGAACATACCACCTATCTAAGCCTATCAACCACAAATGGCTAACACCAGATTAAGAAAAAGTCCTTTGGGTATCGAGGCAAAAAGACCACATGACTTACAGAGGGAAATATCACTGCACATTTCCAGCAACAGTTTATGCCAGAAGGAAACAGAGAAAGAGAGTTAAGATACTTAAGGAAAGAAAATACAAGCCAATAATTTTATCTCTAAGTAAAGTGACCTTCAAGTATCAAGGGGACAGTTATCACTAGACAAGGATTCAAGATATGTTGTTCTTAAGAACCCTTCCTGGCCTGGCATGGTGGCTCACACCTGTAATCCCAGCACTTTGGGAGGCTGAGGTGGGTGGGTCACGAGGTCAGGAGATCAAGACCATCCTGGCTAACACGGTGAAACCCGGTCTCTACTAAAAATACAAAACAATTAGCCAGGCATGGTGGTGGGCGCCTGTAGTCCCAGCTACTCGGGAGGCTGAGGCAGGAGAATGGCGTGAACCCAGGAGGAAGAGCTTGTAGTGAGCCGAGATCGCACTACTGGACTCCAGCCTGGGCGACAGAGCGAGACTCTGTCTCAAAAAAAAAAAAAAAAAAACCTTCCTGAGAAACCTCCTAGAGAATAAGCTTCAGAAAATCAACATCACTCCAAAGACATATATGAAAGACTGCTGTGAGTATAAACTGATTACACAGTTACTTGCAGAATCAAGTTAAAATGAGAGTTAAGAGGCAGAGATTACAACACGTAATGGTTACACGCTAAGTCGACATGGTACAACAATTAAACACACAGGAGAAGGGGGAGAACAGATGCAAAAGACTTTAACTGTATTCAGTAGTCATAACGGAAGCTGGTAGTACTAGTACTGTTATTCAGAGACTTCCTATGTGTATTGTGGGACAAAGCAAATAAGTAATTCTATAATAGTCTATCATCACGTGTTATGCACTGAATATGTCCCTCCAAAATTCCTATGTTGAAACACTAATCCCCAACACCATAGCACTGGGAGGCAGGATCCTTGGGAACTAATTAGGTTTAGATGAGGTCATGAGGGTAGACCCCCCATGATGGGATTCATGGCCTCACAAGCAGCCTTAACTAAGGCACCATGTGAAGCTGAAAGCCAGGATTCTCAGTGTAGAAAAAAGAAAATAGAGCTGTAATACATAAGAGATGATGCAAATGACCTGCGGTCCTTAGAGGATAGGTGGCTTGCAAAGAGAAACAAGTCAGACGCATACTCTTGACGTGGACCCCAGCTCTGAGGACTCCCAGACCAGTGCTCTTGGCTCAGCAACTAGGCTCCAGTTGGTTACGTCACTGACGGCTCCACAGCTCTCCCCCAATATGAGTGATCGTGTGCCCAGTATCAGGAGTGGAACAGCAGCTCCTGATGGGAGCCTATCTGTCTCCATAGCCCTTGACTGGTGACCCTAGCCACACTCTCAAAAGGATGACAACTGAGAGGGAAAAGGTCCTGGAGCATAACCAATCTATGCTACTAGAAGGTAGGACAGTAATTATCTTTGGTGGAGTAGGGAGCGGGGAGTGACTGGGGAGGGGTCTAGGGTGCTGGTGATGTTTTCTTTCTTGATCTGGTAACTGGTTATAGGGATGTCACCAAATTGTCACTCTGAAAATTCTCCAAGCTGGACACATAAGATTTGTCCATTTTTTTCTGTTTATATACTACATTCCAAAAAAAAAAAAAAGGAAAAAAGGAAACACCAAGACAAGTTGTTCTGAACTTGAAGTAAAAATATCAGTATGAACTCAAGATGTTTTATTTTTATACACACACATACATTTCAGCCCTCTCTACTGGGAAGGCACAGAAGCAATGATAAACCCAGTAACAATTTGCATCCAGCATCTATACTCAGGTCTTGAAGCATCATTTCCAATTAAATAAAACTAGGACTTCTTTGAAAATGGCTGATTCTAGGCCTGGGCAAGATATGTAGATAATGAACCTGAAACATCTTGACATACCAGACAGCAAGAAAGCTATAAGGGCTTGTAAGGTCTGATCAAAAGGACTCAGGAGTCAATTTAAGGAGGCTCCCTTTGGCCAACTGATACAGTTTGGATGTTTAACCCCTCCAAATCTCATGTTGAAATGTAATAACCAGTGTTGGAGGTGCGGCCTGGTGGGAGGTGTTTGGATCATGGGAGCAGATCCCTCATGAATGGCTTAACACCATCTCCTTGGTGATGAGTGAGTTATTGCTCTGAGTTCACACGAGATCTGATTGCTTACAAGTGTGTGGCATCCCTGCTCCTTGCTCCAGCTCTTGCCATGTGAGATGCCTTCTCCCCCTTCGCCTTCCACTATGACTGGAAGATTCCTGAGGCCCTCACCAGAAGCAGAAGCTGGTGCCATGCTTCTTGTACAGCCTGCAGAACCATGAGCCAATTAAACCTCTTTTCTTTAGAAATACCCCATCTCAGGTATTTCTTTATAGCAACACAAGAACAGCCTAATACATCAATGATGGAACAATGTGAGCTTCAATGAGGATGAGAATGACAATGAATTGTAACTTGTCGACTATGCTGAAAGCTCTGAGATCACAACGATTTTTTTAAAAAAGAAAAGAAATGAACTGGTCACGTTCTAAGGATGACAGGAAATCAATTCATTATTTTGAAAGCTGTGTAAATAAAAGGAAAGAATCAAATATTCATCTTGACTTTCCTAAATAAACTCAACAACCAAATAGATAAGGAGAAGCATCTTCTTATACAATTATTCCAGTTAATAAATGAAAACAGAATGACAAAGTCAAATACCACCATTTTACAATCCTTAATAAATTAATAAATCTAGGCACTGAGCATCAATAGCTAACATAAAAAAAAGAAACAAAGAAAGAAAGAGTGAAAACCAGACGATACACATTCTGATAAAAAACAAACACTACTCAAAACTCTCATGAAGATCAGCAGTAGTACTGTGCCTGTGAATAGCCTCTGAAGTCCAGCCTGGGTGACATGGCAAGACCAAGTCCCTTCTTTAAAACACACAAAAAAGAAAAACACACTACAACATATAATTGTGCTGAAGGGATTAAATCCTAATCCGACAATGTAACTGCATTCTGCTGCCAATCTGCAGAAAACACAAGAGGACAGAGGAATATGTTGAATTACACCAGCAGAGCGCAGACTGAGAAACAACATTAAATAGCTGGAGTGATACCTACAGATTAGGAGACTTAAAAGACACAGTCTAAAAACATTACCAAAACCAAATTATTTAGTGTCTAGAAATGTATGATGGGGTGAAGGAACTATAAAGAAATGTAAAGAAGCAACTACTAGGAAAATCAGAAGAGTGGTTACTTTGGAGGAAGGGAAGGGATTGTGATTAGGATGGGACACATACGGGAGTTTCTAATTTCCTGCTGTGGTCCTGGATGGTGGCTAAAGGGGATTCACTTTACAATAATCCGCTAAGCTACTTCATTCGACTCTGAGGGCTACCATAACAAAATACTGCAGACTGGGTGACTTCAACAACAGAAATTGATTTTCCCACAGTTCTGGAGGCTGGAAGTGCAAGATCTAGGTCTCAAATGGGTTGTTTTCTCCTGAAGTCTCTTTCCTTGGCTCACAAACAGCCACCTTCTCCCTTTGTCCTCACAGGGCCTTTCCTCTGTGCATGTGTGTCCCTGGGGTCTCTCCCTCTTCTTTTAAGAAGTTGCCAGCCAGACTGGATTAAGACCCCCCGTCAATGACCTCGTTTAACCCTAGTTACCTCTTTCAAGGTCCAAACATAGTCATACTGGGGGTCAGGGCTTCACATATGAATTTGCTGAGGGGGCTTGAGGGATGCACAATTCAGTCCATAAACGCTGTATATATTTATTTGATGTAGTTTTGTTTTAAATAAAAAGTGTGTGTGTGTGTGTGTGTGTGTGTGTGTGTATCTAAAGTAGGCTTCACAGGTCTTCTCGGCTCCCTCCTGAAACTCTCATGAAATAAAGGAAGAAGCGGGTATAACCCCAGAAGGAAAGACAGAAGTGAGAAGTGATGATACTAGATGAGAGATGGTCACATTTGAGAAAGTGGAAAGGAGACAGAGGGGTCTGCTGGAGCAAAGTCGAGAAGCAGGAAGTAGACTCAAAACTCAGAACCCTAGGAAGTTCAGGAAATGAAAGGACCACGTAATCTGGAGACCAGGGCGCAGGCACAGGATGGCGCTAAGAGCTCGGCTGGTAATGATTTTGACTAACGAGCAGTTTGAGTCCCAGACGCTTTCCTGCAGCAGTTACCTGTGGGTAACTGTCCTCCCTCACTCAGGCAGATACCTCGATATCTGCTTTCCAGGTATAGACCCAAGTATAGGGTGAGGGCAAAGTAGCAAGCCGCCAAGCTCCTTCCTTCTTTCCTCAAAGCCGTGCCTGAAACATTCAAACACTACCTTCCATTTTGACTCCGTAAGATAATTAAAGTCCTCATCTCCAGAGCCCTGCCTTGTTCACATCCTAAACAAAGACAGCTCAGTTTGGAGGAAGGGAAGGGAAGGGAGGGGTAGGGAGGGGAAAGGAGAGAAGGGGAAGGGGAAGGAGAAGGGGAAGGGGAAGGGAAAGAAGGAAAGGGAGAGAAGCGAGGAAAGAAGGGAGAGAAGGGAGGAAGGAAGGGAGAGAAGGGAGGGATGGAGAAAGGGAGAAGGGAGGGAGGAAGGGAAAGAAGGGAGAAAGGGAGAGAAAGAAGGGAGGGAGGGAGGAAGGAAACAAACTACCTGAGTATCTCTAATCTGAAAATGCAAAACCTAAAATGCTCCAAAATCCAAAACATTTTGAGCAACGACATGATACTCAAAGGAAATGCTCACTGGAGCATTTTGGATTTCAGATTTTTGGATTAGATTTTCAGATATCTACATCATGCTCAACTGGTAAGCATGATGCAAATACTCCCAAAATCCAAAAAATGCAAAATCCAAAAACACTTCTGGTTCCAAATGTTTCAGATAAGGAGGACTCAGTCTGCACCAGAAACGTCTCTAAGTCTCCCACAACTAAAGATAATAATTTTCTTTGCTGAAAAGGCCAAGAACCAGAACAAAAGATGAAGACATCCACATCAAAGTACATTGTTATAAAACTTATTTGTAGATGACATGATCATCTACACAGAAATTCCCATAGCCGCTACCAAAAAAAAGTTTCTGCAACTAAGACTTAGCAAGATTGCAGGATATGCAAAGATAAAAACATCAACTGTATTTCTATAAAAATAAACTAACAAAAATAGAAATTAATAGGACAATGACATTAATAGCATCAACAATGAAACAGAGAGAAATCTGACAAAAGGTGCACAGGAACTTTACACTGAGAACTACAACATAATTGCTAAGAGAAATTAAAGATCTAAATAAATGGAGAGATACGCCATATTCATGGGTCAGAAGGTTTAATATTGTCATGATTTCAATTCTTCCAAAACTGATCTGCTAACTCAACACGATCAAAATCCTAGCACACTGTTTTTGTAGAAATTAACAAACTGATTCCAAATTCAGATAAAAATGCAAACGACCCACAATAGTCAAAATGATTTTGGAAAGGAAGAATAACGTTTGAGGACTTACATGACTTCAAGACTTTATAATGAAAAACCTAGTAATAAAGACAGTGTGGTGTGGGCATCGAGATACACAAAAAGGACAATGGAACAGAATCAAGCTCGGAAATACATATTTATGGTCAATTGACTTTTGATAAAGGGGCAAGGGCAATTCAGTAAAGAAAGAATAGCCTTTCAACAAATAGTAATAGAACAACTGAATATTCATATTGTTTAGAAAACACAATAAAGCAAAACCAGCACTCTGATCCACACTTCATACCATATACAAAAAGTAATGTAAAATGGATCACAGAACTAGATATTAAACTTTATAAAACAGGTAGAAGAAAATTATAGGAGAAAATCTTTGTGCCCTTGGGCTTGACAAAGATTTCTAAAATATGATACCAAAAAGCACAACCTGTTAAAGAAAAAACTGGCTAAGTGTGGTGGCTCATGCCTGTAATCCCAACACTTTGGGAGACTGGGGCAGTCGGTCTGCATGAGGCCAGGAGTTCAATACCAGCTTGGGCAACACGGCGAAACGCCATCTCTACAGAAAGATTTTTAAAAATTAGATGAGCATGGTGGCATGTGCCTGTATTCCCAGCTATGTGGAAAGCTGAGTTGGGGGGATCACCTGAGCCTAGGAGAGAGAGGCTGCAGTGAGTCAATATCATGCCACTGCACTCCTGCCTGTGTAGAGTGAGACCCTGTCAAAAAAAAAAAAAAAACACTAACAAAATGGGCTTCATCAAAATGAAAAACTCCCACTCATTACAAGATATTATTATGAGAATGATATGGAAATAATCTCAATGTCCATTGTCAGATGAACAAATAAAGAAAGTGTGGTAAACACACACAATGAAAAAACATTTGTTCTTAAAAAGGAAGGAAATCCTGCCATTTGTGACTACATACACAGACCTGGAGGGCATTATGTTAAATGAAACAAGCCAGACACAGAAAAACAAATACCACATAATCTCACTTATATGTGGAATCTAAAATAGTCAGACTCACAGAAACAGAGTAGAATGGTAGTTGCCACAAGCTGGGGAAGAGGAAAATGGGGAGGTGATGGTCAAAGGGAAAAAATACAGCCTGAAGCTAACAATACTGTGTGGTATACTTAAAATTTGCTAAGAAGGTAGATCTCATGTTAGGTGTTCTTACCACAAAATTAATAATAATAATAATAATAAATAAATAAAGGGGGTGAAAGGAAACTTGGGGTGGTAATGGATATGTTTATGCTCTTGATGGTGTTAATGGTTCCAAGGGCATGAACTTATCCCCAAACTTATCAAGTTGTATAAATTAAATAGGTACAGCTTTTTATGTGTCAATCATTTAAAAAAGAACTTGTACCTAGAATAAAGATTCCTCAAAAATCAATAATAAGAAGCCAAACAACTCAAAACATGTGCATGAAATCTCAACGGACACTTCACTAAAGAAGATATATGGATGGCGGCCAGGCGCGGTGGCTCACGCCTGTAATCCCAGCACTTTGGGAGGCTGAGGCAGGCAGATCAAGAGATCGAGACAATCCTGGCCAACATGGTGAAACCCCATCTCTACTAAAAATACAAAAATTAGCTGGGTGTGGTGGCACGTGCCTATAGTCCCAGCTACTCAGGAGGCTGAGACAGGAGAATCACTTGAACCTGGGAGGCGGAGGTTGCAGTGAGCCAAGATCGTGCCACTGCACTCCAGCCTTGTGACAGAGCGAGACTCTGTCTCAAAAAAAAAAAAAAAAGCTATATGGATGGCAAATAAGCATATGAAAATATGCTCAACATCACAAGCCATTAGGGAGAAGCAAATTAAGGAGATGCCATTACACACCTAATAGAAAGGCTGGAATCACAACAGTTGATCTTACCAAGTGCTGGCAAGTATTACAGGCTGAACTGACCCCTCCTAAAATTCATAGGAAGGCCTAATTCCCAGTATCTCAGAATGTGGCTGTATTTGGAGAGGAGGTCTTTAAAGAGGTAATTAAGCTAAAATGAGGGCCGGGTGCAGTGGCTTACACCTGTAATCCCAGCACTTTGGGAGGCCAAGGCAGGAGGATCACTTGAGGTCAGGAGTTGGAGGTCAGCCTGACCAACATGGTGAAACCCTATCTCTACTAAAAATACAAAAATTAGCTGGGCGTGGTGGCATGCACCTGTAGTCCCAGCTACTTGGGAAGCTGAGGCAGGAGAATCCCTTGAACTCAGGAGGCTGAGGCTGCAGAGAGCCAAGATCATACCACTGTACTCCAGCCTGGGCGACAGAGCAAGACCCTGTCTCAAAAACAAACAGACAAACAAACAAAAAAAAACTAAAATGAGGCTATCATGGTGGACCCTAATCTGATCTGACTAGTGTCCTTATAATAATAGGAAATTTGGACACAGAAAGTGACACGGGATGTGCATGCTCAGAGCAAAGCCCATGTAACAAGGCAGGTGGAGGGCAGCCGTCTGCAAGCCAAGAAGAGGGGCCTCAGAGGAAACCAATGCTCCTGGCACCTTGATCTTGGACTTCGAGACTCCAGAACTCTGAAGAAATACATTGCTGTTGTTTAAGCGCCCCAGTTTGTGGTTGTTTGTTATGGCTGTGCTAGCAAACAAACACAGAAAGGATATGAAGCAACTGCAATTCTCAGACTGCTGATGTGAATATAAAATGGTTCAACTACTCTGGAAAACAGTTTCGCAGTTTTTTAAAACCTTAAACATATACCTATCATATGATCCAGCTATTCCACTCCTAGGTATTTATCGAGGAGAAATAAAAACATGTCCACACAAAGACTTGTACACAAATGTTCACATCATGTTTATTTGTAATAGCCCTAAACTGCAGACAACACAAGTATCCATTAGCAGATGAATGGACAAACTGGTGTTTCCATATGATGCAATACTTCTGACCAATAAAAAGGAAAGAACTATTAATACCACACAACAACATGAATGAATCTGAAAATAATTATGCTGAGTAAGCGAAACAGAAAAGAAGACAGTGTGTAATTCCATCAACGTAAGATTCCAGAAATGGCAAACTAATGTATGATGAAAGAAATATCAGTGGTTGCCTGGAAATGAGGGATGACAGGGAGGGGATTACAAAGGCACATAAGGAAACTGTGGGGGTCTCAGGACCTGAATGTTTGTGTGCCCCCAAAATTCAGATGTTGAAAGCCTAACCCCTAATGTGATGGAATCAGGAGCCCGTGGGAGGTACAGTCATGTGTCACTTAAGATGGGAAAACATTCCGAGAAATGCATTATTACAGTGCACTTACACACGCCTAGATGGCATTGCCTACGACACACCTCGACTCTATATACAGCCTATTGCTCCTAGGCTACAAACCTGCATGGCAGGCTACCATAGTGAATGCTGTAGGCAACTATAACAAAATGGTAAGTATTTGTTTAACTACACATAGAAAAAAAGTACAGTAAAAATACAGTATTATAATTTTATGCAACCACCGTCGTATATGTGGTCTGCTGTACACCAAAATGTCATTATGCACCTGACTCTAATTCAAAACATCAGATTTGATACTTTACATGTTGTCTACATCTCATGTTCAGAATGGTTCCATATTTAAAATCATACTGCATCATACTTTTGTAATATGAAAAAAATATTAAAAGCTAATGAGATGAAAATATTTCAAGAATGCCTATGCTTCACGTTAAAAAAAAAAAGACCCACTGTTACTGTTGCTGAGAATGTCAATTAGTACAGCCACTACAGAAAACAGTATGAAGATTTCTCACAAAACCAAAAACAGAACCACTATATATGATCCAGCAATCCCATTACTGGGCATTTGTCCAAAGGAAAAGAAATCGGCACATCAAAAAGAAATCTCACAGACTATTCACGATAGCAAAGATGTGGACTCACCCTAAGTGTCTGCCAACAGACAAATGGAAAAAGAAAGTGTGGTATATATACATGATGAAATACTATTCAGCCACAGAAAAGAATAAAATCACGCCGTTTGCAGCGTCATGGATGAAACTGAAGGTTATTAAGTGAAATAAGCCAGGCAAAGAAAGACAAATATTGCATGTACTCACATGTGGGAGCTAAAAAATTGATCTCATGGAGGTAGAGAGTAGAATGAGAGATACCAGAGGCTGGGAAGAGTTGGGTGGGGGAGAGGGCTGGTCAATGGATGAAGACAGGATGGCTAATGGATACAAACACACGGTTAGAAGGTGTAAGTTCCAATGTCTGATAGCAGAGTGGAGGGACTATAGTTAACAACAATGTTTTGTGTATTTCAAAGTAGCTACAAGACAACTCAAAATGTTCACCAAACACAGAAATGATAAGTACTCAATGTCATGGATACCCCAAATAACCCAACTAGATCATTATACATTCTATCCATGTAACAAAACACCACATGTACCCCATGAATATGTAAAATATCATGTATCAATTTTTAAAACCCACTGTTGTTTTATGCTTTATGCATAAGCCATTTGTAGAAAACAAGGTGAAAGTAAATTTGATTACGTAAAGTCCCCTTCCCCCCGGGGTTCTGGAAACTTCTCTGATTCCATCCCATTTTTTAAACTGGAATATCTAACTATCTGGAAAAGAGGAGCTGGACAGAATGATCTCTTAAAATTCCTTCCAGGCTGGGCGTGGTGGCTCATACTTATAATCCCAGCACTTCGGGAGGCCAAGGCGGGTGGATCACCTGAGGTCAGTAGTTTGAGAGCAGCCTGGCCAACATGGTGAAACCCCGTCTCTACTAAAAATACAAAAATTAGCTGGGTGTGGTGGCGGGCGCCTATAATCCCAGCTACTCAGGAGGCTGAGGTAGAAGAGTCGCTTGAGGCCGGGAGGCAGAAGTCACAGTGAACCAAGATCAGGCCACTGCACTCCAGCCTGGGTGACAGAGCAAGACTCCATCTCAAAAAAAAAAAAAAAAAAAAAAAATTCCTTCCAACCTTGAAATCAGTTATTTTTTTCTCCTCTTTTCTTCTATCTCCTCAAACCATAATAAAGATGTGTGTTGTTCACTTTATTCACTGAATGCTATTTTGTGCTATCTTTCCTTAACTTAAAATTATGTTAGAATTCCTCCCAAGAAAAAATAAACCCAAACTAATATGCTTCATATAAGACTCTTTTGTGAGTAGCCCTTAAAATGTGCCCCTTTTACCACATTCCCTAACCTCTTCAGGATATTCTTCCAGTTCCTCTTTCTCCCCCGCAAGTGACATACTCATTGGATATTTGGAAAATAATAATTTTTGTCCCAAAAGTAGAGAATTTCTACTAGTGAAAGTATGCAACCTTGAAATTATTTAATTTTTCCTTCCCAATTTTAAACCGTATTTATTGAACTTTAACCCAAGTTCATGTATACTAATAAAAATATAATCATACACTGTGCATTTGCTAGGTGTGTATAAAGAAAATATTTACATTTACTTTGGAAAAGTTTTGTAGGACTGCAGAAAATTGATTAAGAGCAAAGAACATGCACATCATTTGCTGTAATTTTCTATTATTTGTTCTGTTGAGAATGGCAAGATTTTAATCTTGGTTCATGCTCAGTAAGAACAGATGTAATATAATTCTACCCATGTGAACAAGATGTGACATTTCCCTAAAAGCTCATGCTAAACCACGCAGCACTGATAGCAGAAGCAACGGCGCAGTCTGGAAGCCTGGTGGATTCAGAGCAGATGAACCCAGAGTCTCAGTTCAGAAAATCCAGACCCACGATCCATTTGTCAGTCTTTGAACAAGTTTTTTTTTTTTTTAATTTTCTCAAGCTTGTTCAATATATCCATCCACGTTCCCTTCTGCCTTACATCCCCCCGCTCCGCCTTTTAAAATGCTATTACAAATCAGCTTTTACGTGTTCCCAGTAGCTCCCATCAGCAAGGGGAAGAACAATTAATAAACCTGTACTCATACTACAATTTTGGCTATGTAAAAGCAAATGGGATCATTCTTAGTACTTGTTGGGAAGGAAAAAAACAAGTCCCGTTCAAAAGGATATTAAACTGAAGACTGAATACTACTTAGAGTCAAGAAGATCACAAGAAAAAGGCAAACAATAGTAATCACCAAACTTATTAACAAATTACTATCAAAACAAAGCGGTCCCTTTTTTCTCAATTTACATTAAGGTACACAGGATTTTGCTAAAGTATATAGAATTCAAATAAGAATCTTAAGAAAATTTTCCCAGCAGTAAAAAGTGACACTCTTGGGAATCTTAGGGCCTGAATGCTAAGGACATTAGTGCTATCAGCTGTGAGATACAGGCTGTGGGGAAGTGTATTACCCAAACTTCTCTGAAGTATTTAAGGGCTCTTTGCTTCTCTACAGTTGCCCTTCCTGAAACATTCAGAAGACCCTCAGCCCTCTGATTCCAGAAAACATCTGGGCATGTTGCTGGCCTTATCTACGCCAGTCAAGGTTGAACGCATTTTTAAAGCTAAGCGAATATACTGAGTGGGATTTTTAAAAATCTAGATACATAATAAATCATGGGTAAGATGGAGGAAGAGTCTGAAGGAAGGAAAGAAGAAGGGAGAAAGGAAAATTAAATCACCTCACCACATAAGCATAATCTGTTCCTATCAGGATGAGATGTCTTGCCCCTGAAGAACTTTCCCTGAACGTTTGTCCTAATAAATACAAATTTTGAACAAAGATTCTCATTCTAATATCAATAACACCCAGTTTGCTTTATTTCACTCATCTGTTTGCTTTTGTATAACAAGTGAACAGAACTAAGTAACCCAGAGAACTAAAGCGCCATGCCAAGAAATGACATGTTGATCCTCAACTAGCTTGTGGACAGAGTGTTTCTTTTCTGGTCATTCCTTTCAGCCACTGATATAAACAAATATAATTATCCAATCAAAATTCTGAATGATGAGAAGTTTCCTATGCAGTCCTAAGCATACTGGTTTTACTTTCCATAGTTCAGCAAAAATATTACTGGATTACTGGGGCTTTAAAATGGCCCAAGCTGTAGCCCACAGATCTGCACTAGCTCACAGAATGCCACGGTTTGGTTTGTTTCTGACTATGATCACAGAGTAATACTAACAAAATCTTGCTATTTGAAGGAATTATTAATTTTTGAATTACAATTAGAATACAATTAGATTATTCCACATTACCCAGTGAATTATTATTATAGGTGCCAACATTCACAGTTTAATCCAATGAAGAAACTGAGCCTATATAAAAATAACCACCACCAAAGCAGAAGAAAAGCTACGTGAAGAACTGAACTCAATCTTAATGGTTCCTTCAGATAACTACTCCCAATTGACCCAAATAAACCAATTTACTGGGTCAAGAGAGAGCATGAAGGAACTAAGGACTCTGTTAGAAGTGAGGAAATATGGAATTACTCGTGCATGTAGCATGTATAACATACAGAACAAGCATTTCTGAAAATGTGAGCAGTATCAATAGGTTGGATAACTTTAGCCCCAAAAACTCTACTACTACTGCTTTTTGGAAATAATTAAAAATATCTCAATACAGTTTATAAACTTTGATAAAGTCAATATAAAAGTAATAACATCATATAAACCGGTCTTTTGCTCATTTGAACTCCTGACATGGGGATTATAAGCCATAACAGATTTCTTTTTTCAAATATCTGAAATACAAGGAATAATTTTCTTTAAATGAGTTGCAATATACCAACCAGTATTGGGCTGGTTTCTGTGATTTCCTCTTAATTGGTGGTAGCAGCAGTAATCCTCTAATTCTTAGGATGGACAACTGACTTTTGAATATCTCAGTAATGAGATCTCCATTCTTTGATCTGCTCAAGCCAAAAGCCTTAAGAGGTATCTTGGACTCCTTCCTCTCTCTTTCTTGCATATTTGCATCCAACCCATCAACAGATCCTCATGCTCCTTTCCTCCCAAATATTTCCAGACTCCAACCACTTATCATCCCTACCACCATTACCAGGGGTGAA
The DNA here is from genome assembly GCF_000001405.40 of Homo sapiens. Classification (NCBI taxonomy): domain Eukaryota; kingdom Metazoa; phylum Chordata; class Mammalia; order Primates; family Hominidae; genus Homo; species Homo sapiens. The sequence continues at coordinate 11,153,905 of NC_000008.11, forward strand.
ACGAATATTCCCTCTGGACTACTGCAAGTATTCTTCCTAATTGGTCTCTCCGTTTCCACCCCTGCCCTTCAAGACCATTCCCAACATAAAACTCACTGCAATCCTTTTAAAAGCCTAGGTGGGTAGGAAAGAAGCTGGCCTTGCCGAGAAGAGACATCTGGCCTTTGCCCTCGGCTAGTGGGAGGTAATCTGTGTCATAACTAATAGAAGTGTCCTTGTTTAGGGTGGGGGTTGGCCACACTGGATCTTAGGGTAGGGTTGGCCATATGAGAAGGACCAATCATGTGATTTAGGGTGGGAGCTCTGGCTCACACGATACCAGTAGACATGGTGACGGAGTTCAACTTTGTGGGCAATCAATCAATCAAACATGCTATCTCAGGAAGCTCTAATAAAAACTCTAGACACCAAAAATCAGAAGAGATTCCTTGGTTGGCAACATTCCGTGCGTACGGTCACACATCAGTACCAGGAGGGTAACAATGCCCAGCCTCCATGGAAGAGGAGAACGGAAGATTCACATTAGAACCTTCCCAGACTCTGCCCCATGGCTTCCTTTGGCTTCCTTTGATCTGTATCTTTTCCCTTTAATAAACCATAACAATAAGTGTAACAGCTTTCAGTGAGTTCTATGAGTCCTTCCAGCAAATTGTCAGACCTGAAGGTGGTTTTGGAAACACCCCAAACTTGCAGTTGGTGTGAGAAGTGAGAGTAGTCTTGGAAATCACACCTCACAACTCACAGTTTGGCTAATGCTGGAAAGGTATCAGTCAGTGTATTTTTTACAGTTTTCTTGAAAATTAAGTAAGAGTTTCTAGAATACATGTAATCCTCCTTTTCTGTTGGTTCCTTCTCTGCCTATAAACAGGGTCTACCCTTCAACTCTTTTAAGAGAAAACAAAAGTACCTTGTCTTCTGTCCTCTTTTCTTTCCATTGACTGCCTCTACCCTCTTCAAATCTTCCCAGTAGTCTACAATTCTTAAGGGACTCAAATTTTAATTCTAAAATTCTATCATATTCTTATAAATCTGCTGACAACATGTCTACTACTCCTGGAAGGGAAAGACAAATCAAGAAATATAAAATGTTTTCAAGCAGCACAGCTTCATATTATCCGAGCTGCGTTAGAGATTAAAACAAACAGCAATATTTTGGCCAGAACCATGGTTTCATCCTGAGGCCCCCAACCACTGGCACCTGCTTCACCAGTCTTGATACTGCATACTCCCACAACTGTGCTCATTTTACAAGCTCATTTTATCACTCAGAAAGATTCCACTTGGCTTGGCCACTGTTACCAAAGCCTTACTGTCTTGCTTCAGGCTTCCAAATTTTAAATGGCACTATTTAACATTTGGGCAGATTGGATTCCTTGCCTTATTAGTTAATTACGGGTCGAGTATTCCATACTGGTAGTCTGATATGTTTAAAACTGAAGGGAAAAATTTGTTTTTAAACCAGTATGACCAAAGACTTTATAATGTGAATATTTTAAAATCTCATTTTATAAAGTGAACAAGGGACCCCTCTCAAGAGAAAAAAATTAATAAAGACTTCACAACAGTTGTGCATTATCTTCAGGATAAGGAGCCTTAATGGAATTCAAGATCCTCACATGGGATTCAAGAACTATATGCACACAAATATAGCTTTACTCTTCCTTCAAGAGGCAACAGCTGTTTGTTTTATATACAGACACAGTTTTCTCTGGACAATTTCAGCAGTATCTCAGCACACAGAGTGTAACAGGTCCTTACAAAGCACCATCCTCATCACTTGCAGAGACACTGGCACTACAGAAGTCTCAATGGCCTCCCTACCTTACTCAAACCTCCCACCCGTCTATTTTTCCACTTTGTCCCACTCCATTCCACTGCAGTCAAAGTGATCTTACTCGAAATGCAAACATGATCTTCTGTCATCAATGGCTCTCTTGCATTTTCAGGATAAAGCTGATCATTCTAAATACAATCCACACAAGCAATTTAGTGCAAATTTAGATCATGTCCTCCTTCTCTCCTGATGCAATGAAGGAGGCGCCTATTCTGTGTGAACTCAACCCTTCCACCTTTGCAGGAGCTATTTCAATTACCTGCTTTCCTTCTCTACTAGTGCTTTCCTTTTATTTAAACACATTCAAGTCTCTCCTGACTTGCAACAAAACAAGGTCTTGTAAAGATTTTGACTTTATCCAATTCTCTTTCCACTCTATGCCTTCTCCTGCCTCTCTAATTTTACATCCAGTCCCTTCCCTCTTCACCTTTTACTGTGGCAAGGTCAGAATCTGCACCAATTCTGAAGTGCATCATGCTTCTTTGCATAGGCCTTTGTCGGTTTTTCTCCCTCTGTTCTGAATGCTTTTCCAACTTTTGTTGATTTAACTCTTCCTCACTCATCAAGGCGAAATTCAAATAACATCTCCCCTCTGCAGCTTTCCCTACCATCTCATCCAATGTAAAACTATGTCTGAGAGCATGCAACACATCCTATTCTATCTCCCCACCTGCCTGCCTCTTCAGCTGGGCTGAATTCCTGGAGGGCAGACATTACATTAACTGAAATCATAAGAGTTTCAAAGATCTGTGAAACACCTAAAATTGCAGGCAGTATTTTGTGTATCTTAATGTTTTTGGAGAAAAAGTCTACAGCAAATATCAGTTTGTCAAAGAGGCATGTGACCCCAAAGAAGTTAAAAATTATTGCCCCCAAAATTAGCACAGTATCTAACATATAGTAGACACCCATTATCTATTCAATTGTCATCAAAATACTACAAAGTGACTGCACAGTGGTAAATCAAAATATCTATTTTGGGGTGGGAAGGGGAAAGACAAAATCTTGCTTACAGAAGAATTCTAAATGACGTAGGTAAATACTCCCCAGTCCAGGAGGTGATGCCTAACACCCCACCCACCACAGACACAGATGCACACACACACACATACACACACACACAGAGTCCTTCAGGGTAGGCTACACTTAGGAACTTGCTTCCAAGGAAGATGGGGGAAAAGGCAAAGAGAGTAACTTTACAGTAGGAAACCTGGCAAACAGGATTTTAACCAAGTGACGGAGATGAACCTCAGCCATGATGTCATGTGACTATCACACATGCTCTAATTTGAGGTCATGAGAGGGCACTTCACCTCTGGGGTATTGTTTCCAAAAATCCATAGCCCAGCCTAATAAGAAAAATGTCATACTAACCCAAATTGACAAACATCCTACAAAATGCCTGACCAGCAAGCCTCCAAACTGTCAGGGTGATGAAAAGCAAGGAAAGACCAAGAAACTGTTGCAGCGCAGAGGAGACAGAGACATGACAACAAAACGCAAGATGGTCCACTAGGCTGAACCTTGGAACTGAAGGAAGACACAAATGGAAAAACTGCAGAAATCCAAATAAAGCCTGGGGTATAATACTAACATACCAATGATGGTTTCCTAGTTTGGACAAATGTACCATGGTCACAAACAATTTTAACAGTGGGGGAAGCTGATGAGGTGTATATGGATACTCTGTGCTATCTTTAAGCTTTTCTGTAAACATAAAAAACCTAAAATTATTTTAAAATAAAAGGTATGTATGTATGTATGTATGTATGTATGTATGTATGTATGATTTTTAGAGATGCAGTCTCTCTCTGTTGCCCAGGCTGGTGTGCAGTGGCGTGATCATAGCTCACTGCAGCCTCGAATTCCTGGACCCAAGGGATGCTCCCACCTCAGACTCTCTATTAGCTAGGGCTATAGGTGCATGCCACCATACATAGCTAATTCTTTGGGGTTTTTCTGGTAGAGATGAAGGTCTCACCATGTTGCTGGGCTCAATCTCCCGGTCTCAAGCAATCCTTCCATCTTGGCCTCCGAAAGTGCTGGGATTACAGGCGTGAGCCACCATGCCTGGCCAAAATGTTTATTTCTTAGAGTCTCTTTTATCTAGTTACAAATCTCTGAGATTCCCAGTTTCCAAACTTCAAAGAATTATTAGCAAACAGGCCAGTTATCCAATCTCCATCAAGCGGCATTAGATATGTTATAAAGGGTGTTACACTCAAACCAAAGCAAAAATCTGTTGAGTCAATTGCAATTATGAAAATTATAAATTACAACTTAAAAGTTGGTGATTGGTATCTATTTCTTGATGATGAAGCTTCAAACGTGTAATCAGTGACTTTTCAATTCTGAACCACCCAACTTGCTACATTCAAGCATGGTGTTGTGCCAGGCACCGGGACTCAGTGAGGAGTGGGGAAAGGCAATAATCAATCGTCAGCCATAATGACAGGGGAAATACAGTGTGCAATGGAAGCAGAGAGCAGAAGCATCTAACGGTCTGAGCGAGATTATTATGGAAGGACCAGGAAAAATTTAAAAGTAACACTTAGAATAGGGCCTGAAGGATGAGAAGCACTCGCCAAGAAAAGAGGAAGACTGAGTGTACCAGAGAAAGAAAACAGCATCCACAAAGACTACAAGCAAGAGAACATGACCAGTTGTTCAGGATGGCTACAGCTGAAAGTGCTAGGCAGGGCCTGGCAAGAAATCAGACAACCGGATTTTCACTCTGCTTCAGGAGCTGTGCCTAGAAACTTCGCCTTGAGTTTCTTTAGCTTTCCCAACAATTATGGAGCAACTAAAAACCTTTGTGTTTACTTCATTAGTCGCCATTGAGACCCTGACCAACACAATCCCTCTTATGAAAAGAATCCACCTCCATCAATAGCAAAAAAACAAAACAAAACGTTTAAACACAGGTCTCTGTGCTCAATTCTATTTATACAATCGTATATCCCTCCAGCATGTGCACAGACAGGAATGGCAGGCTTCTAAATGCAAAGATGACGAAACGGACAGACACAGCTAACACAATTTTTTAAGTTCTACGCTTAGGTTCAAGTACATCAAATGCAAAAATATAGGCAGAGATAAGCCTAGGAGAAAGGGAATAATTACCAGAACACTAATCCCACCATACTGCATACAAGCCAAGAACATAAAATGAACCTCTCAGTCTTACCCTTCCTGCAACTGAGGACCCGCTTGCCGGCACTCAGTAGGACACGTGATTAAAAGTGTGGCTTGTGAGGCCAAACTGCATGGTTCTGAAACCTGGTTCTACCATTTACAAGCTGTATGACATTAGGCAAATTACTTACCTTCTTTAAGCCACAGTTTCCTCCTTGAGACAGGTGGACATTAACAGTACTAGCTCATGAATTTAGTTGGCCGTTTCAATGAGTTAATACACATCAGCTGTTACTAACATCCACCATATATTCCCAGAGGGGTACCCAATTCTTTGGGGTCTCAATGACCCTTGTCCTTCACCCTCTAGAAAGCATGTCATCAGAGAATAACAAACATTATCTTCAACTTACTTGATCCACTGCTGCATATAATTTAAGTAAGTCATTCTCAAAACTTACTTTACTAATAACATAGTCTATACAACCCCCAAGTAATGACCACAATGCAGTCTGTTACGACAGCTATGGCAAATACTGACCTAGATCGCGAGAGAAAAGAACAGCTGCTGTCCTCACAGCTGCCCCGCCTCACTTTCTGCTAACAGACGCTGCTTCTGTATGGCCATCAGCTTGCCATGTGCTTTCAGGCAGGCTGGACCCATCCCCATTCCCTACATCAGCAGCATCAGCTTCAATCAGGAACTTGTGAAAAACACAAATTGTCAGTCCCCAATCCAAACTAGAGCAGAAACTCTTCAGGTGGGGCCTGGCAATCTGTGTTTTGATAAGTCCTCCAAGTCATTCTGATGCAGACCAGTCTGAAAACTACTGACCAAGAACCACTGAACTAATAATGGCAACTGCGTATCTCTAAGTTTAGAAATGGGGTATACAACAATTCTAGCCAAGGAGGGGCAACTTCTAGAAATTTTGCTTACTCTTAAAAATGAACACAAAGAAGGTACCTTATCTCTTCTGGCCTTTAGAATGTTGTTGATTAGAGATATGATGCTTAGACCCGCTGCAGCTATCTCATGACCCCAAGGGCAAGCCAAAAGCAGATCCACCACGCTGGGTCCTTGATGGAATCAAGCCGATAAAATAACCAACCAGGAATCTGCACTACCTATAGGAGCTGCTGATATGTGAGATATTATCACATTTCATCAAATGTAAGACTCATCAGTGGTTAAGATGCATCATTATTTTGTTAATCATCGTGAGGAAAAAATGTTGTCAAACAAACTGACACACCATGCATTTAAATGGACCACGTGTCTCAATTTCAGAAATAATCACATATGAAGAAAATGTACGTCAGAAACAAAAAAAAAGTAAATTCCTTATTGTTTCAGCCAGATAAGTAGGGATTTTCTGTTGTTTGCTGCTAAAAACATCACAATTTATTTTTTTAAAAGGATATTATGTTCAATTCTGAGTAGTCAATAAGATGCAGCATATACAGATGATGGACAGGAATAATGGTGAGTCTGAAGCTGAGATGGCCTTTATGGGGAAAAAAAAAAGGAATAATGATGGGGAATCCTGAAATAAAAGGAAGAGACAGTGAAATATTTAGACAAAGAAAATAAATAAAGTTTAGAAGGAGGCATCATAACTGTCTTCCACTGTCTGAGGGGCTCCAATACTGAAAAAGTAGACTTTGTATAGCTCAGATAAAGCGAGGAAAGGCAGACTTTAACCTCTGAATGAAATCTACCAATGTAATGATGCCTTAAAAAATGGTTCACAGGCTGGGCGTGGTGGCTCACGCCTGTAAACCCAGCACTTTGCAAGGCCAAGGCGGGTGGATCCCGAGGTCAAGAGATCGAGACCAGCCTGGCCAACAGGCTGAAACCCCGTCTCTACTAAAAATACAAAAATTAGCTGGGTATGGTGGCACTTGCCTGTATGTAGTCCCAGCTACTCGGTAGGCTAAGCCAAGAGAAACCCTTGAACCCGGGAGGCGGAGGTTGCAGTGAGCCGAGATCACACCACTGCACTCCAGCCTGGGCAACAGAACGAGACTCCGTCTCAAAAAAAAAAAAAAAAAAAAGAAAAAAAAAGGGTTCACACATTCAGAAACAGAATAACTACTTCAAAAATTCAGGGTGTGGCTCCTGTACTGGTTGTGAATATGGGCCCTTCTAACCTTAAGATTTTTAAGATTCCATAATATTATAACCAGATTAGAATAAAGCAAAGTTAAGAGGACTTGTTAAAACATCCAGTCAAATCAAAACTGCCAACAGGAACTGATCTAGGCAGAGTACCTGGTAGAAATTAAATTCAAGAAATCAAAGATATAGGATGGAATTCAAGGAACCAACACAAACGCTTCCGAGTATCTCCCTCCCTCCAATCTAAACTCCTCTGAATGGGGTCTAGAGTTATCTTGCCACCACCAGTACCTACCTTGGTAAGTCTTCTACTCCTTCAAGTGCCTACTCAGTGTCCATATCACAAAGCTATCCATACCCTCTCTTCATTCCTCTCCTCTCCTCACCTGAACCAGCCTAATTCCCGTCTAGTGCCTTTGCTCATGATGTCCCTAAAAACCTAGATTGTCTTTAACTCTTTTCACTCACCCATAACTTGCATCTCACAAACTACAACTGAACTACAACTAAACTCAGTAGGTGCTAACAATGACCACAATGCACACATCATCCCCATGCTGGGGCACACTCACTCAGCAGAGCATGATTTAGTGCCTGGCAGTTCTTTCTTTCAGATGTTTTCATCTTTCTCATATACTGTAAACACTTTCAGTGGCTCCTATAGTTCTTTACTATGTTGGGAGCATTTTAAGTCCTTAGTAAATCTTACTGATTAGTCAGTCAATCACTTTGGAAGCTATCACAGAAACTTTCTTATTATTGGTATTTTAATATTTAATATATTTGTAAAATTATAAAATATTTACTGAAGTATATCATCAGGTACCTGCAACTCAAAATTCTGGTTGGCTTCACTGAAAAAGACGGAAATGAAAGAAGGGTTAGCTTGCCTTTCTAAAGATAAATTTTACTTACTTACCCAGGTTGTAGTGAATACAAGGAACTGAGCAAAATGAGAAAGAAAAAGAAAAGAGGAAGGCCCACCAGAGGACCTTTTCTCATCTCGTCCCACTTCACAGAGTTCTACATCTAGAAAGCAATCCAACTTCATCATATTTTATATGTAAAAAAACTGACCCAGAGAAATAAAGTGATATGACCAAGATAGAAAGCTTTTTATTTGCTTACACAGGGACCCACCTAATTGTAAAAGGAAGCCAAATGTTTTCAAAAGAATTAGCAAAGAAACTATAATCCAAGAGTTAAAGGTAGAGAAAGCTGGGAAAGTTGAGGAGAAGTGGTTGCTGCCCGTGGGCTGTTTAAATGAAACAAGGACTGATCTGCTCACCACAGAGTAAACCCAGGAAAAGCCGCCTTCTCCCCCTTGGCCCTGAAGAGCTACACTCCAGCCTCCCAAACTCACTCCAGCTTTAGGGCCTTAATTTTCCAAATGGTGATATCAGATTCACCAAGGTCACAACCTAGAGTAGAGTAATCGTGATCAATTGTGGAAGGAAAAACAAAACAAAACAAAAAAACAAACAAAAAACTCTCTTTTTTAATTATAATCAAGTACCAGGTAGTTTTGTTTCAAATTTCATTTAAAAGCAGCTAAATTGCAAAGTGAAAATTTTAATAATTTGGCAGGTAAAAATTACAAAACATATTTCCTTCTCCATAAATTACAAAGGAGAAACTTCACTAGTTGTTTTGATTATTTAAAACAGTCCAACTTCTGACTTTCTAAAAATTTTTAAACATTCTTACAAAAGGCCTACTGGTTAACCCAGTAAGGCACTGAACCTCCAGGTTTTAAGACGGTCTGTCAGGCTGACACTTGGGAGCCAGAAAAAGAACTTTGTAAGAAGCCGAAGTGTTTCAATTTAAGCCATTACCACTAACAGTGATGTCACCTCCAATATTCCTATCCTAGCATAGCTACAAGGTAAGAGTGTTTTAGGAGTTCACAGAAATTTTTGCTAATTCATCACTTACCTTATTCTCAGTCTAGCTAATCGTTTTGGACCATGAGCCTGCAAAAATGTCACTTACAGAAAAAGAAAACAGCTCTTCTTTAAAGAGAAACAGGTTATTTTATCCAATTGGTTCTACTTGTACAGGAAAACAAGGAAACTAGAACCATTTAATAAAATAATACCACAGTAAACCTAAAATTATTTTCGAATAAAATCAGCACCATTTAAAATGATCATAAAATCCACAAATTTAATAATAAAAATTGTTAGAAAATATTAAACCATGCTCTGTGAGGGCCAGTCGTAATAATCACCATTCTTTAAACATGAGCAGATTTTAAACATATAGTTTTGCATAAAGTATAAGCATTGCACAGCTTATATTACCCAGAAGAATGTATTATCAAGTATATTTCTATTTGCATTGAGTTCTAACAAATGATTACTGTTGCAGGGAAAATGTGACTGGCACATCAGAGACTTTATCTCTTGTCACCATTATCATTTCCCAAGTCCTCACCTAGAATCAAAAAGCTCACAAAATCCACCAAATCTGCATACACCATGTCTTTCTTTCGTCACATCTGTAACTATTTCCCTGCATCCGCTGGAGATAGGTAACTACGACAAAATGAAGTCCTACAACAAAGTCTAAGGGCAAACATTTAGAAAACTAATAGTGAATAACAAAATATGCACTGAATGTGGTCGAGACACTCAGGAGGAATAGAACGCATTGCTTTGTTGTTTGCGTGGTCTGCTACCCCAGACCACATTTCTACCGCACTGACTTTGTGCTAGGCACTGCCTGAGCACATAAACTCATTTCTTCTTCCTCTGAGGTAAATGTATCATTGTTATCACATTTTACAGTTGAGGAACTGTGGCAAAGAGAGTAGAGTAGCTTGTTCTACCTAGGTCACAGGGCTAAATGAAGGGTTGGAACTTAACTTTGTTCTAAATCTTCTCTGTGGTCCCTGCCCCAGCCCTCACTGGAAAATACATGCAGGCCAAAAGTAGAGAGAGACATCACAAAGACAACCATCCCTCAAACCCAGCTATGTAGCTAACTTCAGACACATGCTTCCAAACAGTAATGTGAGCATGTTTTGGGGGGCCACTCTCATGCTGATTTCAAGTGTACAATCCCCCTGCCTACAGTGGGGAAGATAAACAGGGCCAGGCCAGCACTACTTCCTACCCACTTCCCTTCTGGGTCTGCCTATTCACTGCCAGAAAGTCAGAAGTCAATCATCCCACAGGCTTCAGCTTCAATTCAGGTAGAGCAGTGAGGTTTGAAAGTGCCTCAAGCAGAGCCCACAGTTCTCTGATCCTTTACAATATCACACTCTGTAATTGTGTGGCATAGCAGCCATGCTAGGAACGAGGTCAATTACTTAGGTACTCGCTAGACTTTTTCCTTTTCTCCACCCCTGGGGTCCAGGCTCTTTTCCCAGCACTTACTCAGGGCTGTCATTAGCCCTTTCTCCTCAGTTTCATCGCCCCTGCATTTACGTTATTCTAAGTCTTCTCCCCTATGGGTTCCTGTGGGGAAAATAAAAGATCCGAAAGGGAAAAAAGCAGAAAAGAATGAAATAAAGTGAAAATTCAAGAGGTTCTTGTTTTAAGTCCCTATCTTAAAAGATATATGGCTTTGTCACTTTCAAAAGCATTACATTATAAGGTATGTGGCCAAAACACAATCAATAAACAAACACACGCAGACAGATACAACTAAATACACACAAACATACATGCCACAATAGAGAGGGTCTTTGATTCTTAGGATCCCCCTTTTCTTTTCCATCCATTAATTCCTAACTACACTGTTCTTCTCTAACCATGTAACTATTTCTCAATATCCATTTGTCACATGTAAAATATTCTCAAGACCACTCCTAGCCTTGTATACCTGAGACCTGTCTCCCATACCAACACCATCACTTAATTAAGAAACAATGGCACTAAAGCTTTGCTTACAAATCTGTGAAACAAAGGTCATCCCACCTGCCTACCTTCCCACTTCACCTTACTAATAGGAGGTTTAAAGGAGATATGTGCTTAAGTACACCAAAGAACCAGAGGTACCAACAGGGTTAAGATACGCCTTGAATCCAAGAAAATCCCCTGAAGCAGCATGTCAATACTGAGTAACACAACCATTCCCTAGGCTATCACCTTTTTTTTTTTTTTTTTTTTTTTTTTTGAGACAGAGTGTCGCTTTGTCACCCAGGCTGGAGTGCAATGGCACGATCTTGGCTCACTGCAACCTCCGCCTCCCAGGTTCAAATGATTCTCCTGCCTCAGCCTCCCATGTAGCTGGAATTACAAGTGTGCACCACCACACCTAGCTAATTTTTGTATTTTTAATAGAGATGGGGTTTCACCATGTTGGCCAGGCTGGTCTTGAACTCCTGACCTCATGATCTGCCCACCTCGGCTTCCCAAAGTGCTAGGATTACGGGCATGAGCCACAGTGCCCAGCTGGCTATCGCTATTTTAAGCAAAGAACTGCAGGTGTACTTCTTTAGTTTTAGGGAGAATTTTAACCAAATGATATTTCCAGTTTAAACCTGGACACACAAGGTGAGGGCAATGAGGGATGATGAAGAAGATGGCATGCTCTCTTGGGCATCGGCATCCTTATTTGATTAGCAGAAACCATAATTATAATTTACTAGCAACTCTTTTTCTAGTTTTCCTCTACTCAGTCTTCAAAATAAATGCAGTGTATTAACTCTTAGACTGTACTCCTGAAAAATTAACAGTGAATCCCAATCCAGTATCAAAATGATTCATCAAAGACAGAAGTGGCCAAGGAACACCAGAAAGACACCATACATTCTTGCATCAAAGAGCCTGAAATTCTTGTTGAGATGATCATTTCTAGCTCACGTACAATGGTAGAACTTGTCTTCTCCTGCATATACTGTGTCCTATACTATATCTCACGTTACATGAAGGAACCATAAGTTCTGAAAAAGCCACGTGCAATGACCACTGTTTGATGGATACATTCATGTATATATATATATATAGTTTTTTGGGTTTTTTTTTTTTTTGAGATGGAGTCTCACTCTGTCACCCAGACTGGAGTGCAGTTGTGTGATCTCAGCTCACTGCAACCTCCACCTCCTGGATTCAAGCAAATCTCCTGCCTCAGCCTCCCGAGTAGCTGGGATTTACAGGCGCATGCCACCATGCCCAGCTAATTTTTGTATTTTTTGCAGAGACGGGGTTTTGCCATGTTGGCCAGCCATACTATTCACTGAAGAGGAAAAAGACCATTGAACTATCCTTCATTTTCCAGTGAAGATGTTACTATAAAGTTGTATATAAACCAAATCATATTTATCGCTGCTTTGGGTCATTTCAGGATTGCGTGTTCACAGTGGGGGAAAAATCCCAAAATGTGGCCTCAAGGTGTCATGAAGATCACAAGGCATCTGCTATGGTCTGAAAGTTTGTTTCCCAGCTAAATTCATGCATTAAAACCAAACCCCCAAGAACTGTGAGAGATAAAGGGCCGTTGCTTATAGACAACCTAGTCTATGGTGGGATTTTGTTATAGCAGCCGTGATGGACTAAGACATCACAAAAGATTTTTCAAAAATCTAATATTTAGTGCATTTAATTTAATGTTTATTTAATCTAATATTTATTTATTTATTTATTTTTGAGATGGAGTTTCACTCTTGTCGCTCAGGCTGGAGTGCCATGGCGTGACCTTGGCTCACTGCAACCTCTGCCTCCTAGGTTCAAGCGATTCTCCTGCCTCAGCCTCCCAAGTAGCTGGGATTACAAGTGCCCACCACCACACCAAGCTAATTTTTGTGTTTTTAGCAGAGACGGGGTTTCACCATGTTGGCCAGGCTGGTCTGGAACTCGTGACCTCAGGTGATCCAACCGCCTCGACCTCTCAAAAACTGCTGAGATTACAGGCGTGAGCCACCGCACCCGGCTTAACCTAACATTTAATAGGGAAAATATTAACACTAGTATTCAGCTAATAACTATACCAAAAATACAACAGAAATTGAGGTGATTGCCAGGGAGATACAGGAAGAGGGTATGACAAGTAAGGTGGCATCTGTTGCCTGCAGCGTGTGTGGCGGTGGTAGAAGGAAAGGCTTCTGTGGGTTTTTAAATGGACTACTGCAAGAGAACAAGGCTGACTGGGAGATGTCGAAAAAATGTCAGAGTAGACAATTCCAAGTGCCCATACACCTCCCTGCACCTAAACCATCAAAAAACAAGCACCAACTGTCAGAACTAACTTTGTCAGAACTCTGGAAAACAGTGAAATGCTTACAGCAACCAACTGAACACTGAATCAAGAACTTCAAAGGATAGGAAAGCTTTACGGCATTCTTATTTGCCTTTGCCCTATCTCCTCCCAGTGTGATGGCAGCCCATATTCCAAGAATGGGACCCTGGTCCCTGGTTCCAATAGGAACAAGTAGAACGCATTCATAAATTTTTAGTGACTCCATTCCAACCTGTCAGGGATACTTGACAAGGTTCATGCTTAAAACTCAAAACTCATCCAGGCTGGAAGTGGTTGGCATTGCCCAAAAACAATCCAGACACCTGGGGTCAAAGAGTACAAATGAGACATGCAACACATGACCTGAGGTCTGGGAAGAAAAGACGTGAAGAAAGTTACCTTAGGAAATTAGGGCAATCAAAAGCATCCATATATATGGGTGAAATTAGAAAGCCACACACATGCTCAGAATAAAACCCAGGAAGACCTTAAGCTTTTTCACCTTAGGCTAAATACTAGCCTAGACACAAGTCTGGCTCACTATTGAAGGAGGGCCCCAGCAAAGAGCCAACCTGCAAAAACTGGAAAAAGTATTTTTGTTTGTTTATTTGTTTTAGCTCCTGGCATTCAAGGAAATCTCTGTCAAAACACTACCAGGCTAGGCACAGTGGCTCCTGCCAAGCCTGGGTGACAGAGTAAGACCCCATCTCTTAAAAAAAAAAAAAAAAAAAAAACCACACACAAAAAAAACAGTACCAGAAGATTAACTAAGAAACAGAGACTTCAGTGACCACACAAGACAAGGAATATAATCCCTACAAAAATAGTTGGGAAAAGTCACTTGACAAAAAAAAGAGATACATAAAACCAAAAACAACAAAAAAAGCAAACCTCGGTGAAAGAGGAGACTCTGATTTCCAGAGACACAACACTGTAATTTTCAAACACCCCATTTTCAACAGCAACAAAATCCTAAGGCATATAAGGAAAAAGTATAGCCCATTCAAAGGAACGAAATTAACTGACAGAACATGTCCCTGAGAAGGCCAGACATTGTACTTACTACACAAAGACTTTACAAAGCAACTTTCTTAAATATGCTTAATATCAATATGTTGTTGAAGTTGAGAAGGATACTATATTTGATTAAAGAATAAATTCAATCGGAGATATAATAATTATAAACATAAATGCACCAAACATAGAGTCCCAAAATATAGGAAGCAAGCACTGACACAACTAAAGTGAGACGTAGAAAGCTCTAGAATAATAGACTTCAATACATCCTATTCAATAACAGATAGAAGAACTTGACAAAAGATAAATAGGGAAACAGAGAATTTGTACAACACATAAACCAACTAGATCTAACAGACATATACAGAACATTTTTTCAAACAAAGCAGAACACACATTCTTCTAAAGTTTACATGGAATACTCTCCAGAAGAGACTATGTTTGTCCACAAAGCAAGTCTCAATGAATTTAAAAAGACTGAAGTCATACAAAGTATTGATAGAGAAAGTTAGGTAGTTAGGGTAGGTCCTTGGCAAAACTCCTTTAAAAAGAGAAACAGCCTGAAAAATCAGGCTGCAGGCACAGATAAGAAAACTCGCACAAACATCCAGCCCACTCAGATACAGGAACAAGGCCCAACCCAGAAATGCCTTTGTTCTTTGTATAACCAGTGGGCTTCCAGGAAATAGTCTCTTTTCCTTCTGTGGGCATGTACGCAGTGGGCTCTGTTGGGTTCCTGTGGGCACTTTGCTTTCCTTTTTTGGACATGATTTGGACTGTTTGCCAAGCCTCTATGAATCATCGCTTCAGCCTCTGACTGGTCCCAGGACAAGGTCCCAGGCCAAGGTCCTGGACCAAGCTTTCACTTCAGCTCCTGAGTGGTCCCAGGCCAAGCTGAGTAGGCTTTCTCCAAGACCAGTCAGCACATTCCTTCCCTGCCCAGTCCATAAAAACCCCAAATCTAGCCTCATAGTTGGCAACCCTCTTCCAGGCACCCTCTCTGAGGCAGAGAGCTTTCTTCTTTTGCTTATTAAACTTTTAAACTTTTGCTCCAAGCTCACCCTTTGTGTCCATGCTCCTTAATTTTCTTAGTCATGAGACAAAGAACTTCAGGTGCTACCTCACAATGAGAGACTGCTACATTGTGGTGCATTGGTGACACTCTAACAGTATACTTTGCCACCATGATGCACTGAAGCTAGAAATCAACAAACAAAATGTAGTAAATATCTACAGGATGGAATATTATTTGGTCTTAAAAAAAAGGAACAAAACTCTGATATATGTTAGACCATGGACACCTTGAAAACATTATGCTAAGTTAAATAAGCCAGATACAGAAGGACAAATATCATACAATTCCACTTACATGAGGCACTTAAAACAGGCAAAGTCAGAGAGAAATTAGCATACAGTTTATCAGAGGCTGGAGAAAGGAGAAAATGGGAAGTTAGTATTTAACGGGTACAGAGTTTCTGCTAGGGATGAAGAAAAAGTTCTGGAAATGGACAGTGGTGATAATTGCACAACACTGTGAATCTACCTCATGCCAGTGAACTGTACACTTTAAAATGATTAAACTGTTTCTTTGCCTTTTGGCTAAGATCAAGTGCAAAAATGGTAAAAATGATAAATTTTACACTATATATATTTTAACACAATAAAAATTTAAATGATTAAAATGGTATATTTTGTGTTCGTATATTTTACAATAAATTTTTAATATAAAAAAGTGGGGAAAAGAGAGAGAGAGATGGGACAGTCATTGTGATCTCATAGACATACATAACAAAATTTCTCTTGGAGAGACTTGAAAATGGAAGTCTGCAACTCCTAGCTGGATCTGACGTTAGATCTAAGTTGAACAAGTTTCTGGTTATTAGATAATGTCTTGTACTGAAAAAAAGAATAAATCAGAGTGCTAAATTGCTGCCCTTTGCAGCTCCTCAAAAAGTTAAACACAGAATTATCATAAGACCCAGCAGCTCCACTCCTAGGTATATATCCAACAAAAATTAAGACTCACATCCACACAAAGCCTTGTTACAGGAATTCTAGCAGCCTTATTATGTTCATAAAAGTCAAATACTGGGAACAACCAAATGTTCCCAACTCAAATACTAAAAGGATGAACAAAATGTGGTAGATCCATCCAATGGAATATTAGTCAGTCATAAAAAGGAGTGAAGTATTGATTCAGGCTATACCATGGATGAACCTTGTAACATTATGTGAAAGTAAAAGAAGTTAATCACAAAAGACCACATTCTATGACTCATTAATGAAATGTCCAGACTAGGCAACTCTACAGACACAGACTACAGGTTAGCAGTTCCCAGGGGCTGGGAAAGGGAAAATGAGAAGTGACTACAATGGATGCAGGGTTTCTTTTTTGTAGGATTAAAAATGTGCTAAAATTAGCACATTTGTGGTAATCGTTGCACAACTCTGTGAAGATACAAAAAACAATCGCACAATCTAAGTGGGTAAATTTTGTAGTACGTTAATTATATCTTAATAAAACTGTTACACATCATTGCTGCCCTTCAACATTCTGATACACATCTCAAGTACTGAAGCAAAATCTCAGGGGGCGCAACAATAGCATCTGTGCATGGAGTACATTCTCAAAATTCTCCTTTGCTTTTTAAGTCTTTGTAATGTTGGAGAATATTCTGAGCTTTAAATAATTTACAGAGGAACTAGGTAACTAGGTAATTAACCTTTGCTGTTGTAACTAAGAATGATACTCTGTTCTATCACCCTTCACAAATGACTACTCCAACATCAGAATTTAGATTAGCAATCTTGAATTCTTGACTCTTCCTAGTTTAGAAATCATGAAAAAGAACTGAGAAAATGTTTCACCATCTTTATATACTTTGTTCTTGAAATCCTAAACTCTGTGTTTTCACAAATGTCAACTGCCTGGTTGGGTAGAAGGACAGAACTGCTAAGAAAGAAAGGATCTGCTGAAGTGTGGTCCACCACACAGCCGACCTGTATATGAGGCACTCTGTAACATGAACTGCCATTACAAATGGTGCTGCTTTTATCATTAAGTGCACACCCACGCATGTGCGACTGCACACACACACACAGAGTTCAAAACATGCCCAAGGAAAAATATCCTGTCGTCTACTTAACCACTAATTACCAGAGATTAAGAGTTGCAGCTCTCAATGCCATTACTCCATGCTATAGAGTTTGGATATTTTTCCCCTCCAAATCTCATGTTGAAATTTCATCTCCAGTACTGGGGCCTGACAGGAGGTGTTTGGGTCATGGGGGCAGATGCCTCATGAATAGATTCATTCCCTTGGGTATAGGGAGTTAATTCTTACTCTTAGTCCCCACGGGAGCTGGTTGTTAAAAGGAGCCTAGCCCTTCTGGCTCTCTCCTGCTTTCCTTCTTGCCGTGTGATCTCTGCACACACAAGCCCTCTTAGCCTTCTGCCATGAGTGGAAGCAGCCTGAGGCCCTCACTGGAAACAGACGCCAGGGCCGTGCTTCTTGTACAACCTGCAAAATCATGAACCAAATGAACTTTTTTCCTTTAAAAGTTACCCAGTCTCGGGCCAGGTGCAGTGACTCACGCCTGTAATCCCAGCACTTTGGGAGGCTGAGGTGGGCTGACCATGTGAGGTCAGGAGTTCAACACCAGCATGGCAAACATGGTGAAACCCCATCTCTACCAAAAATACAAAACTTAGCCAGCCGTGGTGGCAGGTGCCTGTAATCCCTGCTACTCAGGAGGCTGAAGCAAAAGAATCGCTTGAACCCGGGAGGCACAGTATGCAGTGAGCCAACATCACGCCATTGCACTCCAGATTGGGTGACAGAGCAAGATCCCCTGTCAAAAAATAAGAAAAAAAAAAAAGTTACCCAGTCTCAGGCCAGATACAGTGGCTCAGACCTATAATCCCAGCACGTTGGGAGCCTGAGGCCAGCAGATTGCTTGAGCCCAGGAATTTGAGATAGCCTGGGCAACATGGCGAACACCCATCTCTACAAAAAATACAAAAATTAGCGTGGCATTATTGTGCACGCCTGTAATCCCAGCTACTCGGGAGGCTGAGGTAGAAGGATCACCTGAGCCTGGGAGGTCGAGGCTGCGGCAAGCCATGATCAAGCCACAGCACTTCAGCCTGGTCGACAGACCCTGTCTCAAAAATAAATAAATAAACAAAATTACCCAGTCTCTAGTATTCCTTTAAAGCAACACAAACAGACCAAGACACTCCACCAAGGTACATAACGTTATATCAGTTTGGCCATCTTCAGGGTGTTTTGTTCCAAATTTTAGATCTGCACAAGTACCCTTTCTCAATGATGGCTTCCCATGGAAGTCACTGGATTATCATAATGGCATTGACCTCCCTGTTCTGAGCAGTTTCCATGCACCCAGGCCTGCTCCCAAATACAACAGGTTTGGCTTACTGTTGCCGGGAATTGGTAATGTAGAAAGGAGGGTTTTTCTTTACTTTTTTTCAACCACAGAAAAAGCTTCCACATAAATCAATTTTAAATTCCAAAGCTTTTCCTTTACTCCATGGTTTTCTCCAGATATGTCTGCCTACTCAGCAGGAGCAAAGGCCAGAAAGCATGCAGGCCCCAAAGAAAAACACCAAGAATAAAACACTACAGAAGATTCACGGGGAAAACATTTACTTTTACAAAGCAAAACCACAAGAAAGATTCTTGCAGGCAGGCTGGCAGCGGCGACACTGTTTCAAGTTATACATTCAATCAATTGTATAAAATCTATTATCCGGTATTTAAGCCATTAACAGATCTATAATTTCCATTTACCTGATTTGGGGGCCAAAAAGGTATGAGTTAAAAATATAACAGCTTCCGGCCGGGCGCGGTGGCTCACGCCTGTAATCCCAGCACTTTGGGAGGCTGAGGCGGGTGGATCACGAGGTCAGGAGATCGAGACCATCCTGGCTAACACGGTGAAACCCCGTCTCCACTAAAAAATACAAAAAAAAAAAAAATTAGCCGGGCGTGGTGGCGGGCGCCTGTATTCCCAGCTACTCAGGAGGCTGAGGCAGGAGAATGGCGTGAACCCAGGAGGCAGAGCTTGCAGTGAGCTGAGATCGTGCCACTGCACTCCAGCCTGGGCAACAAAGCGAGACTCCGCCTTAAAAAAAATATATATATATATATACACACACACACACACACACAAATATATATACATATATATATACATATACATATATATATATAACAGCTCCCAGAGAACAGAGTTCTGCTCCTACAAGATGGCACAGCATCGTCAGAACATGATTCTGGAGCCAGACTGACTAAACTGGAATCTCTTTATTACGCGGCAGGATGCTGGACAAGCTGCTGACTTCTGTGTGCTTGGGTTTCCACATCTGTAAGATGGGGTCACCATGAGAGTTCAGTGAGTGACACACATGCACAGCGTTGGGTGTCCTGTACATGGGAAACTCCCACTGTGAGGGAGCAGTTGTTACTGTGATTCCAATTACACCTGGACAGCAAGCCTTTTTGGCCAGTGGTCCTGTTTAAGGGTTTTCTTCTGCTCACAACCCACCCACCAGTTCCCTGATGCCACTGCCGCCTCAAGAGAACCAGTGTGTGACTGCCAGTATGTACCCACCCACAAGTCACTACTAGAATAAAGAATTCTGCTCACAGATCACTTGGACACCTAGTTATTAGACGGGACACAGTGGGAAAAAAAGAGGGAAGAACATGACAACTTACTGCTGATGGGGTTACCCTCGGGTGCTTTGGGATGAGGGGAGTACTTTCACAATTTATTCTATGCATATCTGTATTTTTCTCTGACTTGTTGACAACATCATGTATTTCCTTTGTACATTTGCTTTAAAAAATAAAACCACCACTGATCAGGTCCAACTCGATTAATTTCTATTAATTCTATTAATCCATGCAACACACTGGCTAAGGCTCTGACAAAACAAAATGACTACAGCTGCCGATTATCACCTCTCAGTGAATGAAAATGAGAGGGAACCTCAAATTGCATTAGGAACACACGTGGAGATTCCAAACCCTTCCTCTCAAGCAGTAAGTCACTCACTCCTCTCTCTTCCAGATGGCAAGCGACACTGCAACAAAACCCACGTATTTAAAACAAGTGCAGAAGTGTTTATTGTACCTCCCTTTCCAAAACAGCTGCTCAACAGAATGTACTTGTGCAGCAAGAAGGAAATCAGAGTGTATGTCCAGCTAATGAAATCTTTACGAGCCGAGCACCGCATCGACTCCAACACTGGGAGCTGCCAGCTGCTGCCTAAATACTATTTTCCAGCATCTTCTGAAGGCTAGTAGTTACTCAAACAGATTTTTAAAAGAAAATGAATACAAAATATTGTAATTATTAGAAGATTATTATAATTAGACATTCTGTTCTTTCCTGTGAGGCAAGGAACAAAGCGGCTGCGACTGTTACAAAGAGCACCAAGTGTCTTCCTCTGGTTACTTACCAACCACCCAGAGGTCACGCTCAGTTACAGGACAGATGCCCTGCCCTTCGCACTTTCCAAGTCTAGCTCTCACCTGGAGTCTCGGGAGCACATACTAGAGGGCTTCTCATTATCTCATCCACAGCACCAGAGAAGCACAAGAGAACGGATGATCAACGGACCCCTTCACCTTTTCAAATGCCCCAAGTCTGCCTTCTGGACAAGACAGTATTTAACTAAAGTTCCACAGTAATTTAGAATTACTAGGTTCCCTTTTCCTCTTTCTAGGACAGGTACATGAAAATTTACTTTATAAAATCACAGGGGAGAGGAAACTGAAAGAATTTGTTGCTCTTCCCCTAAGCGGCCTGAGGTGATCTGTGAAAACGGTTCACTACTCACTTGACCCAGAAAACCCTACACAATCATGAAATCAAGAGGTTTAAATCTTCATGTTCACTTTACAAACACTTGTGACATTACCCAGGCCATCGAGGTTGCATATATGAAAAGCCACCAGGTAACTGAAAGATGTCACTTTACAGAAATGGTATCATTCTGATGTTACAATGGTAGAGTCGGTAGGTGTGCCCAGGCCAAACAGTGGGGCTGGACACAGGTGAACTTTTGCTGCACGTGCTTAAAAATGGTGAAAGTCACGCTGAACTTAAGGGTTTCCATGTAGATTCTCTGGCCATTGAGCATTTCGAGGTAAATAAAGCACCTAAGATGCACCGTCGGACTTACAGAGCTCATGGCTGGACTAACCCATACGTGGGCTCTCCCAGCCACATCGAGATGATTCTTACTGAAAAGGAACAAATTGTTCCTAAATCAGAAGAAGAGGTTGCACCGAAGAAAAAGATACCTGAGAAGAAACTGAAGAAATAAAAACTTACGGCACAGGAATAAATTCCGCATAAAATAAATGCAATCAAAAGTTAAGAAAAATAAAGAATCTGTTTGCAAAATCTACTCCTCAGGTCTCTCTGCTGTAAATCCTCAAAAACAATTAATTTCTGATTATCTACCTGAAGATAATTACTTCATTCTGAAGGCAGTATATGATTTTTAAAGCCCGTACACTATGCTTCCTTCTCCTACTAGCCCAGTGATACCTCAGCGTGGTCACCATACCTTCCAAAATACACTACACATCCGTCCGTCAACAGTCCCCAAGGTGCTAATCAGCATTCATCATGATCCATCTTTTTTTATTACAAACAGCATAATCCAAGAACAAGAATACAGGTTAGCAACTTTGGTCTTCTCAAAAGAAAAACAGGGAAATGCTGATTTACATTTGAAGCCTGACAAATTAATATTAATTTCTGACCCCTAAGAATGTGATCAGCTGCAATATACACTACTCTGTGGGTGTAAAGCAAATGACCTTGTGAAACTCATTTTACAAGGTTCCCAGCTTGTATAATGAATGTTTCCAAAATGACATGATCATCACTGACCTGTGCTTAGCATCTTTAAAACACCTTTACAAATTATCCCATTTTGAAACCGGAAAAATCTCACAACTGTAATAACCCTAGGAAATTATCTCCTCGAATTGGCCAACATATGCATAAATCCTTTGTTTTGATCTTTATAACCATTTCTAAGATGAGTAAAATGGTTACTCTTATTTCCAATTTATAGAATCAGAAACGGAGGTTTAGCTGAGTCAAGTGGTATGTCTCATATAATAAATGGTAAATGAAGATCTGTTACGTGTACTATGTCAAAAATAAAGTCACCTAAAAGAAAACTTAAGCATGACACCAATACTTGGGAAAAAATGGTTTCAAATATACTGGTTAACTGGTGTTTTTATTAAAATATTCCTTTATGCAACGTTTGTATATATTTTTAAAGAAATTATGTCAAGCCAGATTTTACATCAAATTCTTTTCCTAAATATTAAGATACTGCTCCACAGCATTCCTCATCCCCCAAAATTTTAAGACTACTCAAGTACAGGGTGGGAGGCAGATGAAGTCGGCCCCAGCCACTCTGGGTGTCATGGTGCCACAGCCTCGAGGACTCTTAGGCCCCATCAGCAGTTAGGGCATCTCCCTAGATCTGCAGTATCTTCCTCAAAGAAAACCCCCACCCCGCAAAGCCACCAAATCCAAGCAGGAGACCTCCTCTGGCTGTCTTCCTGGTGACTTTTAGGTAGCTGGACGCTGGGCAAAGTCTGGCACCCTGGCAGCAAGATGCCCCTGCCACCAGAGCAACAGAATCCAGCAGTGCCACTGACAACCACTTTCAGCGTGGCCAATGCTAAGAGAAGGTGGGGAGGAGAGGGCAAACATGCATGCACTGGTGACAGGACGCCAATGTCATCTCATCCAAACCTTGTGCTAGGGAGGTAGAGTGTCCACTCTAAAGATAGAGAAGCTAAGGATCTGAGAACTTGTTCCAAAGCCTGGGACCATGGCACTAAGGAAATGGAGAAAAAGCACCATGTGCCAGGTTGAAATGATGGAAAACGAGGGCACACCACACTTCTACGGGCTTTGGCACGCAGGTAGGTGCAACAGGCTGTGTAACCTCCCACAGCTACAAAGACTCTTTCCTGCTCTCCTATAGCGAAGCTGTAGATTTGCCAACATTATGACCTGCATTACAGTATATTTTCATAAACACAAAATGTCCTTATCTTAAGGGTTACCTACACTCAAACTTCAAGGAAGCAAACTGCCTTCATTTTTTATTAGTCATACTGACACTGGGTCAACTACAAAAGAGTTTCAAAACCCATTATGCTAAGAAAAGACCATGAGTGTTATGGGCTCAATTCTCCCTCCCAAAAAGATAGATGGAAGTCCTAACCCCCTCCCCCAAAAATTCAGAACATGACCGAATTTGGAAATAGGGTCACTGTAGATGTAGTAACTTAAGGTGAGGTCATAATGGAATAGGCAAGGCCCTTAATCCAACATGACCGGTTTCCTTATAAGGAGAGGAAAATTTGGACATACACGCAGAGGGAAAACACCAGTGACAGCAGAGGTAGATGCTGAGGTTAGACGGCTGCAAGCCAGGAACCCCAAGGGTTGACTGCCACCCCAGAAGCTAGGAAGGGGCATGGAATGGTCCTGCTCAGAATCTCAGGGGAGCAGTGCCCTGCTCACGCATTGACTGCAGACTTCTAGCCTCAGGCTCTGAGAGAATACATTTCTGTTGTTTAACCCCACCCAGTTCCTGCGATTAAATACTTTGTGATGGTAGTCCCAGGAGAAAACTCACACAGTGAGCTAATGTCCTGCTCCACCTAAGCCCCTTTCTGACATGGAAAGCCTGAAGTCTGAGGTCCTTCTCCACTGCAACCAAAAAAACGGATCCCATCGCACCTGGTTTACTAACAGAGGCAGGAGATTGCCACAGCACAGAAAGCAGAGTGCAGGGCCTAGTGACCGGGTAGGAGCCGGGCCTTCCAAACTCCAGGCAGAAGAGGCACGAAACCACACCATGGAGAAACAGCTTATCTTAATGAAAACTACTAAGCGTAAAATTACTGAAAACTGGCTGCAAATATGCATTCCAGTCAAACTAGTCATTTTGCACTCTCAACAACAAATCTGTCTACTCTAGACAATCAGCTCCGGATGGAACTGTAGCAACCTCAAGGATCAATAATAGTAAGAAACTTTAAAAACTACAAATGGGCCAAAAAACATAAGGTATTAAAAATGAATTATCTCATGAGTCTTATGTGGCTTCGGTCATCAAGCGGCTATGAAAGAGCACCACCTGAATTCCAACCAGAAAGAACTTTTTGTACATGCACATTGAGGTTCAAAATAAAGGACACCAAATGTCCTAACCATGGAGAAATCACTAATAAAACCACACCAAATTTTTAAGTCCAAACATCTGAGAGGTAAAAATATATATATATATATATATATATATGTATATATATATGTACTACACACACACACAAATATATATATATATACACACACAAATATATATATACACATACACACAAATATATATATATACACAGAGATAAATATATATATATATATGTATATCGGGGGGATGGAGGAAAGATTGGATCAAACAGAAAATTTCTAATTTTACATATGGTAGGTAACGTTGGCTCTATATACAACTCACAAAAGCAATGACAAAGCACTTAGCTGCTAAAATATCAAGTGAACTCTTCTTCCCTTTTTTCTTTTTTTTAGAGACAGGGTCTCACTCAGGCACCCAGGTTGGAGAGTAGAGTGCAGTGGCACAATCACAGCTCACTGCAGCCTCGGTCTCCCAAGCTCAAATAATCTTCCCGCCTCAGCCTCCCAAGTAGCTAGAACTACAGGCATACACGACCACACCTGGCTAATTTTCTTTTTCTTTTTTTTTTTTTTTTTTTGGAGAGCTAGGGTCTCCCATGTTACCAGGCTTGTCTCGAACTCTCAGCCTCAAGCAATCCTCCCGCATCAGCCTCCCAAAGTGCTGGTATTACAAGCATGAGTCATCACACCCAGCCCTCTTCTTTTAATTCATTTTGATTGGTTTCGGTTCTGTGAGCACCAAACGAGTATAGTCACCCAAAAAGAACAAGCATCTGGCTAGAAGACCCACTGCAAGGTGGACAGCTGTCACACACGTAGATTCCTTTAGGTAACTGTTAACTGACAATTTTCTAGTGGGTAATACTGGACTTTAGCCACCATACAGAAAAGACAGATTAAAATAAACCTCTACATACTTTCAGTCCACCTAACATTTCAAAGTCAAGAGATTAAAACCACCATCTGAGCCACCAGTCCCTCCAGGTTGGCTGAGGCTATTCTCAAGGTACTATCAGAATTAAATACTTCCCTGATATGCACATGTGTGTGTGTCCACAAGTACGTTTCTTTATAGTTACATAGCCTTGTCTCTCCTCCCTCAAAACACTAGAGTTTCAGTCCTACCCTTCAACAGAAGCCCAACTCAGGTTTCATCAGGGGACTCCTCCACCTTCCAATGTCCTCACCAACCATCATTCAGGTGCTCTTGGCCCAATTGCTCGGTGTCAACACTGCAGGACTTTCACACTGTTTGTTCACCCAGAAAGATAATGCTCTCCACCATATACAAATTACTGTGCAGGAGACAAAGATCAATCAATACGGAGCCTACCTTAAAGGAGTTTACCAAGGGAGAAAACAGATTATAAACAGGACTTTTTAAAAAGTAGCCCGGCACACTGGCTCATGCCAGTAATCTCAGCACTTTGGGAGGCCGATGTAGGGGAATTGCTCAAGCCCAGGAGTTCAAGACCAGCCTGGGCAACATGGCGAGACCCCATCTTCACAAAAAGCAAAAAAATAAAAAACAGCTGGGCATGGTGGCACAAACCTGTAGTCCCAGCTACTTGGGAGGCTGAGGTGGGAGAACTGTTTGAGCCTGGGAGGTTGAGGTTGCAGTGAGCTATGATAAGCACCACTGCACTCCAGCATGGGCGACAGACTGAGACCCTGTCTCAAAAAAAATTAAAAATAAAAATAATAAAAGGTATTAAGTAACAAAAGTGCTTTGTCTGGGAAAATTCAAAGTCAAAAGTGATTATCTGGATGGAATGAACAGAACCAGCTTTCACAGAAGAGGTAACAAGAGAGCATAAAGAATGGCTGGAACCTGAACAAAGAACAGGGGAAATGACTGTCCAGGTCAGGTTTCTTAACCATGGCACAAGGAATGTTTGGACTAAAAAATTCTTTGTGGTGAGAGCCTCTCCTTGTATCATAGTAAGTTTAGTATCACCCTTGGCCTCTACCAACTAGATGCCAGTAGCACCCCTCCAGCTGTGACAACCAGTCCCTAGACATGCCACATACCCTGCAAGGGTGGGGGAAGCAAAATCATCCCTGGTGGAGAACAAGTAAAGGAAACAGCATGTGCAACAGCATGGAGACAAATAGTACAGGGCAGGAGAAGGATTTGGTTGAAATACAAAGTTGTCATGACTGGACGGCACAGTGGCTCACACCTGCAATCCCAGGGCTTTGCAAAGCCCAGGTGGGAGGAATGCTTGGGCCCAGGAGTTCAAGCCCAGCCTGGGCAACACATTGAGACCCCAACTCCACAAAAAAAATATAAAAATTAGCCAGGTGTGGTGGCCTGCACCTGTAGTCCCAGCTTCTCGGGAGGCTGAGGCAGGAGGAGCACACCAGCCCAGGAGTTCAAGGCTGCAGTGCATTATGATCATGTTATTGCACTACAGCCTGAGCAACTGAGCAAGACCTTGTCTCTAAAATATAAAAATAATAAAATGTTGTAACAATTCATTATGAAAGTCAGGGCTAAAACACAATACAATAATGACATACAGGGTTAGAAGTCTTCTGGACCCACAAGGCTTCATACTTTTTGTTTAAAAGTTTGGGATGTATTCTATGAATGAAGAGGAACCAAAAAAGGTCTTTGACCTGAGAGTAACAAGTGCACTAAGACTTGTTGGTAATGTTGCTTGGAAAGGATGAGAAATGGTTGGTTAATGTCCATCTTTGGTGAGGGGATTTTAAAGGGTTGTTGTATAAACAATTTATACTCAATATTTTCTTCATCAACTGAAGAGTGGTGAACGTTTTTCAGTCAAAAGCTTACATATGTATGATATTTCATAATGAAATTTTTTCTTAAAAACTTATATAAGCATTTTTAGATTCTTTGGTGCTAGACAATGTTTTGACTTTTAGACAGACTGTATTTCAGATGACATGCTTGCCTAATTTTATTCTTGAATATGGATCGCCTTTTTATACAAGCATATTATCAACCTAAAACTAGATTACAAAGTGACTATAGTTTTCTTCTGGTTCCACTCAACAATGAGAACAATTATTTCATAGGGACATATTTGTAACTTGCTTTAACATTGTTAGACCTTTATTTGGAGAATTTATTAATATTTTGAACACATAAGCAAGGTTTGTTTTGTATATTTATATATGTGGAAAGAGGAATAGATAAGGTATATAAAGGAAGAAAATTTGGTGAGGAAGAACCTCATCAATGCCAAGTCAAATCTTCAACACTGTGGGCAGGTAGTGAGCCAGGCAGAAAAAGCTGTTAATATCTAACATTCAGTACGTACTTACTATATGCATCAAGCACTATTCTGAGACTTGGCATGTATTAATTCTTAACTCAAAACAACCCTATGACATAGTATCTTCTTCCACAAAGCTGTTCCTGATTTTTTTTTTTCTCTTGGAGACAGGGTCTGGCTCTGTTGCCCAGGTTGGAGTGCAGTGGCGAGATCTCAGCTCCCTGAAACCTCCGCCTTCCAGGCTCAAGCCACACTCCCATCTCAGTCTCAGTATCACCATGTTGCCCAGGCTGGTCTTGAACTCCCACACTCAAGCGATCCGCTCGCTTCCCAAAGTGCTGGGATTACAGGCATGAGCCACCACGCCCAGTTTGTTCCTCATCTTTCTAACCAAAATAAACACTATTTACAGTATAGGGTTTTAGAGTAAATACCTTGCCCAAGTTAACTGGTCCATGGCAGGGCTAGGGACTTGGGCTCCAAAAGGGAGGACCAGGCTGTTGACCTTGCTATAAGGTGGTGGTGAGCCCCATGACCACAGGTGACGTCGTAGGATGGGGAATTTGAAAGAGCACTCTTCTGACTTAAAATACCACACAGTTCCTTTATTGGAATAATTTCAGCCTTAATGAGACTGGGGTTGTCTTTTTAAACCCTGTCATTACAGGCATCACTGTGGCGCATTAACACCAGGACTAACTTTGTACCTGGTCATGGTCATACTGTGCTGTAGAAGTGCAAGTAATCAGTTTTAAAGTATTTTTAGGTGACATCTGAGACTGGTCCTCAGCTGGTCAGCGTGGCCAGGACACTGATAAGAGGCATATCTTGAAGTCAGATGGGTCACCTGTGTGGATATATTAGCAGTGGTTTTGTTTTTTAAGTTGGGCAACAGTCCTAAGTGAGGAAGAGAAAAAGATTTTGTTTGTTCGTTCATTTGTGTGTTTCAAGTTGTAGTAGAGCTAGCAAGAAATAAAAACATCTAGAGTATTTGTAAAAATTGTTTTAATTGTGGCAAAGTATATACAACAAAATTTACCATCTGAGCCATTTTCAAGTGTACAGTTCAGTGGCATTAAATACATTCACAATGCATCATCAGTCATTTCTGCAAGTTTTTATCTTGTAAAACTGGAACTCTGTGCCATATTAACAGTAACTCCACGTATCCCCTCGCCCCAGCCCCTGGCAGCCCCCTTTCTACTATGTCTCTATGAACTTGACTCCTCCACGGCCCTTTTGTAAGTGGAATCACATAGTGTTTGTCCTTTTATGGTGGCCTTATTTCACTTTGCAGAATGTCCTCCAGGTTCATCCATGTTGCAGCATGTGTTAGAATTGCCTTTTTTTTGAGGCTGAAACATTCCTTTGAATGCGTCTTGTATCCATTTTGTTTATTCACTTGTGTTGATGAAGGCTTAGGTTGCTTCCACTTTTGGTTACTGTGAATAGTGCTGCTATGAATGTGGCTGTACAAATATCTCCTTGAGACCCTCCTTTCTTTTGGATATACAGCCCGAATTGAAACTGCTGGATCATGTGGTAATTCCATGTTTACTTTTTTGAAGAATCATTATATTGCTTTCCACAGCAGCTGCCCCATTCCACATTCCTATCATCATTGCACAAGGGTTCCAATTTCTCCACATACCTGTTAGCACTTATTGTCTTGTGTAGCTCACTGCAGCCTCAAAGTCCTGGGCTCCAGTGATTCTCTTCCTTAGCCTCTCAAGTAGATGGGACTACAGGCATGCGCCACCACACCTGTCTAGTTTTTTTTTTTTTTTAACTTTTTGAAGACATAGGGTCCCACCATGCTGGGCTCAAGCTGGTCTTGAACTCCTGGCCTCAAGTGATCCTCCCACCTCAGCATCCCAAAGTGCTGGGATTACAGGTATGAGCCAGCACACCTGGCTTATTTTCTGGATTTTTAAAAATTATTTAAGATTACATCTGTGCTAGTCAAAATAAACTACAATGTGAGGTTAACCAATTCATTTTTTATTTGATCTTGAAAAGAGGTCCTAAGATCTGTGTTGATTAATATTACTATAAGGCCCCTAAATACGGTTTTTGGAAAGTCTGGCCAAGTGGGCTCATGAAGCGGAAAGGCTCAGGAATAAGGGTTTAAACACAGCATAAGGGTTATAACATTTGCAGTACTATGAACTTTTGGAAGCAATGTACATAGTAGTGTTTATCTGGAGCATGCTTTATACAATGCCAACAAGTCAGGACTGTCTGTAGTCTGGGCAATAATATCCCCCGGCTACAACAGATGATTCCACTGTAAGGGCAAGACTGAGCCGGCACCAGATAATATAAGCAAATATAACGAAAAGTGTTAAAACTCTATTAATAAGATCAGCTAGACAAAAAAATTATCTCATACATAGTGTATATTTGACCTCTACCACCATACAGAGACTGTTAAAGGTTTCAGAGTATAGTTTTATTCTAATTATAATTTGCAGTTTAATCTCTCAAGTACAATAGTCTGAGAAGATAATAATTACTTATTAGCCACACAGGTCACAGATTTTGGCTTTTTAAGAAGAAACAAGAGCCCTCATGCAGACCCCTGGTACAGTCTCAACTGGTGGAGATACTATGTAAAGGAGCTTTTAAATTATTAAATAGCCTCTAAATAAATACATATTTTATATATATATATACACACATACACACACACACACACACACACACACACACACTTATATTACATTTATTAGTAACCTAATTTTTAAAAGCCCATTAAGAATGTCAGAAAATGTAACTTAACACTTGGAACTAACTGAACAGGTATTTTAAGACAGCTGACTGTTAGAAACTTCAAGGCTAGAATGGTAGATTTCTGTTTTTTAAATATTTTATGGTTTTCTATAAGAACTTACAAAACATACTGACCTGTTTCGATGAAAACATTTCTGGTTTGGTTTTACATTTAAGTCATATTTAGATATTTAACACCTTTATAAGGAATTTCTATAGTTTTTTTTCACTTTTGTAGATACGGGAATTCACTATGTTGTCCAGGCTGGTCTCAAACTCCTGGGCTCATGCAATCAACCCGCCTCAGCCTCCCAAAGTGCTGGGAATACAGGTGTGAGCCACCATGCACAGCCTCAATAAGGAATTTTCAGATCATCTGAATCCATCCCCAGGGGTTACTAACACACAAACCAAATAGAATTCCATATATTTTAGTATACAGCACATCCTCAAATAACATCGTTTCATTGACCATCATTTAGTTACACAGTTGATAAGAAAAATCCATTCCCAACCGGGCCACTGTCTGGTGGTTTTTCTCTCTGGGTACCTGGGTTTCCTCCCAGACAAAGCTGGGCACATTAGGTTTATTAACGCATTTACCTGGTCCCAGTCTAAGGACATGGGTGCGGGTGTGAGTGTGAGTGTGCCCTGTGATGGGATGGCACCCTGTCCAGGACTGGTGCCCGCCGTGTGCCCTGAGCTCCTAGGATAGGCTCTGACCACCTGTGACCAGGTGGAATAAGTGGGTAAGAATTATCTCACGTTGCATTAATCTTTCTTAAATATAGGTATGGCTCACATTTATTTCAACGTTTAATGCTAGAAGTGTTTTGGTCTTTACTTAAAAGTTTGGTGGTGTTTTTGTGAACAGAAATATGCCACAGAAACTTAATCTTGTTTGTATCAATTAGCCTATGGGAAAACTGGTTTCCATATACGTAGTTTCACTTCAAATTGCAGTTTCTAAGAACTCACTGATGACAGTGAAGATTTACTGTATGGGGTTTTAGAGTAAATTTCTAAATGTACGTACAATTTTTCACATTTTTTAAATATCTATTTGGTGATCTATATATTCAACAGATGAGAATCAGTAGTCACTTTTAGGGATAGTTTCCTGGGAGATGGCACCCAATAAAGTCTCCAATGATGGGACATGATTTTGAAAGAGTACATTAGCTGTGCTCACAAACCAAGATCCAATCTTTCCTCAACCAGATGAACTTTTCCTTAAGACCTGAAACACTGATGAGTCTTGGGCACATGGCTACAATACTTTTCATTGAGTCCCTGAAGGCCATTTTTACCTCAATGAAATATCATCTAAAGAAAAATTATTTAAAACTCCAGTTGTATAATTTCAAGATAGTTTAGTGTATTTAGTATGACTCACTCTTCATTAAACTTCACAACTATTTTTAAAAGCTAATTTAAATAGTTACCTGTTTGAGCTGATCGATGGAAACAGGGCTTGGGCTATTTCTGTACCACCCTCAGACTAAGAATGCTTTTTATATTTTTCGAGGGGACTGTGCATCAGAGGCCTTCTGTGGCTACACATCTTAAAATACTTCTTTACAGAAAAAGCTTGCCAAGTCCCGAATCAAAACAGAAATCAAAGTTTTAAAGGGAAATCGTCTCTTGTACTCTGCAATCAATAGCATTTTTTTTTATACATACACACACATAGACACATTCATGCCCCCCCATCCCCATCCCACTTTAATCTGGAAGGTACCTGATCTACACAGAATTCTTTGAGTCTCTATCCACCAAAATGCAGTCTACCTCTCCTGTGATGTGAAGGTGTTGCCCAGCCACCCTTGATCTAGGTATGGTCCACGGCTAGTTCTTCACAATGGCATGTGAGTGGAAGTGATGTGTTTCACTTCACTTCAAACCAGGGCTTTGAGAGACAGAGAGAGAGTCTTGCTCCGTTATCCAGGCTGCAGTGGCACAATCACAGGCCCCTGCAGCCTCAACCTCCTGGGCTCAAGTAGTCTTCCCATCTCAGCCTCCCAACTAGCTGGGAACCACAGGTGTGCCACACCACATCCAGCTCATCTATTTTTAATTTTTGTAGAGACAGGGTCTGCCTACATTGCCCAGGTTGGTCTCAAACTCCTGGACTCAAGTGATCTTCCCACCTTGGCCTTGCAAAGTGGTGAGATTACAGGCATGAGACACCACGCCTGGCCCAAGCTAGAGTTTTTAAGAAACAGTTATACTTTCTCTATACTTTCTTTCCTTTCTCTGACTGAATGCTGAGGTGTTGAGCCCTGAGGATGTCGAAGCCACCACCAGCCATACCACCCCACGACAAACAATACTGTTCTACTGTGTTCAGTCACTGACATTGTTGTTATTAGAGCTATTGAGAAAACAGGCTGTAATAATCACTAACATACGCATTGTGGATTTACTGCCTCTCATATTTAACTAACTTCTACTTAATTTGGAAGTTCTCCCAATCACCCTTCAAAAAGAAAGAGAAAAAAACCATGAAAACAGATTGTTTAGACTGCAGAAAGCAGTCTGTTTATTCTACCCATCAGTCTTTTCCTTGACAACTGGCTAGTGTTGCTCTTTTTTTGTTTACTGTAGCTCAGATGATTTATTTAAAACCTCACTATAACCATATTTCAAATGAACCAAAATGTAAAACCATTCCTGCTTCATGTGTGTTGTTCAAATACCAATGCTGCATCAAGAAATTATAGCATCCCACCCTATGGCTAGGTTTTGGAGGCAGAATGTAAAAGTGGACAAAAATAGCTCCACTTCAGTTCTTTATTGTAGACAAGGGCCAACAAAGCATAAGAAAGGTAAGAAATGTCACTTAACCTTGAAACACTATAGGATATCTCCCAAACAAGAACTTCCCAATGCAACTGAAACTTGACATTCTCAAAAGCTGCATCGTGACACCATCGCTGATTCAAAAACATGTCAGAACTGCTGCAACACATGTCTCCGGGACATGGATTCCTTCCCACATGACTGGCAAAATGGGAATGACAACAGTATCATGGAGAAGGAGTGTTGGTTCACGAGTGGTTCTTCCCAGCATGTTAACGTTTTGAAGCTATTGAGGGCCAAGATTTTTTCACAAATAATGAGAAAGACTTAGAAAAAAACAACAAAAAAGAAAACAACCCTAAGAAAAATCAGTCATATCAAAGCACCTTCCTTTTGTGCAAGCAGTGGGCATGGGGGTGGCTGGTTTAGTCACCTCAGTATCTGCTGGGCTCTCCATCACTCAATGATGGTGTGGGGGCACATGAAGGCTACACTCTGAAACAGAGCTTTAATTCTAGTGAAACTGGCCTGCAGAATAAACTAACATCTCCAAGAATGAATCTACATAACCCAGGATGAACATGTCCCAGGATAAAATAAGGCCCCTACAATCATCTGAGTATAATGCTGAGCGCAAGTTTCAAGGAAGAGTTAAGCCTCCCTGTATTTTTACTTCAACTGTCATTGCTTTTGTTAAAGTTCCACTTACAAAGTTACATAGTTTTAAGTAGTCTGGCCTTAATCCTGTTTTTTTTTCTACAGCCCTGTTATTTTTAGTGTATGATTTTGCAGAATGAGAGGTTTTTCAGGAATGTGTGTATCACATTACAGTAGGTATGAGCCCATCGCTAATTTGAGATAGTGAGTTGAAATGCCAAGCAATAAGCAAAAAAATACACTTCAACCTCATCAGACCCCATCCAAAACCAGGTAACATGCCTGACACATATCACATTTAATCATAAAGGCCTGCTTGGGTACACACCAACCCTTTCCCACATTACAGCTCAGAAACTACCTAAAAATTAGTATGCAGTTCCTATCAAATAGTGGACGCCCCAAACACAGTCCACAAATGCTACAAACACATTCAAATTCTGTTTTTCCAAACTCATCATGTGATTGTCTCTAACTTCAGCTTCGTTTTGACAACTTTTGTTTCATCTGCAAACTGAGTAATGAGTCCTTTATTGTAGTTTCTCTTCCCTTCCAACCCACAGCCATATATACCATCACCCTCTAGGCCCAACCAAAACCACTTGATTGCTTAAACTTTGAACACAGAATTCCTTTTTGGAAGACATCATCTTTTCCTTCAGAGTTTTCTTCAGCTTTGAAGGCAAAGTGGCATCTTTTAAATGTACAGTGTAGGGTGATTTATTAACTCTTCTGTTGACTACTCAAAAGCTGTCTTCCTTATGACCAAACAAAATGACAGATTTGGAGTTCTGCTCATTTTGATGCGGAATCACCAACGAGCAGAGGATCTAACCCTCCCTGCCCTGTGCAAGTCCACAGACCCCAGGCCCCACCTCTGCCAGCCCAGCCTCTCCTAGGATTTCTGGCCCTGAGCTTCTCCGTTACAAGGTTCTCGGATTTTCTCACCATCCCCATGTACATTTCTAGGTGGAGTGCAAAGGGAAGGTATTGAGTGTGCACAGATGCAGGGATGCTTGCTGATGTGCCACACTAATATCTTACCAGTAAACACCATCCAACTCCCCCTCATCCCCTCTCCTGGCTGTTCTCCCCACGAATCTATCAAGCAAAATGTAGGTAGGCCATTTTTCTTCTCTGCTCCCTTCTTTCCTGTCTCTAATGACACTCAGTATCTATTAGGTCATGTCTCCTCTTTCATTCACCAGTTTCTTTTTAGGAATCTTATCCTTGGCACTGATTACAACAAATATAACATTTCTGAATTTGAGACACAAAATTCACTGGATTGAAATATCAATTTCCAAGCATAATAAAATGCCTCTAACCTGGCACTTCTGAGCACCAATGGGGATCATCTGTGTTCATAATAATGACCTTGAAATACTTCAAACTTCCAAAGAAAGAAGCTTTTGGATCAAAGGAATCCTCAATTATATGTCATAATTTTAATGTTAAATGTCTTTCCTGCATTCTAAATCCAGGCATAATATATGGCAACAGCAACTCTTTGGTTAATACAGACTTTTTGCCAAGCCACTCCAGCTAAAAGGTCCATTCAGATTGTTTAAATACTGGTAATCCATTAGAATCACCTGAGGACCTTCTTTTATCCATTCCGCCCCTCTAAATCTAAGATGCCTAGTGATAAAAAGTTTACCAAAAACAAAAAACAAATTCCCAAGCAATTCTAACATATGCTCCTTCTCCTTGATAACTAACTCATAGATATTGGCAGAAATCAGCCTGTACAACTATGCTTCTCATCCCTGTCTGTGTACTGCTTAGGGAACTTTCTGAAAACCTAGATTTTTTAAATATATAGATTCTTGGGCCCATCCCAGATCTCTTGGATTACAGTCTCTTATGGTAGATCTCAAATATCTGGCTCCTCAAGTGATTCTGATGCACAGCCAAGGTTTGAAAACAGCTGCTTTGGACGGGTGCAGTGGCTCACGCCTGTAATCCCAGCACTTTGGGAGGCCAAGGAGGGCAGATCACCTGAGGTCAGCAGTTCGAGACCAGCCTGACCAACATGGTGAAACACTTTCTCTACTAAAAGTACAAAAATTAGACGGGTATGGTGGCTCATGCCTGTAATCCCAGCTACGTGGGAGGCTGAGGCAGAAGAATCACTTGAACTCAGGAGGCAGAGGTTGCAGTGAGCCGAGATCGCGCCACCGCACTCCAGCCTGGGCAACAAGAGTGAAACTGTCCCAAAAAAAAAGAAAGAAAGAAAAGAAAGAAAAGAAAGAAAGAAAGAAAGAAAAGAAAGAAAGAAAGAAAGAGAAAAGAAAAAAGAAAAAAGAAAAGAAAAGAAAGGAAAGGAAAAGAAAAGAAAGGAAAATAAAAGAAAAGAAAAGAAAACAGCTTCTTTATATCCTTGGGATACAACTGCTGTTCTCAATGTTTCCAACAGGTCAACAGAGAACCAACATATTTGAGTGCAGTATTTACATGGGACCTGTGGGGTATGCCAAACCTACATATTCCTTTGTGTAATGTGGAAGTCACGGGGTTGTAAGGTGCATCTACCCTGAGAAAGAGAATGGAGTGAGGTACTGAAAACTGTGTCCTAAGACACAGACCCAGAGGTATTAATATTACTCAGCTGTTTGATTCATCAGCAGTTACAATCAACTACAAGACTTACAAGCCTACCCTAAGCTCTGCAGAGTTTAATATTAACACATTAGACTAGACATCAGAGGTCTCAAAGAACCTCAGCTTATATACCAAGAGGCCCCAGAGGTTGAAGAATATCATTCCTCCATCTTCAATAAGCCAGACAACAACGTCCCAGAGGTAAAGCAAACTAATTCTGTCCCGCCCACAGCTCTGTGAGCTCTGGCTTCAAAAGTTTCCTCCACCAGTGCCATAGGTTACTTTATCACTTTAAGCTCACTTCTTCATCTGTAAAATGGGCACAAAATGCTTGTGAAAATTAAGTGAGACTATATATATAAACAGAATATTCAATATAGTTTCCTTTCCTCCTTAGTAATTTCTCTACGCCTCCTCCACTCTCCTTGGATTTTTGTCATACATTCTAACACACTAGCAGGGCTCACCTCAAGTTTACTGCAAGTATCACACACATGTCCTCTCCAACAACTAAACTAGGACATAGGGGGCCTTAGGAGGCACTTTATTGATCTTAGTTTCTCTAAAATGAACACGAAGCTTAAACTCATTAACTGTTTACTGGCAACCCATTCAACAGACCTGATAACTCAGCTCCTAGTTCTATTAATAGGACAGCAGTGGCTATCAAACCTTAAAGGTTAGAATTACCAGGGAGCCTGTTTAAAACACATACACCCACCAACAACAACTACTTAATAATTGATTCCGGCAAGGATTCCCAAAAGACACTAAAACCATAAGGTAAACGGTATTTAGGAAAAGAGACACTGATACTTTGCTAACATATGACCCCACAAGTTACCTACCGATTGCCAAGGGAAAAACTACCTTTATATAAAGAAATCTGGCAGTCGCAACCTTAACCAAGGGATAAAACTTAGCATCACTAATAGTGGGACAAAACACGTATGGGGCGCCTACTGATATGATGCCAACATGAAGAAAGCAGTACTTCTGACAAAAATTTGTGCCTGAATGTAATTCAGCCCCTAGATGCAACTTCAAGTTTACTAGAAATACAGAGTGCAAACGACACCTGCAAGAGACACTCAGGAAACGCAAAATATGAGCAGACAAGAGAAATGGACAGGACACTGGAAAAAAGTCAATGTCATGAGAAAAAAAAAAAAAAAACAGAGAGGGACTATTCTAAAGAAACAGCAATATAATTCATAAATTTTTATCAAGTCCCTGATTGGAGGGGAGAAAAAACCCACAAGCAAATTTGCTGGGGACAACTAGGCAAATCTGAGTACAAAACAGCTATTAGATGATTTTACGAATTAAGGATAATTATGGAAATACTCTTAATTTTCTTAGGTGCAATAATAATATTGTAGCTTTGTAGAATGATTCTAAACATTTCATATTTGAGGTGAAGTATTTAGAGGTGCAACATCAGGATAGGATATGTGTTAAATACACACACATACAGATAAATATATCTATATTAACAACTGGCCAGGCACAGCGACTCACGCCTATAATCCTTGGGAGGACAAGGCAGGAGGACTGATTGAGGCCAAGAGTTCAAAACCAGCCTGGGCAATATAGCAAGACCCCATCTCTACAAAAAAAATTTTTTTTTTTTGTGAGGTGGAGTCTCGCTCTGTCACTGAGGCTGCAGTGCAGTGGCACGATCTGGGCTCACTGCAACCTCCGCCTCCCGGGTTCAAGCGATTCTGCTGCCTCAGCCTCCTGAGTAGCTGGGACTACAGGCGCGTGCCACCACGCCCGGCTAATTTTTGTATTTTTAATAGAGACACCATGTTAGCCAGGATGGTCTCGATCTCCTGACCTCGTGATCCATCCACCTCAGCCTCCAAAGTGCTGGGATTACAGACGTGAGCCACAGCGCCTGGCCTACAAAAATCTTTTTAAACGAGTAAAGCATGGTGGCACACGCCTCAAGCCCCAGCTACTCAGGAGGCATAGGCAAGGGAACTGCTTGAGCCTAGAAGTTCAAGGCTGCAGGGGGCTATACTCACGCCACTGCACTCCAGCCTGGGAAAC
Organism: Homo sapiens; assembly: GCF_000001405.40. Lineage (NCBI taxonomy): Eukaryota > Metazoa > Chordata > Mammalia > Primates > Hominidae > Homo > Homo sapiens. The sequence goes on from NC_000008.11 coordinate 11,192,597, forward strand.
AGAGTGAGAATCTGTTTCTTTAGAAAAAAAATTACTGAAGCCAAGTGAATGGTAACAGGTGTTCATTATACTGCTCTATTTCCCTGTGTGCTTCAAAGCTTCAATAATAAAAATTGAGCAAAAATACACACTCCCTGGCCCAACTCCCTGAGGCTCTGATCCTGGAGTCTGTAGTAAGGCCTGGAATCCGCATGTTAATGGCCCCGTGGGCTCTCCTAACACAGGAGTCTCTGCCACACTTGAAGAAACACAGCTGAAGTGAGAAAGTCAGGCACCTGCCCTCTGGAGGGGCCTGAGTTCTAGATTGCCCTGCCTGCTCAACTTCACTGGCAAGCTTCCCAAGCCATGGGTTTGGCATCTTCCTCAAATCTGCTGCCTTTCCTCATTTGTCCTGTCTATTTAAGACGGAAAGAAAAGGAAGCATCATGGTGATATGAATGTTTTAGCTCACCTACCCATGAGTGAAAGCATGTGGCCAGGGCAAACCGTAATTATCAACCCTACCTTTCCTCCAAGAGGGTGGTGAAGAAAACAATATGTAGCTCTCTGTGAAATGAATACTCTAATTTCTTCCTAGAAATGAATGATGAGCACAGTCCATGCTCTAAATCAGTGACCAAGATAAAACAGAAATTGCTTCCTCATTTAAACTAAGAAGACAAAAACACTCCATTCAAAACAAAAATTATTTTTTAAACCACTTGTTTAATATTTCAAAAGTAAAAGAGGTCAATGAGAAGAAATTTTTTGTTAGAAATCTGTAAAATACCATAGGGTGCTGTAGTATGTTTTGAGCTATATTAAAATAATACAATATACCAAGATCTACCCACATTAGAAATACAGAAATGAAAAATCTCATGTAGAATTTTATGTAGAACTATATTAATGTCACTGTAACAATAGCCACTGAATTCTCTCAGCAAATTCCATCTTTCCTAAAAATTCGACTAGTGTCAAAAGAGAACTTATACCTTAATCTAAACAAACAAAAAAATTCACTTAACAGAATTATTTCCTAAAAGAGCTCAAGTGACCTGATGGTATCACTAAAAAAATTTTTTTTTTACAAACACTAACTTTTCAAAGTTAAAGAACACATCTCAAACAACAAATTACAGCAGGTAATTTTAAGGTTCTGACCCCCCCCCCCCCACAAAAGAAATTAACCTTGGTAAACAATTCAGAAAAACCTCCAAAATACTTGGCTTAAACAGATACGCATATATTGCTTTAGCTTAATCTACCACTAAAAATTTTAAACAGATTACAAAAAAAAGACTACTGAAAAATATAGTTTAATTTTAGCTGAAATTGCAAATTCACAAAATTAGCTGATAAAGTCAGCACAAGTTTCTCAGTAGGTTTAGTCTGCCATAAATTTTAACATTAACTAATGAGATCTCCAAAATGTCCCTATACATAGGTGACACAAAATGAGAATTTGTTTAATAAGTCAAAACAATCCATGGCAGGACTTAGAACTCTACTCCGAATCAGCACCTAGGAGACATACACACTTGCTTTAAAAATAGATTAAGTGATCAAACCAGAATCTGAAATTCCCTCTTTAAAGCTATTTTCAAAGCACAAATACCTGTAGCATAATGAACTTTTTTACACTGAAGGGACATTAAAGATCAATCCATTTAACTGCTTGTTTGATAAATATGAGGAAACTGAGGCCAGTGGTTGTTTGTAACTTGCAGAGTGAGAAACCTGACTTCTTAATTCCACCAGTCATTCCCTTCATACCAGGCTATGTCCTGCGCTTTTCTTAAGTATCTCCAATAGCGGTAAGCAGTGGATTGTCTTTAGGCAATTAGTCAAAAGTCAATGAACTTGTTAAATGAGGTTATATTTTCATAAATTTTTTAAAAGTTTTACTTTTTAAGAGGCAAATAAGAAATCCAGAATTCCTGATGAGAAGAAACTAGATGAATAGCACATCATGGGGAGTAAACTAAAATTTTAACCACAAACTTATTTGCAGACAGCACGTTGTAAAGCAAATCATCCTGGGGTGAAAATGGCAACATCAGAGACACAGTTTCTTTTTGCATCCCACAGAATCTTTCCATCCCACAGAATCTTTCCAACATTACAGAATCTATCCACTGCACTGCATAAGCCTGACTAGGCAATTGACCTTATGAATAAGTCTATAGTATCAAATGATGTTGAAGACAGAAATGAACAACTTGTGACTTCTAGTAAGCACCTGCCTGCTAGATTTCAGGAGCACCAGCCTTCTTACAATACAGATTTTGACACTTTGTTTCTGGATCCTTCTGGAAATACTATGCTGCATCCCCAGTTGCAATTTCGCTCCAAAGCATGCCATTTTTTCATCCCCTTCCCTTGAAAATTTACCATAAATGTCAAGTTTTTAGGGTTACTGTTCACTCAAAAACAAGAAATAAATCTTTAGAGATGTTCTCTTCTTATTCATTCTCCTGGAGGAAGTATCTCTGTCTCAATTTAACCCACTTACCCTCACAGCTAAGCAAGTATTTCTGGATTTTTCAGATGGGAGGAGGGAGAAGGGAAGAAACCAGGTGAGGCAACTTCATGTGGTTAAATCTGCTCCTTCTTTTCCTTGATGGTACCAAAGGGTCTTGCCCACTGCAACATTATAAAAAATAATCACCCTAGTGTTTTTACAGTTTAACATTTTATGTTTACACCTTTCATTCTTTTAGCATTTCTGTTTACCTAAGGTAGAGATTCATTTTTTTTTCCAAATGGATAGTCAACTGCTAATATCATGTTAAATAATTCTTTTTCTATCCACTGATTAGCAATGCCACCTTTACTATGTACTAAATTCTCACTAACATATCAATATATGTACAGACTCTTTATTCTCCTTTGCGAACTATCTGCTTAATTTCTCTGCACATTGGTCTAATTATTGACACATTATAGCACATCCACTTCCTGATCAGGTAAGTCTCAACATTCTTCAAAGTTTTTTTTGACTACTCAAACACATTTATACTTTTCTTAGATCAATTTTACTCAACTTTCCCCTCAGAAAAATCCCACTGAGTTTCTTTTTTTTTTTTTTGAGATGGAGTCTCGCTCTGTCGCCCAGGCTGGAGTGCAGTGGCGCGAACTTGGCTCACTGCAAGCTCCACCTCCCGGGTTGACGCCATTCTCCTGCCTCGGCCTCCTGAGTAGCTGGGACTACAGGCGCCCGCCACCACGCCCGGCTAATTTTTTTTTGTATTTTTTAGTAGAGATGGGGTTTCACCATGTTAGCCAGGATGGTCGCGATCTCCTGACCTCATGATCCGCCACCTCGGCCTCCCACTGAGTTTCTTTTAAACCAGAATTCCATTAAGTTTATGGATAAAATGAAAAAAAAAAAAAAGCTATTTTTACAATTAGATTGCCACCCATTAATAAGCATATAAAGTACACTCTCTCTCTACCCACACACCCACACAGCCCACAAATGCAAGTATACAATCTATTAATGTGTCTATAATGGTACCCTGGCCCCACACAAACGAATCTCCTCATTTGTAGGTATCTAAATATTGAATATTACCATTCTTAAACCACAAAATCTTAGCATTAGAGGGACATTACAGATCACTTATCCCAACACCACTCATAATCCCAGTTATGTTTCCTCAAGCCTATTTAATAGAATCACTTCAGAATTAAACAGAATTATTATACCTTTCACACGCAACATAAACATTATTTGTATCCCATAAAAGGCAAAGAGAAGTGGGCTACATTTATTGAACACTGTTTTGAATTTGCGAATTCTTTCAGAATGAGATTAATACTTGAGCTCAAAAAGCAAACAAAACAAAACAAAACAAAAAAAACAACAACAACAACCAAAAAAAACAGAAAACATGGAGTACCATTAGTGCATACCCTTGAGTACACCTGAGGTACTTTTAGACACTCATGCTTCCAAGGTAAAGTCATTTTGTTATGGTATTATCCAGGGGCCAAACTTAATGGTACCCGATCATTCCTTTCCCAATTCTGCCATCATATTTATTAAGAACACAAATCTAATATTCCTCTCCAAGTGGAATAAGCCTGAAATCCAGTTCTCAAGCGTGGGGTTCCCACGTGATCACTTGTGGTTCTTCTAAAACTATGACTTCTTGTGTCCTCCCCAGGGAGTCTTCTTCAGCAGGTCCAGCAGTGCCTCGGCCTTTCTATTTAAGTGCTGCAACAGATTCTATTCTCAGCCAGAACTAAGAACCACTCTTGTAAAATAGTCAACATGAACAAAGACCCATAATAAACTAAGTATCCCTACATAGAGGAGCAGACAGGAGGGCAGGGGAGTGATTAAAAAAATAATAAAGCATCTTCACCAGCCCAGCAACATTCACTGCAGATTTTGTAGAGAGCTGCATATCCAAATTCCACCAGTCTCAAATCAGAAAACAACGCTAAAACAGAGCTGTAGACCGCTCAACTGGATGGTGCCATTATAAAATGCAAAATGCCTTTTCCTTTTTACTCTCCTGAAGGCAACCCTCTACCACATCCCATCTCACAAGATAAAGAACCACTGACGATCCTCTTAAATATGGCAAGTGGTATAAACAAGTTAAGTAAATTCCTTTTACTCTGAAATAGAAGGGTGCAAACACACACATAAAACTACATCCATTAAATGGGAGATTAATGATGTGGCCATGAAATTTTGGTCAAAGAACTGTTGCTTCTTGACTGAAGAGAACTGACAATGCACTAAGCAACCTCTAAAAGTAACACAAAAGCAGAGAAAGGACAATAGCAGAAAGGAAAACTTGCATACATCAATGCAACAGGCAAACTAAATCACACTGCTCCTAAAGCCAAACCCTCCAAGAAAATGCTCTCACTCTCTATTAACAACACATTGTACAAAAGTGAAGCCCAATGTGACTCCTGCTCCTGGAATAAGTGATTCACATGCCAGTTATCCCCACAAAAAGCACCTGAAAAATAAAGCACATCAAGCTGTACAGACGCTGTTACATGTTTAGTAATTAGTGGGAGTAAGGCATGCATGAAAAAGACCTTAATCACACACTAGTGCTCTGCAAAGCAGGTTCATGGGGCCACATCATTCTACAGACAACCATTCTTCCATGCTCCAATTTCAGCCCAGCCAAAATATTTTCTTACATTCTGTAAAGTTATTTGATAAAAGACGTCAAGTATTTGCCATCTTGACAGGAATGGCAAGATGCAGAGAAGTGCCCCACTTTAATATCGAGGGAAACTAAGTTTTATTAAATCGGTGTTGTGCTCTGTCCAAGCTATAACCAAATAATTTTACATTAAAAAATGTAAAGAGACAAGTATTCACGGGTTAATGGAATCAGTTTTGACAATGTACAACTTCACTGACATCTTTTCTTAGAGATGCGGCCCAAACCAAATGATAGAAATATTAGATCTTAACCTTTATGTTATGTGACCATAAGAAATAGCAAAGTTTCCACAGCAAATATGTTTAAGGCAACAACTATAACCCCAAAAGATCTTCAATAAAAACAGAGATGATGTATGTTCAAACACATTGACAAGCAATTGTTTGCCGAAAGATTAAAACAAGAATTCCTCTAAAGCTTTTACATATGAATGATTTCAACGCAAACAACATGGCTAGCAGGTATTAAAACAGCAGACCATGTTCCTGCAGTATTTCAAGCAAAACCATCTAACTGGGAAAAAAAATTTTTTTAATAAAATCCTTCCTCAGTAAATACTGCTTTTGAAGTATAGCTATGTTAGAAGAAATAACTTACTAAAATTAGCATGTCTTTTAATAAGTTAACTTTAGGAAATATTTAGAGATATATTCTAATCTTGAAAAAAGATGTAAAAAAAAAACTAGACAGTAAAGTCACAGGCACTTTATATCAATGCAGAGGAAAGTTAAGATCAGAAAAAAAAAAAATACTACCCTACATACAACTACAAAAGCTAAATTGACATTTTAAATGTACTTTTCAGTTTGCCCTAAAATCTGGACTTCCACTTTGCCAAGAAACAATTAACATTTAGGTGAATGGAGGTGGGATTTTATTCTACTCCAATTTCATTCTGTCTCAAAGCTTACTACTAGTAAGTGTCCAGGACAGATTCCATTAGAAACAGTTCTCTCAGGAATTTTAACCTGACACCAACATTTTTACTGCCCACACTTCGGCTTGTTCAGCAGAAGCCTACCAGTACATGCTGCTGAATTCTACTGGTATGTTAAAATCTCTCTTCCCCATACTTTTTGTCCCTCCCCTGCTTCATTCCTGGCATCTTAACAACCAGAAAACAACCCCCAGCCCCCGCCCAAAAAAAAAAAGGTATCTCCAATACCAAACACACTACCTTTCATTCGATATGACTTTGAGTGTGTGGGTGTTTAGGAATTTAGATTTCAAATTTAAAACGTATTTCAGAATTTTATTTGACCCCAAGCTATGCTTATAACAGCTAAAAGTTAATCGGCATTTTCCTATTTTATTCTCTCACTTCTTATAAACTTATCAGCAGGAAACAAATTATCTGCAGACAAATGCAGCTAGAAAAAAAGCTGTTTGGTTCAGCCTAGAAAGGCTAGTAAACAACTCTGGGTGGTGCAGGGCCTACGGAACCACCCTCACTTCCCCTAGCCTGAATTTGCACGTAAATCCAGCAGGAGACAAAGTTATTGCATCTACTCTCATGATTTGACTTAATTCAATCCCATGTTTTCTGAAACGTTTTTATTTAAATAAATGCTGAATAGAGATCTGGACAAACCATTAAAAAGACAGCAGACTTTATTTCAGCTAACCTGGGTATATCTGTTACCTGAACTACTAAATGCCTAAAATCTCCTACTAAGCTTGGAGTCAGGGCAGCCTAGGCAAAATGTCTTCTCACAGAAGCCATGCACTTGAAGAGCTTGTCCCTGTGTAATTTATCTTCAGTAAGATTTTTTTCTCTTGCAAATGCTCTCACCTACAACTCACTGTTTCCAGAATACACACAAGCTAATTTAAGTAAGAGGGCACAGATGTACCCAGGTGTGAATGGGTTCATTTCCTCAGTTTAGCCAGTGAGGCAGTCAGTGAAGGCCACGGCAGAAAGAACACCTGCAAGTGGTTTGTGAGGGACTGAACTGGGACACGGGAAATTTACAAAACGAGAAAGGGCCGCAAAGCCAAGCTTGCGTCTTGTGTAAATATAAATCACTTACACACTGGCCTGGCTACCAAAAACATCGTTTCCCCAGAATAGGTATCCAGGTGGCTTTAACTGATTTTCTGGAGGTGAGAGTTAACACCAAACGCTCGCGCCCATCACATTTTATCCCATTTTTACCTGTCGCTAAGAAAAGGACACGTCTAATCCAGCAAACCAAAAAAAAAAAAAGTCTTTTTTCCTTCTGGGAAAGCAGTGGTTTGGAGTCATTCACAGGGGCTGGGAGTGCAGGAGGGGGAAGGGGCGTGGAATCCAGGAGTGCTCGGAGGCGGCAGCAAGGGTTTTTCCACAGGGCCCCACGCAGGCCACTGCAGAGGGAGAACGGGGGAAGAGGGGAGGATGTCTCACCTGGGAACAAACCCGAATGCAGCGGCTGGAGGAGGGAAGGCTCCCCGGGGCCGCGAGCTGGGGTGCAGCCCAGGGCGCCCGCAGCTGGTTACCTCGGGAGGCAGGGAAAAGGGACGCTTGGGAACGGAGCTCTGCAGAGGGGACGGGGAGGGCAGGTTGGGGCAAGAGCCCCGCCGAGTGCGAAGCGGGGACGAGGACGGGCCAACGGCAGGTCTCGGCCTCCCCGGGCCAAAGGCGTGGCCAGGGATCCAGATCAAACGCCGGTCTTTTGGAGACGCCAGGGGCGGCGCGCGGCCGGTCCCTCCTTCGAGCCCCCCGCGCTGGGCCCTTTCGAGGGGCCGCCCCGCGAAGCACCGGGAGGGCGGAGGGGGGCTCCTCAGGGCCGGCCCGCCCCCACCCCGCAGTGCTCTTACCTCCACACCTGCCCCATCTGCAGCAGGTGGATGACCGACTGCCAGATCCACACGGAGAGGCGACACAGGCGCTGCGCCCCCGGCGTGGGGGAGACCCTCACGCCTGGGCCACCGCGGGCCGCGCCGTGGACGTAGCCGGCCCCCATCATGGGGGGGCCCCGGCTGGTGAGCCCCTCCACGGCGCCCAGCCCGCCGCCCGTGTAGTCCTGCACGAACCAGCGGAAGCTCAGGCTCTGCACCAGCAGCGACGGCACCAGCACGAAGAAGAGGGTCAGCCCGAAGTAGACGTAGTCCCCCTTGCGGTAGTAGTCGAGGGCCAGCCACAGGTCGGTGCCCACGTCCCCGAAGAACACCAGCAGCGCCAGCACGATCCACAGGCAGTCGAGCCACGGCCGCTCCACCTGCGGCGGCGGCGGCTCCGGCCGCGCGGCCGAGGGCGTCGGGGGTTGGCGGCCGGCGCCGGGGGCCGCGGGAGGCTGCAGCGGCTGGTCCCCCCCGTCGGCGGCGGCGCTGCGGCGCGGCTTCCTGCCCAGGAGGGAGCGCAGGCAGGCGGAGCGGCAGCCCCAGTAGCACGAGGAGGTGTTGCAGCAGTGGCAGATGTGCATCGAGCTGCTCTCGCCGGGCTCGCTGCCGTCGCCGCCGCCGCCGCAGCCGCCTCCCCCGGGCTCCCCGTCCTCCTCGCCGCCGCTGCCCACCGCCTCGTCCAGGTTGTGCAGCTGAGCGAAGCCCACCCCCACGCCACCGCCATCGGATTTCGCCGCCATCTTGACTCTCTTCCCAGCTCCGGAGGTTGGGGGGGAGGGACGGCGGGGGGGGGGGGAAGAAGGCAGGGAACGGGGAGGGGGGGAAACGAATGGAGAGGAAGGGGGGCGGGGAGGAAGCGGGGGAGCAAACGAACGAGGGGGGAGTGGGCCAGGGAACCCCCTCCGCTTCCGGGTAGTTGGCGTCACTTCCGGGCGAGCCCCCCAATCGCACGGCGCCCGCAGCTCCCCAGCCCTACCCTCCCGGCCAAGATGGCCGCCCTCCTGTGCCTCAGCTGCTGGGCGGGGGACCGGGGGGTTCTCCCCGCCAGGGCTCCCCTTCCCCTCTTCCGTTGACCCCGAAACCCATCAGGTTGACCCCTCGGCGTTTCAGAATCCGGCTGGCCCGAGTGAGGCGGTCCAAAGTGATCCCTGGAGGGGGCAGTGCCAGACGTTTTGGGGTCCCCTTCCTCAGCGTCGCAGCTCACAGCTTTCCTCCTGGAGAAACGCCCCCTAACACCCTCCCGGCTGCTGGTGGAGGGGCGGGACCTCTGAGGGAAGGGGCGGAGCTAGTGCAAAGCAGGTGATTACGTGTCACTTCCGGGAGATGGGATGACCTCATTGTGTAGTTAGACAACACCCCCCCCCAATCAAAATGTCTATGTCTCACCTCTTTGGCTGTTTCTATTTTCTTTTAAATTTCTCTTATTCTTCTCTTATTTTGAGGGTCTTTAAAAATTACATAAGTCAGATTTTCACAATCAAGTTACTGATTCTCACTTCCATTTAGACACCTCTCCTCTTACCTCTGTTGACCTCCTGATTTTCCTGTCACTGACAACTTAACCACCTTTTGTAATAAAGTTTCCATCATTACCTTAAAAAAGCTTCAGGCAAAATTCAATTGGAAATCAGCCTGGTTGGGTCTTACATGTTGGAGCAAGGAATGAATGGGCATATTGTGACCTTGAATATATTTTCTGCCCTATGGAAATATATTCTACCAACTTTTTTTTTAATATGCAATTTTTAAATTCTGTGATCTTAATTTGGAAAATGCAGAACTAGCCAGGGCTTAACCTGTATCAATTATTTGTTCAGGTTATTTAAATGTGTAAGGAGTGCCTTTTAGAATTTTTTTGGTGCTAAGGCGCTGTGGGTAAACATTGCTTTAAATAAGGAAAAAAATGTTATCAATGTGCTATATCATTAAAGTAGGTGCAGGATACACTACTTAAACTTAGCTAACAAATTACAAAAGTGAAACAGCACTGAATGGATTTGAATTACAATGATCTTCCAGTGAAAGTATTTTTGAAGCCAGATAGCCAAAATAGGGCAAGCTACATGGTTACAGTTGTTCCTGATCAGATGAAATGAACATTTTACAGTTAAAAAAAAGAATGAGGGGGAAAAAAATCCCTGAATTTTCTCATTGACTTCCCTAGATTTTTGAACTCATTTTTGTGATTCTGTCTACTTCTCCATTCACTAAAGTCTTCTAATAATGCCAATAACTGTCTTTAGAATGTTAAGAGTACAAATTAGGTAATATTTATATGGCTGGAGGTTCTATGGCAGAAAGGTGCGTTTGACAACTTCAATAGTTACTTTGATACTATTGAATACTATGGCACCTATGAGTTTTGGGAGTGGCAGGGTAGATGGGGATACTACATTTTAGGACACAGCTTTTCATGAGTATATATGCCAGTGTGAAATCTCTGAAGACTTTAGAAAAATTACTAATAGTGAATTTTTACTCCCATACATTGGGAAGAGGGGAGTGATTCCAAAATCAACTTTTAGAAACCAGCCATATAACTGTATCCATGTATTTCATGCTATGATTTAAGCCTCATACTCCCTATGGTATGTAAAACTCATACTCATATGTAAGCCTCATACTCCCTATGGTAGTAAAACTTAAGGCCAGCAGGTAAAGATTATTTCTGCATATAGATGGGATTCTGTTTCTTTGCTGAATTTGAATGAATAACACCTTACATGGCATAAATATAGAGTAGGATTGCCCAGGTATGAACCCCAATTTCACTAAAATAGTAACATGAATAATGTGAGCAAGATTACCTCTTCAAATCTCAGTTTTCACCTTGATATAATAGAAATAACAACAGTGACTTTTCTGAAAAGTTGCTGGGCAGAGTAAAGGTGGTAATCCTTTCAAGGATCTCAATATGATACCTGATAGGCAGCTAAGCACTAGAGAGTAACTGCTATTATTATTACTGTTGTTATTATTATGTTTGCATAATACTGACATGTTTCTACTTAAATTCTATCGCTGAGTGTATTTGGTATCTCTAATAAAAGAAAGCATTTTGAAATACTTCTAGAAAATAGGTGCAATTAATTTGTGCTTTCAAATATATTTTCTCTATTTAAGCTACGAGGCTGTGAAATGAGATACAAAAGCGGGCAGTAATGGTGTATTTATGATTCCTATTTCTGTGTGCCCTGAAAGAACATAAACTAGTGAAATTAGCTAAGTAAATTACACTCGCTATATAAGGCTGACAAATGAGCTTATGAGTCAAAAGTGTTTATTACAATTGAAGTTTCAAGTAGATATGTAAGATTCTCAGACTGTCAAGTGACTTCAACTTTACATTTGCTGTTTCAACAATTTTGTCCTTCTACTTTCTTTGGAAGAAGGATACATTATGGAACCCAGAAGGCTCTAAAATCAGTTACAATGATAATAAACCTCTCATGAAGACTCACTGAAAAGTTAACATAAATCTGGACTGTGCTTTGGATGGCACACTTTTACCTAGAATTTTGGGGGTGATTTTTGTTCCAAGTAAGCCAGCACTTAGCACAATGCTGAACACATAGTGGGCACTCTATAAGTATTGATTAAATTAGTGCAAATTAATTTTCCAGATAACTGAAATTTCACCTTTAAGTGCCAAAAAAAATGTATTTTACGTTTTATGATGTAAACCTCCATAAAATTCAATCATTACGGAGATACCTCAAAACTTTAAAGTGGGGGGAAAGTGAAAGAAATGCATTGCCCATTGGCTTGTGCTCTGCACATCAGGCAGAAAGTTGACCTTTTCTTGACAACTTGACCTTGAAGTGGCCTTATGCTAAGAGGCTCTAACTATTTATGTGCCTGTGCCGGCCTGCTAAGCACCAACTGTTGTTGAGGTTGGTGGTGGTGGTGGTAGCAGTGGTGGTTTTTTCTAACAGTATTTTTTAATCTCTGCTTTCTTTGTTTATTCAGTTAATTAACAACTTTGGCCCCTGTATTTACACTTTAATATAGACAGAGAAGCCAAATAACAAAGCATGTTGGAGTTACATGTAAAATAATACTAAATAGATTTTTAGAGCCTCTTCTATGAGTAAAGTTAAAAAGCTTTAACATACAGAAATTGTGACATAAATTTTAAATGTTTAGAAGCCCTTTGGGGTTTTTCTTCCCAATTCTCTATTTTCAGAAAGGCACAAAGGAAAGTTAGTGTTGAATGCTATTATGTACTAAACAGTCTCCCATACGTGACTCCTTTTAATTATATGGCAGTCCAAAAACGCATGAGGATTAGTATTCCCATTTTAATGGTCTAGAAAACAGACTCGAGTCTGCCAAATGAGTTACCCAGAGTCACATGGGTAAGGGGAGCCATAGATTAGAATCCAGGCAGGTGTAATTCCAAAGCCTGCTACTTACCCTGCCATTGTCCTGGGCCAGGCAGCTACTGGCACTTCCAAATGAAATTAGTGTTACTGTGTTAGTCAGAGTAGGGACCCTATTACAATGCTGGTATGCAGCTAGGAAACAGAACACCTCAATTCCAATATGGGGATAGGCCTCAGCAAAAGCATTACAAAGAGGCTGTCTTATACATTTTTCGTAAGATTTTCCTAGTTTGAGCCTACATAAAGCTTCAAAAGAGTAGGTGGATGTCATCCTCATCAATTCTGTGCCTTGTATCTTATTGACTTCTATAGAAACAGGACTTCTTTGAGTGCTGAGGAGTAAGCTCATAGAACCCATTATCCCTGGAAGCTACATTTCTGTATTCGATGTTAAGAATTGAAGTGTTAGCAAGCACTCTCATACTTTGTTGCTGGTGGTACAAAATGGTAAAATCTTTATGAAAGGGAATTTGGCACTACTTACCAAAATTTCAAATGCAGGTACCCTTTGAGACAGCCATCCCTTTTATGGGACTTTATCTTACAGATAAATACATAGATGTCAGAAAGTATGTGTGTACAAGTTTATTCATGTAGCATTGCTTACAATTGAGAGAAAGAATGGAAGGAAAAAACCCACATGTCCACCCAAAGGGGAACTAGTTAAATAAATTATGGTACATCCACACAACAGAATATGGTGCAGTGATGTTGAAAAATGATAGTTTTCTTTTTAATGATATACAAAGAGTTGCAGGATGCTTTGTTACACAAAACTCAAAGTGCAAAACAATAGAACATGCTGCATTTTCTGTAAGAAAGGGGAAGAGATAAGGTTATCTTTTCTTATTTGTTTGTATTTGCATAAAGCAACTCTGGAAAGAGACCTAAGAAACAAAGTGATTACCTGTAGGGTGGTGGTAATGGTGGAGAGAAATGCTGTGAGTAGGAACAAGGATGGGAGAAAGATAATAAATGTTTGGGGGGAAGTTTGGGGAGGTCGCAGGGAATATGCACCCATATGTAGTGTCACAGAGATCGGTAAGAATCGGCGGGGGTAGGTACATCTGTATTCTCTAACAGCAACATCACTGAGGAGTATTTTGTGAAGTTTTTTGTCTCTTAAAAACTAGTTATAACTCCGACATCTGTGAATTGATTTAAACCCTTCTTGAGCTTCTTTATATTTTTATCCACTGTATTGTCTAAGTAAGGATAAAAAGCTTCATGTATTTACTCCCCAAAGAGCAGAGTACAGTGTAACTTTATCATACGTACACTTACCGTGTGTGGAGTCAACTAATCATGCCCAACCAAAAGAAAATAAGGATCGCCAGGTGCAGTGGCTCACGCCTGTAATCCGAACACTTTGGGAGGCCAAGGCGGAAGGATCTCTTGAAACCAGGAGTTGGAAACTAGCCTGGGCAACATAGCAAGACTCTGTCTTTGAAAAAACAAATATTAAAATTAGCCTGGCATGGTGGTATGCACTCATAGTCCCAGCTACTTGGGGGGCTGAGGTGGGAGGATCACTTGAGCCCAGGAGGTCGAGGCTTCAGTGAGCTGTGATTGCACCACTGCACTCCAGCCTGGACAACAGAGTGAAACCTTGTCTCAAAAAAAAAAAAAAAAAAAGAAAATGAAGATCAAGCAATAGCAAATCAAATCATACAGGCCACTTCCGAGAATGAGCATAGAGCACATGTCCCCAGATTGAGTGTGAGATGGGAAATAGAACACTGTAGACCTCTGTTCCTTAGTTCCTAATATGATTGCCTTCCCAGACAAAGTGGGATTCTAGGACTTAAAGCCTTGTGTTTGTCTTCCCACATGCCCTCCCAATTCAAGCCAAGTCTTTTCTCTGGTCCTCAACCAAAGATACAAGATTGTATCTGATGCTGGCTCAGTTGGCCTTTTGGCCAAGTGATATGATGTCTCCAGTGCAAAGAAAATTTGGGGTATACACAGTTCTTAGGCTCAGTGCAGACCTTAGATCCCAACCAATACTACCAGGACCCTAAGTAACATGAAACCCCACTGTGATGTCTCCTTCAAGTTTAGACACGTATCCTGGTTATAGTAATTCAGAATGTGACAGACACCAAATTAAGTCTAACTTCATTGATTCTTTGCATCTAACTTCTTTTGGTACAAAGAAATATAAGAGATCATTTCTGCAATGTACAGTCCTATTGAAGACATGAAATAGACGCCCACCAATATGAGTCAACAAAATAGCATTATAGATAAGTCATGAAGTGACGCTCAGATTTACAGAACAATTAGTGATTAGAGAGTTTAACATAAGAGATTCATTTGTGAACAAGTATGTAAGCACCTACTACATGTCAGGCATCATGCTAGGTGCTGAAAACAAAACACATTGTACATGGAGCTGACTCTAGCGGAAGTGGCAGATAGTGATCAACTAAACATACAAATGAATAATTATAAAGATGAAAACAAGAAAGCATTTATAAAAGGTTTTTTAAAAACCAAGAGGTTTAAACAAAATGGGATCTACTGAAACATGAGGAATCAGGAAGCCAACTCTAAGGTGACATTTAAGCTGTAATTGAAATAGGAGGGACTATTTTTGGTGATGGCAGGGTCCAAATGCAGAAAAATACCCATGTCAGGGCCTGAGCTGTGAGCTCCTCGACCTGAGGGAGGCCAGTATGTGACATCATAGGCAAAAAGGAGAGGGGATCCAAGGGAGACTGAGATGGAAGAAAGAGGCATTCCAATTGTGCTAAGGAATTTTTATTTTATTCTAAGTGCAAATGGAGTGGCACTGGCAATAGTAACAAAATAATTAGGGAGAGGAGCAGGAAGAGTTAAAGAAGGCATTACGGGGTGCGGGGCGAGTTCACCAAAATGCTGGAGCTCTGGACAGAGATGTAGGCAAGGGGAGGGATGGGTGTGAGATAAGGATTCCACGGGCTCCCATCAGGGCATCAGGCTGACCGGAGACAAAGATTTGCATGGACAAGGGATGAGGCTAGAGAGGGAAGATGCAGGTAGGGAGAAGGCTAGGGCACCCTAGAAAGTTATGCTTGATGCTGGAGGCAGTGGGAGCCCCTACAGTCAAGACAGCAGGGTGAAGTAAAGTGCTAAGGGCCCAAGGGCACGGTGTTATGGGTATGTGCTTTGGGCAGTCAGGAAGGGGAGAAAGGGAGGAGACTGGTGATTCATTCATCCTGCTGAAATGCTTCAAAGAGAGAATGGACTTTGTTATACTTGAGCCCCATCAGATCTCAGCCTTCATCATCTAGACTTTAAGGGTTTCAGCCTTTTTAGTTAACCTTACACAGAAGCGCCTCTGTCCCACTGTCAGATTTCACTACACAAGTATCCATTGGGTGCCTATAATATGTCCAGGACTGAGCTAAACACCTGGAGAACAAATAATTATATAAACATTCATGCCACAAAGCTAACTTTGATCCTTTCTGTGTGGTGGGGTCATATACTGCCAAGTGATGGTTAAATTATGCCCTTCTCTGGGTCTTCCTTTTTTAAAATAAAAATGTTTTGTTTTTCTTAATCACAGGAGGCAGGCTCTATATTTAAATCTTAGCTCCGGCATTAACTAGCTATAGTATTTGGGGCAAGGTGCTTTCTTAATTGAAGCCTCCCTTTGTTAACCATAAAAAGAAGCAGAATAAAATTTACCTTGCAGGGTGTTTTGTGAGTGTTTCATGAAATAGCACGTGGAAAAAGCACCTGCTACTGATACACAGTTGGTCCTGGCCATTCACTTGAAGGTCTTCCCCATTGCCAACTCCCTGGTCCATTGATTTGTACACATACACATTTTTTCCTGGTTTTCCAGCATTGTGTGATGATGTCGCTGCGTAGGCTTCTTGTGGGCTTTTGCCTTTCAGCACAGCATATGCATGATGCATAAGCACGCACACAGCCCCCAGTCTCAATTCCTGACTATGTCACTTTGGGCAAGTTACTTCTGCTCTTAGGTTTATTTTCCTAATATATGAAATGATGAGCACACCGTTACCCCTACCAGTTTATTGTGACTTCAATGCCTGATGCACACAAAGGGCTCAAAAAATACTCGTCCTCCCTCCCTAGTCACTTCCGCTATTTGCTTTCTATGACTGCTGTAACAAAGTACCACAAGCTTGGTGGCTCAGAACATTACAAGTTCATCTGACAGTCTTGGAGGACCAGAACTCCAAGAGGGGTCTTACGGAGCTAAAATCAAGGTGTTGGCTGGGCACAGTGGCTCACGCCCATATTCTAACACTTTGGGAGGCTGAGGCAGGAGGATCTCTTGAGCCCAGGAGTTAGAGACCAACCCTGGCAAATACATCAAGACCCCATCTCTACAAAAACTGTAGTCCCTGCTACTATGGAGGCTGAGGTGGGAGGATCTCTTGAGCCCAGGAGTTCAAGGCTGCAGTGAGCTATGATCACACTACTACAGTCCAGCCTGCGTGACAGAGTGAGATGTCTCAAAAACTAAATAAAATAAAACCAAGGTGCCAGCAGAGCTGTGTTCCTTCTGGAGGCTCTAGGAGAGAAATCCATTTTCCTGCCTTTTCTCGGTTTTATAGTCTGCATTCCTTAGCTTCTGCTCCACTTCCATCTTCAAAGAGGGGAATTGCTTCACCCAACCTCTGCTTCTGCCTCTGCATCTCCTTTTCTAACTCTGACTTGCCTTTCTATTTTTTCTTATGAGGACCCACCCATAATATAATTTAGGATAATCTCCCCATCTCAAAATCCTTAAATCAACCACATCTACAAAGTTTCTTTTGCCACATAAGGCGACATAGTCCCAGATTTGGGGGATGAGGTTGTGGTCATCTTTAAGGGGCCATGATTCTGTCTACCACACCCTTTAGCTTTTTCCTAATGTGCAAACCTGAACTCATCACCCTTGGCCCAAAAATGAACCATCTCCTCCAGTTTTTCGTTGTTTTTTGTTTGTGCTGCCATGATGCCAGCTTCACTGGGTCATTGAAACTTCTAGCCGATGACACATAAATTCCAAGACGAGTGAGCCAGAATGAACTTGAGCACAACTGCCCTGTGACAGATGAGGAAAAGGAAGCTGACCACAGAAGAATGTTTCTATTGAAGGCCACACTGGTTGCCTTAGCCTGGGGACTAGGATTTAAATTCCTGATATCTGGGCCAGGGCTCTTTCCACTACATTATGCTGATACACATATCTTATAAAGTTGCATAGCTTCCTCAGTTTTAATGTTTGAAATGTCTTTTTCTTAATGGCAGGAATACTGGGCTTAGAAGTTGTATTAGTTAGGGCTCTTCCGAGAAACAGAATGAGAGAGAGAGAGAGAGAGAGAGAGAGAGAGAGAGACCTATCACTGCAGGAAAGCCAGTGGTTTAATCAGTTCTTTCTTGAGAGAGAGAGAGAGACACCTATCACTGCAGGAAAGCCAGTGGTTTAATCTGTTCTTTCTTGAGAACTGAGGGAAGGCGGGCAGTGGTGTAAATCCCAGTCTCCCAGTCCGAGTCTGAGGGCTTGAGAACCACAGCAGCGGGAGAAGATGGATGTCCCAGCTGAAACAGAAGCACATTTGCCCTTCCTCTGCCCTTTTGTTCTATTCAGACCCTCAGCAGTTTGGGTGATGCCCACATGTATTGATGAGGGTGATCCTCTACTCACTCTACAGATTCAAATGTTAATCTCGTGCAGAGACACCCCCACAAATATATCCAGAAATAATGTTTTACCAGCCATCTGGGCATCCTTTAGTCCAGTCAGGTTGACACATAAAAGTAATCATCCACAGAAGTTAAGAAAAAAAGTAGGTATGAGTTCCAGTGACACCGTTTACCATGTACCATTTACCAGCTATATCACCTTGGGCTAATTCAGATTGAATCACAGTTCTCATGTAAAATAAGAATATTAATATCTCCTAAAATATTAATATCTTCTCTACCTTCCTACAAGGCTTGTGGTAACCTCTCTTGTAGGCTTAGTGGGTATCTTCTAAATCAGAGAGGTGTAAAAATTTTAGGAACTATTTTTATCCAAGTTAAGGCCTCCTACCGAATCTCCCCGACTATCCTCTTCTTTGCCCATCTAGCCTGCTTACCAGCATCAGACTAATAAACCTAAAATACTATAACATCATCCTATTTAGAGGAGATGTCATGGCTCACTATTGCCTACCATACCAATCCAAACTGCACTCCTTCATTTTCAGATCTTCCATAATCTCACTTCAACCTACAGAGCCACTATTAGTTTTCACTATTGGCCAGAACACACTTTGCTCAGGAAAATGTCCTCCTAGTCCACATTTACCAGTGCTCATTCCTGCACTGGAGCTCCTGGTCTTACTTTAATTCATTTGCAAAGTCTTTCCTCCTCCTCGTTTGTCTACATTTCAATTCAAATCAGTAAACTTAATGAGGGCCTACTATAAAGAAGGCATCATGTTAGCAAGGGCTCAAACTCCCTCTCATCTTTCAATACCTATTTCAAATTCCACCTCCTTTAGCAAAAAATGTTCTTGACTATTCCAGCACAGAATAATACCTTCTTCCTCTGAAACCCTGTAGCATTTAGAATCTGTTCCACACAGTTTATTTATACGCAGTCTTACATTCTCTTAATCCATGTGATGATTTTTTAAAATTTAGAGCTATAAGGAACCATCATTTCATCTAATCCCTCATTTTAAATAAGACAAATCTGAGATTTACGTATTCAGGCAATACTTGAGTACTTACTGTGTGTCAGGCACTATCCCCAAGGAATCTATTGGTAAGAGAAATAGATACATCTCTCCTTGGGGCCTAGAAGCAAAGTCTCTGGAACTCCGAAAGAGTGAGTAGATACACACCAAGTAGAGGGCATAACCTGTGCAGAGGCAGGGACAAGAAAGAGGAACAATGAGGTTTATGAAACTGTGTGGTTTGCTCACAGCATTGGATGGAGCAAGGGGAATGAAAGGAGAGGAAGATGGTAAGTGTAGAAGGGAGCCAATTTTTGAAGATTCATAAATATCAGGCTTAAGATTTAAGACCAGGTACAGTAGCTCCTGCCTGTAATCCCAGAGCTTTGGGAGGCCAAGGTGGAAGGATTGCTTTTGGCCAGGAGTTTGAAGCTGCAGTGAGCTATGATTGCCCAACTGCACTACAGCCTGGGTGCCAGAGCACAACTCTGTCTCAAAAAAAAAAAGACAAAGTTGATCCTATGGGCAATGGGAAATTCTCAGAGGCTTTTATCAGAAAGGTGACAAAACCAAGTTTGTGTTTAAGACAGATAGCTTTAATGACAGTGTGAAAGTTAGGGCAAAAGTTGACAAGTACGCTGGGCTGACTAATTAACTTGTATCCCTGTAAACCAGGATTTTTGTGGTTCAACACTTATTTAATGTAAACAGGGAGAAATGAATTTTCTCTTGAAAAAATCATATTCAGGACCAGATTAATTTTTCCTAGCCCAAACAGAATCAATTGTCCTTTCTAAAATTGGAAAAATAGTTCCCTCTACTATATACTTTTTCTCTCATCAGATCTACTTTATAATTTTTTTTAACTAAAGCACTTTGGGGAGTATATTTAGGGTTTAAAATTTAAATAATAAAATAAATCTCTCCTTCCAAATACTCAGCACCACATAATGCATCATTTGGTTTTAAAATTTCAGTAGAACGCCAACTTTCAGTTAATTATAATCACACAATCTTTGGGAAGAAACCCCAACAAAATTATCTGCCTGATGAGGATTTTTTTCCTGCTCCAAAGCACTATCCACTTAGGTATATGTAGTAGATAGACTGCTAAGATGACCCCCAGTGATTCCCCTTCTGGTGTTTATGCCACTGTGTCATCCCCTCCCCTTGAGTGTAGGCAGGTCCTCTGACCCACAGAATATGACAAAGGTGATGGGATGTCACTCTCCTTGATTATGTTACATCACATAAGACTTCACCTTAGCAGACAGAAGCCAGAGACTCTCCGTGCAGCAATGAAGCAAGCAGCCATGATGGAGAAGCCCATGTGGCAAGAAAAACTGCAGGTGACCCCAAGAACTCAGGATCAGCCTCCAGCCACTAGCCAGCAAAAAAAGTGAGACCCTCATTGATATAACCACAAGGAAATCAATTCTGCCAACAACCTGAATAAGCTTGGAAGTGGATTCCTCCCCAGTTGAGCCTCCAGATGAGAGTGCAATCCCAGCCAATGCCTTTACTGCAGCCATATGAGAGGCTGAGCAGAGGATGCAGCCAAGCTTTGCGTTGAAATCCTGCCCAACACAAACTATGAGATAATAAATGTGCATTGTTTTAAGATGCTTAATTTGTAGTAATTTGTCACAGAACAATTGGAAACTAGTGCGGCAGGTAAATAGAATCAATTCATATTTTGCTAGTTATTTGGAGTTATATGAAAACTGAACTAACAGCATATTTCTAATTGATACACATATTTTCTTGTCTGTATGGACTGAATCCCCCCCTACTCATACCCTCCTAGAGGCCTGCCTCTGTATCCAGCTCCTGGTTCAACCTTGGGTGAAAAAGGAGACCGAGAGACAAATGAGGGTGCTCTTGTCATGGTATAGATGAGCTCCTCAAGGCCCATGCCACAGCAGCGACATCTGGGAAGGAGAAGAGATGACAGATGCAAGAAGCAACTCAGAGGCTTATTTTATATTTTGACTAAAGCATTACATTATGCATCCATCATATTGTACAGTCATAATTGATGCTTATAATGGTGATCCTAAGGCAGGATTGGCAGGCATCAAAGAAACACTGAGTAGAATACAAGATTTTAACAGCATTTTCAATGTTCTACTTCCTAAGATGGAAGGTGGGTTCAGAGGTATTCATTTTATTATGCTTTATAATTTTTATATATATATATCATTTACATATTTATTACATATATGTCATGTAGATTCTTTTATATAGATCTCATAGTACAGAATTTAAACAGATAAATAAAGATCAACCTAAAGTACTTCTTCACTACCTATCTATTCCAGAAACATTACCCACCAGAAAAAGTTTGCACTGTTTGAAAGAGTAGAATGTCAGTTAAACAACACAAACTCTACTAACCAGAAGATCATGCTCCCTGACAATACCATTCATTGAGGTTGCAACACAAAAGTGAGAAAAAAGAAAGGATAAAGAGCAAAAGGAACCAAGTCGAGAGGGCAGAAAACGAAAAACCAACAGAGAAATTCCCTTTTATAATGCTAAAGACAGGAAGGGAAAGATCGGGATGAAGAAAGGTCAAGCTTGGTGGGAGGAATAGACTGAAGAGAAAAAAAAAGTGCAGCATTATATGGAATATAGAGAAAAATAATTTACACATCACATGCAAAGTAGGTTTAGGGAGGCTGAATCAAGCACAGAATTGGCATTTTTGGCCCACACATGGGCTCTTTTTGATGTGCAACTTCAGAGGTCATGGCCACTGAATAACAGGTACAGCGATTGTCAGTAGCCATTTTCTGCTACATGTAGCAGGAGTGCCTTCTTCATTTCAGCACTTGCAACCAGTGTTCATTGGGCAAAGTAACAAGGGAGATGCAGTGCAGCCAGGATATAAGGTTAAGACACAGCTTTGCCCTCCAGGGACCCTCCAAGTAGGGAGGAGGCAGAAGAGAGGCACCAAACAAAACTCTTAGTCCCAGATCTACACTGGCAGCCAAGAGCTGAACCGAGCAGGCAGACAGGTTTTGTTTGGCAAATACAATGTGTGGGTGGATGGGTGGGTGGGTGCATGTGTGGGTGTGTGTGCAAAAACCTGAAAACCTTTAAGCGCCCTCCATTCTAACTCAGTTCCCACCATTCCTAAAAGTCACCATTCCCGTGGTGACTTCACACATTCACCTACGTGCTTGGTCCTTGAAGGCATTGGAGTTTGCAGTCCCCTGTGTAAGTGGATGCATTTGATTCTTGGGTTTTGTCATTCTTATATGACTTTCTTACATAACAATTGCTACCATGATGATATTCCTGACTAGATCAAACAAGTTCTTTTCAAAATAACTGGTACCACCCCCAGTTTTCTATGCTTTCTCTCTGCTAATGCTGTTTGCCTTTGTTCCCAGAACTATGCTCTAGACTGATAGTTTTAATGATTTTTCAAGAATAATCCCTAAATCCTTTTCTTGATCTGTGTGCTGGAGGATTATTTTCTGCCCACCAACCTTCTTGTTCCCCAATTAATTATTAGTTTGTTTAGATTAAATTACACTTGCCATCTGCTGATAAAAATCACAGAAGTCTCAAAGTCCTTTTCAATGCTTTTCCTGTTTATTGTTGGTTTGTTCTGCCTCCTATCAGCTGAATCAGCTGAAAACTGGGAGATCTGGCTTCCAGTTCTTTCTCCTAAGTCTCTCCTCTATAGTGAAACTTCCCTCTGAAGACTTCCTATAAAAGAAAATGTGTGTTTGTGTGTGCGTGTGTGCATGCATATGAGCATGTGTATGCAGTTTTGAACACTTAAGACAAAAATGAGTATAGCCAATCTTCCTAGAAAAGTAAGAAATGTATTAGACAATTTTGAACAACCTTACAATGGGTAAAAAAATAATGAGTTCTAAGAGAGATACATTAAAAAAAACAAATAGTATAAATAAAAACAGATTCCTCAAAATATAGTACAGCCAAATCAACATGAAACAAAAGAACATGGGTAATAAGTTTGAATTATAGGGTGCAAATTTAGATGTGGAAGAAATAAGGCATTGTTTTATTTTTAATTAAACAATTGAGTTGCTATTCCGGCCCTAATGCTACGAGAGTGGCAAGCTCTCTGCCTCGGTCTTCCTGGGGTTGCCCACCTAAGGATGTGAGAGTTCTGGGGTCTCACATAGGACCAGTGCCTATGCATTAGTCTGCTAAGGCTGCCACTACAGATTAGCACAGATTGGGTGACTTAGGTAACAGAAACTTATTTTCTCACTGTTCCAGAGGCTGGAAGTCCAAGGTCAGGGTGTCAGTGGGGTTGGTTTCCCCTAAGGTCTCTATCCTTGGCTTGTAGATGTCATATTCTCCCTGTGTCCTGATCTGATCATCCCTCTATGTGCTTCTGTGTCCAAATCTCCTCTGCTTATACGGATACCAATTGTATTGGACGAAGGACCACTCATATGATCTCCTTTTAATTTAAAAGTCTGTTTAAAGACTTGATCTCCAAACACAGTCGTATTCAACACATAGGTTTTAAGAGGTAACATCTCAGTCTATAACAGGCTGGTACGGGGCTTCTCCTTCTGGCCATAAGCCAGTCATCCACACAGAGATAAGAGCCTCATCTCTGACCACCGAGTGCCAGGTCCTGCGCGCCTACTGCTCTCTGCTGTTTTTAGGCAGTGTTGGGCTATCAGGACTCATTTATAAGACCAGGACCCTCTAGTGCCCAGGGCCCCACATTCCAATTACACCATACCCCATGCAAGATAGCACCACGTCTCCCTGCACCCCTAGGGGAGTGACAGAGGCCTCTGCTATTCTAACACCCCTAGTCTTCACTTCTGTCATCCATATGGGAAGGTCTTCTTTGTTTTGGAAAGGCCCTTGCTCTTCATACCCTATAGTTCTTAATGAAGCCATTTCTAAATGAAGGCCTGGAAAGCTGATAGATTCTTCCCGCTTCCTGCCTGCAGAAAGCTTCCCTGGGGTGATGAAGCATTTGCTTGAATTGAAAGAAACAAAAAATGTAAGAAAAATTAGGGTCTTAAACTACTAGTTACATATGATTAATGCGTATATGTAATTCCATTATTCTAAGAGTTTCATCTATTATTATATTTTTAAATTTTATGATTTTTTAAAAATCAAGAATGACAGGGTCTTATGAAAATGGAATATATTGACAAATATGGCAACAGGTATTTACTGACTTTACATAAAACTTTACACTTAGGACATGCAACATGCAAAGTAAAACATTTATTTTGGAGTATAAAACACAAAAATGAAACAAAAACTGACACAAGATAATTATTGCATCTAAATGTCTTCTTTTAAAAAATACTTTTTTTCTGATTTGAAAATAAGGATACACGTAATTGGCTAAAAACTTGAAATACAGGCTGGGTGCGGTGGCTAACGCCTGTAATCCCAGCACTTTGGGAGGCTGAGGCAGGTGGATCACCTGAAGTCAGGAATTCAAGACCAGCCTGGCCAACGTGGTGAAACCTCATCTGTACTAAAAATACAAAAATTAGCTGGGCGTGGTGGTGGTTGCCTGTAATCCCAGCTACTCAGGAGGCTGAGGCAGGAGAATTTCTTTGAACCCGGGAGGCAGAGGTTGCAGTGAGTGGAGATCACACCACATCACTCCAGCCTGGGCGACAGAGCGAGGCTCCATCTCAAACAAACAAACAAACCAACAAAAACTTGAAAAACAAAGTAAAAATCATCAGTATTCTTACCACCCAGAAATGGCCAATGTCCAATCCCTATTATACATTGAGATAGTCTTTATAACTAGTTGTTGCTCCATTTTTAATTCATTGCTTAGGTATTAGATGTTTACTGTGTATAAGGAAATTCTTATAGAATTCTACAGAATTTCATACAGAATAATTGGAATAATGCTCTTAGGGCCGCAGCTTACGTTATTCCAACAAACTTCAGTTATCAGTGGCTGGACAAATCCCTGAGCTTTTGAACCACCATAGGCAGATAATGGCAGCAGGTCTAAAACCACCTTCTCTCCCCAGGAGGAATCCAGCAATCCCACAGGGCTCAGGAAGTACTGTCATGAAGCACCAAATCCTGTATCTGGTCATTAAAGGAAAACCACATATACCATATCCCATGGGCAGTAAGAGCCAGGATTCTGGAGCCAGGCTGCCTGGATTTGAATTCTGATTCTACCCCACATCACCTAGGTGACCCTGGACAAGCTACTTAGCCCCTCTGTGCAACAGTTTCTTCAACTATAAAATAAGGATGACAACAATGACCTTGACATAGATGGTTGTAAAAGAGAAATGAGCTGAAATGTAGAAAGCTTTGCAAGGGTGCATAGAACATAGTAGGCACACAAGAAGTATTAGCTGTAATTTACTTAATTTTTAAATATTGTGCTACACATGTCCTGAAACACACACTTTTAGTCTTCTGATCCTTGCCCCAAATGAGTACACTATCAATGGCATGAGCCAATGAGCCAAAGAGGAGGAGCCATGAATAATATATAAGGAAGACTACCCAGTAAATCAGTTAGGGCAGGCTGTAATCTGCAAACTTTCCAGTAACTCGTGGTGATGCTAGATTCTGTTATGGGTAGATTGACTGATTTAAAACCACCTCCCTCTCTGGAAGATTTTCCTAAAGAAGAGAGAACTTACTTTCCCTCTTTTCCCCTGTCTCCCACTTTCACACTCAAAATGCTTTATCTCAGGAAGAAAGAAAAGCAAACCCTTGGCTGGGTGTGGTGGCTCACGCCTGTAATCACAACACTTTGGGAGGCCAAGGTGCGTGGATCGCTTGAGCCCAGGAACTTGAGACCAGCCTGGGCAACGTGGCAAAACCCTGAATCTACAAAAAATACAAAAATTAGCCAGGCATGGTGGTACATACCTATAGTCCTATAGTCCCAGCTATTCAGGGGGCTGAGGCAAGAGGATTGCTTGAGCCCAGGAGGCTGAGGTTGAAGCCAGCCATGATCGCACCACTGCACTCCAGCCTGGGTGACAGAGTGAGACCCTGTCTCAAAGCAAATCCTCCAGGCTGGCAGCTACTGAAGAATTACAAGTTCACTTGAGAGCGGGAGGATGTGGCGACTGGCACTGAGACTCCCAAGATTCACTCTCCATCCTTTTTTCCTTCTTATGAGACAGAGTCTCACTCGGTCGCCCAGGCTGGAGTGCAGTGGCATGATCTCAGCTCACCGTAACCTCCGCCTCCTGCGTTCAAGCAATTCTCCTGCCTCAGCTTCCCCAGTAGCTGGGATTACAGGCGCCTGCCACCACGCCCAGCTAATTTTTGTATTTTTAGTAAAGATGGGGTTTCACCATGTTGGCCAGGCTGGCCTCAAACTCCTGACCTCAGGGGATCCGGCCACCTCAGCCTCCCAAAGTGCTGGGATTACACCTGTGAGCCACCATGCCTGGCCCCCTACCCATCTTTCATCTCTACTTGTTTCACCAGATTTATCCATGTGGTAGGAAGTGTGTCCATATTGTTCTCAAATTTCACATGTTGTAGTTTGTAACACCAGATGCTAATTGACCTCTTTTGCCCATAGGTCAAAAACTGTAGAGAAAGAATTCATTGGCTCCGCTTCCAGGTGCCCTCTCTTGGGCCAGTTAATTATGGTTGGGGTAGTGGGGGATGAGTTTGGTCAGAACATTTCAGGGAAGGCTCCAGGAAGGTTCAGCCCCCAAGAGAAGGAGCATTCTGGGCAGGAAATTTCATAAAACTCCAGAACAAACAGATTTACCATTTATACCCATTGATGGGTCTCCACTGATAAGAACATCCATCTTCAATATTCACTATTATTTAAAAAAAATTTTTTGGCTGAGTACAGTGGCTCACACCTGTAATCCCAGCACTTTGGGAGGCCAAGGTGGGTGAGTCACTTGAGATCAGGAGTATGAGACCAGCCTGGCCAACATGGTGAAATCCTGTCTCTACCAAAAATACAAAACTTAGCTGGGCATGGTGCCACATGCCTGTATTCCCAGCTACTTGGGAGGCTGAGGCATGAGAATTGCTTGAACCTGGGAGGCAGAGGTTGCAGTGAGCTGAGATCGACCACTGCACTCCAGCCTGGGTGACAGAGTGAGACTCAGTCTCTCAAAAAAAAAAAAATTAATAAAATATACTCTTAATGTACTTAAAATTGCAACCAAACTGGCTTTTAAAATGTTTATTTCAAACTCCTAAGATTCTGCTTTCTGAAGTGAAAGCTAGCATTTCCCAAAGGAGAGGAGAGTTAACAAAGCTCCTCGTTTTCTAGAGAATAGAGATAAGAGCCAGCTCTTGTAGAGTGCACATTTGAAGATGTCTGATTTGGGATGAAAAGTCTATGAATGTGATTTGTGACTTAGAAGAAACAGGTGCTAGGTAAGATTTTTGTTTGTCTGTTTATTTCTTTGCTTACCAGAAAAAGACAAGAAAACTCACCTCAGTGAACTTACTTGCACCATGCACTGGGCTAGGAGTTCAACACTCATTATTACTTAATTTTTACCACTCTCCTGAAGATAAAGTATTCTCATTTTGCCCATGAGGAAACAGACCCAGAGAAGTAATTTGCCCAAGTCACCCAGCCAAAAAGTGGTGAAGCTGGGACTTTAATTCAGGCCCACCTTAATATAAAGTTCATGCTATTTCCAGTATTTCCAGCAGTTGAAGTATAATTATAAGAGAACCTGTCAAGGTTGGGGTAGGAAATAGAGTGGAATCCTTGATACTGCTGTGGCTAAAATTTCAACTTTGAAAACACAAAATATGAAGCTAATGAATTACACTTTACTTAGATTAATTTAAGCAAGTTTTAGGAGTCACTTCTACTATCTAACAGAAAAAGGAAGATTTATTGCATGCATGAAGAAAACAAAGAAATAAGTAAAAAGGGACAATACCACAATTTATGTGTCTAACAGCTCAGAAACTTATGGTTGCCTTTTTTTCTTAACGAAGTTCAAGAGTGAGTTGAGACATAAAGAATTAGAGGATTCTGGCCAGGCACGGTGGCTCATGCCTGTAATCCCAGCACTTTGGCAGGCCAAGGCGGGTGGATCACCTGAAATCAGGAGCTCAAGACCAGCCTGGCCAACATGGCGAAACCCTGTCTCTACTAAAAATGCAAAAATAATTAGCCAGGTATGGTGGCGGGTGCCTGTAGCCCCAGCTACTCAGGAGGTTGAGGCAGGAGAATCACTTGAACCCAGGAGGCAGAGGTTGCAGTGAGCCGAGATTGCGCCACTGCACTCCAGCCTGGGTGACAGAGCGAGACTCCATCTCAAAAAAAAAAAAAATATAATAATTATAGGATTCCTTTAGGATTTTTTAAGGTATAAAACAGTGGTTTGGGTTTTGCCAGAATTTATTATAGGATTTTAGTGTTTTATTGTTTAATAGTTAAGAAACTTCAAAGTTTTAGGGTAGTTATGTGAAAATGTAAAATCGTCAGCACTGTTGTCAGTGCTCACACAATTTTAAAAACATAAGTACAAATCATATGGAATTTAATAGTCCCTGGTCAATTAATACTTTTTAATGGTCTGTAATGAGTCTAAAAGGATGTTAAGTAAAATATTGAACATTTAAAAAACATTTATTAAAATGTTTTATTAAAACATTTTGGTCTTTTCTAATGGGAAACAGTTAAAGGTATAATATTTGATACCCTACACTTAATAAGCACTTTACCAGGTAGGTTCTATCATTTTTTTTAGTCCATGCTTAAAAAGCTCAGAAAAACAGTACATAACGGAAATGCCAATTTTTCTGTAAGAGTAAAGTAAATGATGAATTACTGCCACCTCCCCATTGACTCAGGCATTCTTGAAACACATCATGTAACAGAACGATTGGATGGGGTCCAAGGCAGAAGGGTCTTGTTGGATCCACTCCTATAAGCTTCAATCGATGCCCTGAACCTTTTTGGGCCCCAGTTTCATTACACTAAAATAGAAAAAATAATCTCGTTCCCATACTTATATCTTAAATTTAGTAGGAAGATCAGGAGTGTGCAAAGCCTAGCTTATTCATCTCTCTGCCCCTCACCCCCAGGCCTGGTCTACTGGGCATTTAATGAATGCTGGATTACATTGAGGAAGGAAATCCATCTGAGGAGTCTAAAAATAAAATGAAGCGTCTGTAAACTCAGGTCTACAGTGCTCCTACCCACCATTAAACTTGTACGACCATCTGGAAACGGTGTCTGTGTTTGTGTACTTTGTACTAAGAGATATCTATGAGTATCTTGTATTCATAGAAGGAGAAGAGAAGGGTAAAATCCAAGAACATACATGTAAAAATCAACTTAATTTAATGGTTTTTAAAAGGGTGTTTTGTTGTTGTTGTTGTTGTTGTTGTTTTGTTTGTTTGTTTTTTGAGACAAGGTCTCACTCTGTTGCCCAGGCTGGAGTGCAGTGGCACAGAAATGGCTGCTGTAACCTCAATCTCGTGGGCTCACTCAATCCTCCTGCCTCAGCCTCCTGAGTAGCTGGGACCACAGGTGCATGCCATCACACCCAGCTAATTTTAAAATTTTGTAGAGACAGGGTCTTGCTATGTTGCCCAGGTATCTAGCGATCTTCCTGTCAAAGTGCTGGGATTACAGGTGTAAAAGGGTTAAATATAAACTTTAATTCACCCGTATTTTAATATGAAAAGAGAACTAAAGGTTTTCAATTAAAAACTATAAACAATGAAAAGAAACTTCAATTTAATACAAAGATTTCTTAAGGAAGGCAGGAACAGGGCCAGGAAGAGGAAGAAAATAGCCGCCCTCCGTGCTTACATTAGTCCAAAGGCAAAGACCTACCTCATTTACTAGAACTGCTTTTCCAAGTGCCTGGATCGATACTTAAAATATGATTACACTGCCTGAAACTCTTACAAAAATTGAGGATGGGATGGATTTTACGTCCTGAATTGGAAGGACAGGTGTTTTTGAAATCACTTATTTTCATAACCTTCAATTAGCTAGAGGTGAGGCAACTCCAGACTTTGGAATTTGGAAGGGA
The DNA here is from genome assembly GCF_000001405.40 of Homo sapiens. Lineage (NCBI taxonomy): Eukaryota > Metazoa > Chordata > Mammalia > Primates > Hominidae > Homo > Homo sapiens. The sequence continues at coordinate 11,222,671 of NC_000008.11, forward strand.
AGTGTACTGTATCAGCTTTCATTTTATTTAAACAAACAAAAATCTCATGGAGAAGTAAGACAATCATTTTTGTGGCTTTCAAACATACCGTTTTTCTAAGATTCACTGGCCATTGCCTTATCACCACTGCAGGCAAAAGGGGGCCCCATAGCCCGAATAAATTTAGCCAAATGTTGGAAATTTTTGCATCTCTTTTTACGCATCCTCTCTGTATTAGTCCATTCTCAAACCACTATAAAGATACTACCTGAGACTAGGTAATTCATAAAGGAAAGAGGTTTAATTGGCTCACTGTTCCACATGGCCGGGGAGTCCTCAGGAAACTTAGAACCATGGTGGAAGGCGAAGCAGGCACGTATTACGTGGTGGCAGGTGAAAAACAGCGTGTGAGAGAGCAGGAAAAACTACCATTTATAAAACCGGCAGATCTCGTGAGAATTCACTCACTATCGTGAGAATAACATGGGAAACCACCCTCACAATCCTATCACTCCCCTCTCTCCATACATGGGAACACAAAGCCTAACCAGATCACTCCCCCACCAGAATTGTTATAAAACATAGCTGTGTCATAGCTCTCTTCCAAAAAATGGTTTATGGGTCAGGCACAATGGCTCATGCCTGTAATCCCCACACTTTCAGAAGCTGAGGCGGGTGGTTCACTTGAGCCTAGGAGTTTGAGACCACCCTGAGCAACATGGCAAAACAAAAACCTCATCTCTAGAAAAAATTACAAAAAGTGGCCGGGCGCCGAGGCTCGCGCCTGTAATCCCAGCACTTTGGGAGGCCAAGGCGGGCGGATCACGAGGTCAGGAGATCGAGTCCATCCTGGCTAACACGGTGAAACCCCGTCTCTACTAAAAATACACAAAACATTAGCTCGGGCGTGGTGGCGGGCGCCTGCAGTCCCAACTACTTGGGAGGCTGAGTTAGGAGAATGGTGCGAACCCAGGAGGCGGAGCTTGCAGTGAGCCGAGATCGCGCCATTGCACTCCAGCCTGGGCAACAGAGAGAGACTCCATCCCCCAAAAAAAATTGGCTGGGTGCTGTGGCACGCACCTGTGGTCCCAGCTACTCAGGAGCCTGAGGTGGGAGGATCACTGGAGCCCAGGAGTTTGAGGCTACATTGAGCAGTGATGGTGCCACCACACTCCTGCCTGGGTAACAGTGCGAGACCCTGTCTCAAAAAAAAAATCTGACAGCTGTTGTCAACCCTGGTTCCATTAGAACCACGTGCAAAAAAACAGCTCATTACCCAGGCAACCCCGCCCCGTCCCCCCACCACCACCCCACGCCCGGAGCCCTCCAGCCTGATTTAATTGGTTATTTGAAATAGTCAGCTAGGATTGAGAACAGCTCAACTGTCTCTTTTCCTGACTCTCCCCTTCTCTATGTAGGGTGAACCATCCCTGTCATGTGAGTTCCTAGAGCCTTCTCTACATACCCCACCCTATCACATAGCACTGCCAGTTGCAGTTCATGTTTCCTATCTACTCGTGTTAGACCTAAGCTCTTCTGGCACTGGGGTCTTAATTTTTATCCTTTTATCCCATGCCTTGGTAACCCAAGGGGGAATTACCCGGGGAGCTCTTCCCAATACACACCTGTATTAGTTTATTCTTGCACTGCTATAAAGAACTGCCTGAGTCTGAGTAATTTATAAAGAAAAGAGGTTTGATTGGTTCACAGTTCTGCAAGCTGTACAGGTAGCATGGCTGGGGAGGCCTCAGGAAACTTACAATCATGGTAGAAGTTGAAGGGGAAGCATGCACGTGTTACATGGCTGAAGCAGGAGGAAGAGGGAGAAGGAGGAAATGCTACACACTTTTAAACAACCAGATCTCATGAGAACTGACTCACCATCACAAGAACAGCAAGGGGGAATCTGCCCCCATGATCCAATCACCTCCCACCAGCCCCCTCCTTTAGCCTTGGGGATTACAATTCAACATGAGATTTGGGCAAGGACACAGACCGAAACCATATCAACACCTTACCTCCAGAGAGTCTATGTGGAATTGGAAGGGTAGGTTCGAGCACAGGTGGGTGAAGAGGATGAGTTCTTGTGGTGCAGATGAGCTTCTAGGCGACTCTGATTGGCAGCTTCCAGCATGCCCCATCCCCAGCCTACTGCTCTGGACTCTGTCAGGTGTGACTGCTCCCTGTCTTCCTTTTAGTTGGTTCTGTCACAAAGTCCTGTCTGTCCTTCCTTCCTCCATAATGTTCTCCAATTGCACACACATTTCCCCTTTTCATGTTTTGGGGTGCCATAAGAATCATCTCTCAAGCGGTTTGCTGCTGTCATGCCCTTTCTCAGAAACCTACATGGGCTTCTAATGGCTTTTTTTTTTTTTTTTTTTGAGACAGCTGCACTGCAGTGGTGTGATCTTGGTTCACTGCAGCCTCAACTTCCCAGGCTCACACAATCCTCTCACCTCAGCCTCCTAAGTAGCTGGTATTACAGATGTGTGCCACCACACCTGGCTAATTTTTGTATTTTTTTGTAACGATGGGTTTCACCAGGTTGCCAAGGCTGGCCTCAGACTCCTGGGCTCAATTGATCCTCCTGCCTGGACCTCTCAAAGTGCTGGAATTACAGGTGTGAGCCACCATGCCTGGCCTAATTTCTTCTTGAGTTAAATTAACATTTCCACTAATTTATCTAAGAGGCCTGTCTTCCCACCTCCTGGGTCTATTGTCTCTTCAGCTCAGTGCAATGCCATCTTCCCTCCTGCCTTTCGAGCTCTCTAAATTCCATTTTTCTACGTATATTAAAAAAAAAAAAAGCCTACTTTCCTCTCTCCTCCACCAAACCATAGCATGGTTTCCTTAAGCAAAGAACAAAACAAAATGTGTTTAGAAATCACTGTGGAAGTCTCTCTCTGTAAAGCCTTTCCTTACCATGTTACAAGCTGCTTTTTAAATCACTGATTATGCGTCTTTGTTCTTTTTCTTGGTGTATTTTGTTTTTGAATTTTTGTTTGGTGGAACCAAAATGGATTGGACGCAGGAGGATTTTACTAGCCGTGATGCCCAATCCCTTCACCTGGGTGGGCCTCATGGTTCCTGCCTCTGAAGTGGAGAGCATCCCGAGTGTTCTCCTAAATGCCGTGCTATAGGATTAACGGGAGATGAAGCATGTGGAATGTGCTTTGTAAGTTCTAAACTGCTTTCCAAATGCAAGACAGTGATAATTATTGTGATTATTTTCTGCCACCCAACTGCACTTCAGTAGTTCCACGCACAGCTTTATACCAGTGCAGTCCTTCCTGAGAAGCACTTTAAGCTATTTTGCAAGGATGACGATACAAAATGTTCATGCTCTGCTTTCATTACATTATTACTCTAATGTTATTTACTTCATTCCATTTTTCTAACAAGCTTTAAGTTATTTGCAAGATCCGCATGTGTCCTTCCTTCAATAAGGTTAAAAGTCAGCAGCTGGGATACATGAAGACATGAAGCCACAACAAGGCACTGTTTCTCGACCAGGGGCTCATAGGAATAAGATTCCAGAGTATATATTCCATTCTCCTTGGGGTCTTTCTCAGCAGGAGTTTTGCTTCTGAAGTATCTTGGGAGCCCCAAAAGAAAAACACCCCATGCTGTAGCCAGCCTCCCACCCCCATCGCTCCTTCATCTCTGCCTAAGCAAGTCACAATAATATTTGGGATTGGCAAAGCAACTTCCTTCCCCGGAGTTCACAGCGCCAAGCATCCCCTCACAAATGCACACAGCACTCCTGCAGAGTAGGTGGGCGGCAAGCTATTTCCAGTCCTTTTCTTCTATCCCTACCAAAGAACCTTAGCTTTCAATAGCTGCACAAATGAGTGAGCCATTTTGGTTAAAGATTATGATTCGCCCATCACCCCCCATTAACACTATTAAAACAACCTTTTTCCTTCTTAAAATCTGTGCAGCCAAGTGTATGCTGAGTTAAAAAAGAACATAAAGACTGTCCTGGACAGTGTGCGCGTGGAGACCGGACGTTAGATAGAATTTTCTTTGTCTGGCTTTGGAAAACTCCCATAGGACAAATAGGATTAAGTGGGATGCTTTTCTTTCTCTGCAGGCTCCTAAACCTCACTCCCTTTATAACCTTTTATCCCTACACACCACCCTCTAGATCTCTCTTCTGCTGTCATGGTGGAAGTCCAGAGATTCCTCTCTGTCTCCCTTATCCTCTGCCCCACCGGGGCGAGGACTGAACGCTATCAATACGTAAGAGAGGACAGGCAAGCCAAATGTCAAACTACCAAGTTAGGGGCACCCTCAGGCTCCCCGTTTCTTCATCCACGCAGGTCCTCCCAGAGTTTCCACCGTCACAGCTTACCTGGCCCACTCTTACAGCAACACCTCATGCTGTGGACCTCTGAATCCTCCATCTCAACTTATTTATCCTGGGCTCCTTCTGTTAAATAACTGGGTTTACAAATGGACGGTTTTAAGTCTGCCACATGGAAGAATGAAAGGGAAGATGGGAGCTAGCATTTGTCAAGTACCTACAATAAGCCAAGGGCTGTTTTAGGCACTGTATGTATACAGTGTAATATCACTTGATTGGCACATTAGCCTACATGTGCCTCTGCTCCGTGTGGTCACTCAGGTATCCAGGTGATGGAGGTATTGCCATTTTGTAGCTGGACTATCTGGCTGTCTCAGTCACTGCAGCAAAAGAAAGAAACCCAGAGAGTCACACAAGGACTTTTCACTGCCTTAGCAAATGGTTCGTGCTGATGTTCCATTGGCTAGAATATTCACATGATCCTGCATAACTCACTGCAAGGGGACAGGAAAAATACAAGCAGATGGAATGTTCAGTGAGTAGCTGTGGCCATGCCAGAGCAGTAGAAATTAAAGGCTACCAGCTATATGCCTGTATCTTTAAATATGCACATGACTTTTGGAATGACTGCATAAAACCTCACTGCATGACATACCTGAATCACCTGGGCCTCTATTTTGTTCATTTAAAGAGGTTCCCATCCAGTCACATTCTTTGAACACTTATTCAGTGTTCAGGATTCTGAAGGTAGGGGACAAGAGTGTGTTTACACATTCAGGGGTAAATCAGACACATGCCCAGATAAATTTAATATTTTAATAAAAGGCAGATTTCGATGAATGGAACAGGAAAACTACCAAGTGCTTTAGGACTGCAGAGGAAACAATTGTTTCCTGTCAAGGAGCTAGGAGAGGACTTTGAGGGAATTTATACATTTCAATTGGGCTTTAAAGACTGATTAGTATTTCCCAACAGGTTAAGGAGAAGAGGGGCAAAGGCCTTTGGGCAGCAAAGCTCAGGTCTTCAGGGCCCAGGAGGCAGTCTGATGCTTGGCTTAGGCTTGGTGTGGGAGGGGAAAGTTGGAGAGATGAAGCCAGAACGTGTCCTGGATTCAGACACAACTAGAGGGTCACGAACACCATGCTTGGAAGAGTGAATAGTGTGGGGGAAATGGGGAACACAGGGGGGCTCTGAGCACAGGGATGCCTCGGTGGGATCTATCCTAGACTCTTCTAGAGGCAGCCATCAGAGTATTAACTGATGATTTTTTGTCTTCCTCCCTTTGAGAATTCCTCGGCTTTATGAACATATTTATTTTCCTTTTATCCTGGGGTTTGTAATCAAACATGAGTTTAATCTGCCTAAACACACGTATCACAGAAGCAAAGTTTGTATTCTATCCAAAGAAGCCTGTAATCAGGCGTTCACACTCCCTCAGCTTTTGGGGTGTTTCCTTTTTTCCTCTGTGAAATAAGTGTTCTTGTAAAATATTGCAATTTCAGGATAAAGATCAGGGAATATAGCCCAGCCTCATGCTGTAGTTGGGTTCTGCCCTAGATTGAATTTGAGTTGTGCTGAATCCGGACCCCCGCTATGACTAAAGGCCAGCTTATCATCTACTTCCTGTGTGCTTTAGCCCAGTTACTTAACCTCTCTGTGCTTGAGTTCCTTGACTTAGTAGCAAACAGTATTTACTGATTATTCGTTCCTTCCTTGAGTAAATATTGATCAAGTACCTCCTATGGGCCTGGAAATGTACCAGTCATAGAAGACCTTGATAAAAGCATTTTATCTGCTTGCAAAGAAAGGAGGCAGAGAATGAAATGAATGAATGTGATTCACGTACCTACTGTGCGCCGAGACATCTGCTTAAGGCTTCACACGTGCTTGTTAGTGCTACCATGACTCCCAGGAGGCAGGGATTTCCCCCTTTCTACGATGAAGAAGCCAAGAAACAGCCACGGTAACCAGCACGATGGCATTTAGCTGCCGAGCAGCAGAGCCAAGCTGGGAGTCATGCAAACTGTGGATTCCAAGGCCCACGCTGATTCTACTCCACCATGGTACAAGGGGCTGGTAGCAGAAGCTTGGATTTGCTACACAGCCTTTTTTTTCTGAAACCCTCAAACCTATCACTGGGCCTCTTGGTACCCATCTGAAGTAAGAAAGAACAATATCTTGGTTTGCCTTTTTTTTTGAAATGGAGTTTTGCTCTTTCGCCCAGGCTGGAGTGAAGTGGCGCGATCTCAGCTCGTTGCAACCTCCACTTCCCGGGTTCGAGCAGTTCTCCTGCCCCAGGCTCCTGAGTAGCTGGGATTACAGGTGCCCACCACCATGCCCACCTAATTTTTGTATTTTTAGTAGAGACAGGGGTTTGCCATGTTGGCCAAGCTGGTCTCAAACTCCTGACCTCAAGTGATCCACCCGCCTTGTCCTCCCAAAGTGCTGGGATTACAGACATGTCTTGGCTTTCTTGATGAGCTTTTCTGGATCCCATTCAACTGCAATTCCTGCCGTTGTAGGCTCCGGGCCACCTCCCTAGCCTCCAAGTGCCCTTCCTCCCCCTGCAGACTTGCTGCTTCCACCAACCTATCTAGAGGCTTCCCTTGAATCACCGTTTGGTCACTCCCTCTTAATTGTTCACAATTACCCACATTCCGAGTCCTACAATAAGCAAAGAAAGGGGTAGCGTTTTCTGAGACATATGTGTTTAGTGTTGCTGGCAGTTTTGTAAACTTATTAGTGCCTCTGCACACCATATAATTAAGATCAAATTCTCCAAGGGTTTAAAATAGGGACTGCTGCTATTGTGCTGCTGACAGCGCTAAGGAACAGATATTTGCCTTTTTTACATAGACGGCTCTGCCCCGCTTTTGCTGAAATTCCCACTCTCACAGGGCTGGGAGCCCAGCAGGGTTTACCTGGACCAATGAGGGGGGCTCACTCTGCTGGGAAATTTGCTTTTATAGATGGCACCACCAACGCTGAAAACATGGAAGTGGAGGCAAACGTTCCAGAGCATCTACTGTCGCATCCCCTAGAAGGGGACTGTGGTCAAGGCAGATCAGTAGACAGAAGGCTGGAAGGGAAATGAGCCCCAAGGAAGAGGCTCAGATCCAGAGCCTGTGTCTTGGTGAGACTCCAACAGAAGTGCCTCGAGGCTGGTGCTTCAGAAGGAAGTGGGTGTACAGCTGTGTAAGTGATCTGGGTCATGAATAAACAAATGAACACAGGAATGCATGCACCATGAGAGCCTGGAGGGGACTATAAGACAGACAACGGGTGATCTGGGCACAGGTATCAACTGCTGAACGCCCAGTGTGTGCGTGGAGGAGGAAGGGGGTCAGAAAGGCAAGGAGGATGTACCAGTATGGTAGAGACGAGCAACTGTGGGCAAGGGGTGCTCAGGATGCATGGGGGTGTGGAGAGAAGGGGAGAGCAAGAAAGGCTTCCAGGGGTGAGGAGCCAAGGAGGTCCTGAAGACAGCTAGGAGTTAGCAGGCAGAGGAAGGGGATGGGCATCCCAGGGAGAAGGAACGGCAAGAACAAAGCAGCACAGCCGTGGAGAGCCTGTCAGTGAGCGGAGAGCCCGTCAGTGAGCAGCTCGCCTGGGTTCCAGGGAACAGGGCCAGAATTTTTGGCAGGATAGACTCAAAGGCCTGAGGTGAACCTGCAAACAAAGGTAAAAACACTAACTGGTTTTAAGCAGGAGAGAAATATGATCAGATTTCTATTTAAAAACTAATAATAACTCTGGTTGGATGTGGTGGCTTACGCCTGTAATCCCAGCACTTTGAGAGGTCAAGGCAGGAAGATTGCTTGAGACCAGGAGTTTGATACCATCCTGGGCAGCATAGTGAGACCCCCATCTCTACAAAAAATTAAAAACTTAGCCAGGCGTGGTCCTACCTATTCCGGAGGCTGAGGTGGGAGGATTGTTTGAGCCCAGGAGTTTGAGGCTGCAGTGAGATGAGATCGCACCACTGTACTCCAGCCTGGGCGACAGAACAAGACCCTGTTTCAAAAAAAATAAAGAAGTAAAAAATAATAATAATGCATACCGCTTATAATGTAGTGGCTAGAATGGTGAGAGCTGGGTCTAAGATCAGTTGGAACAGAGATTCTCTAATTGTGGTGCTTGGGCCAGGGGCAGCAGCCACACCTGGAATTATTAGAAGTGTGAATGATCAGGCCCCACCCCAGACCTACTGGATCTGAAATGCTGGTGGTGGCACCAGCAAATCTATGTTTGACAAGCCCTCCAGGGATACTGATGCACACCCAGGGTCTAAAGGAGGTCTCTGCAGGAATCCAGGTGGACAACGGTCCAGATGAACAATGGACCAAGGCAATGACAGTCAGGACGTAGAAAACCTGGCGGGATATGAGGACATTTGGGTGGAATCCTTCGTACCTATCTCATACCATTTTCCCACTTTATACCATGACCCATCCCCACCCTCTGCATTTTGTGTCCATGGGGTCTTGGAGACACAGACCTCGTTTCCCTCTGTACTTCTTAGCTCCCTGCCTGGTCCTTCAAACACAAGTTGGGCTCAGGTGAGGGTTGGCATTGTCTTCTGTCATGATTGGTCCAGGGACTCAGGGGTGACCTCAGAGAGTCCTAAAATGTCCCCAGCAGTGGGGAGGGGAGTTGCAGGAGAGCTGCAGGGGCTGGGAGATACAGCTGTTACCACAGCGATTCAGACCTCCCAGGACAGGTAGCCAGAGAGGGAGAGAAGAGATGATCAAGAGAGAAGGAAGAGTGAGAAGGGGAGGCTGAAGAAGGAACAAGGAAGATGAATAGAAGGAGGCAGAGAGGACTCGGGAAGGAAGAGCCGGAAAGAAAGAGGAATTTGGGGGAAAGTAGATGGCTCTAACATTACCTCCACTCTCTCCTTCAATCTCAGCACCCCCAGCTCGGGTGGGTTCTGTTTCTTCCTCTCCTGATGTCGCGGTGCCTTCCTTGGTCCCAGTGGCCCCACACCTTCCACCTGCAGAGTGTATGCTTGGCCGTGGATGCCCTCTGCAGGTCCACAGGCCCCCCAGTACCTCCCTGGGAGCCAGCACAGGTCAGCCAGATGGGGCCTCCCTATTTCCTACATCCTTTGCCCGGTCACACAAGGCCTCCACATCACAATGCTTCAGGAAGACATTATGCCATGGTGGTAAAGAATGTAGGTTTGGAGTTCTAAGTTCATACCTTTCCTCTGACACCTACTGGCCCCCAGGATAGGGTCTAGCATATGATGGAGCATAAATGAGTGAGTGAATCAATGAACTAGCGGTGAAACCTGGACCAGGTTGATCGTTCTGAGCCACTCTCTCCTCCCTGTGAAATGGGCTAATAATAGCGTCTCTTTCACTGAGTTGCTGGCAGAATGAGCCACTATGTCAAGTGCTTATCCAGGCCCTCACTCAGGGGGTTGGAAAGGGCTTACTGCACGGGAGGTGGAAGCATCCCCACCACCCACTACAGCAATGCCTCTCAGTGTGGTGTGAGAACCACCTTCCTCAAAACCATCTGGAACAGAGGCTGGGGTTTAAAAATCGTCAAAAAGAGAGCTATCTTGATCCTACTCCAGGCATAGTAAAAAGGACTATTTTTAGGAGGGAAGTCCAGGACCCTGCATTTCTACAAGCTCCCTAAGCGATTTTTCAACTCGTTCTAACATTTAAGAGAGCTGGATTAAAGTTTCAGTTTACAAATGAAAACACAGAGTCGACACATGACTATAACACCCCACAGTTGAAGACACCAGAGGGAGGCTTCAGGGTGGAAGGTGGACCCTTTGAAGTTAAATGTAGGAAGTAATGAAAGACCTTCGTGCTATGATGGAGCAGCAAATGTATTATCCTAACACCTGGTGCTATAGTTCCTCTTGGAGGTGAACTTTCTTGGATAAGCCTCTTGGTGTGGACAGTGATGTCCAGAGGGCAAGGATTAGCCTTGCTAAGACCAAAAAATAAATTACTGAACTGTTCTATATGGGACATGAATCGGAGACAAAGAAAAGAAGAAGGAATGGAGCCCTGAGCATTAAAGAAAGTGAGGCTGAAGCTATGGTTTGGAAACGACTTAGGGACTTTTTGGGAACAGAACTATATACACTTGAGCTATTGCACTGTTGTCATAGAAAACCCTGTTTTCCCACACCCACAGCAAGGGCCTCCATACCTACAACGCTAAGTGTAAGTACGCCTGTATCTTGGTCTGTCACCCAGGCTGGAGTGCAGTGATGCAATCTCAGCTCACTGTAACATGCGCCTCCTGCGTTCAAGCAATTCCCCTGCCTCAGCCTCCCGAGTAGCTGGGATTACAGGCGCACATCACCATCCCTGGCTGATTTATGTATTTTTAGTAGAGATGGGGTTTTGCCATGTTGACCATTCTGATCTTGAACTCCTGGCCTCAAGCGATCTGCCTGCCTCAGCCTCCCAAAGTACTGAGATTATAGATGTGGTGACACCCGGCCAACTTCCACCTTTATTCAGGGTTTATTCATTGAGTTCCCTTTTCCCCTTCTCCTGTCCCGTGACCCCCAATTAGCAAATCTGTCATCTCAGCTCAGTGACATTGGTCAGCTCTATCCCTGCTTCTCCATTCCCAATGGCATTGCTCGATTTCAGAAACTTGCCACTGATTGCTTCCTAAGAAGTCTCTCTGCCTATATTTTCTCTCATCACAGCCTCAAACCAACCCTCATACTGTTGCCAAAGTTCACCGTCTGATAAAGTTTTAATAGTCAGAGGCAGCAAAGTGTGGGGACTAAAATATTTCGAGATGCTAGAGCCAGACTGCCTGAGATCAAACTCCAAGTCTCCCCTCTGATGAGCTGTGTCCTTGGGTTGCGCAAGTTCTTAACCTCTCTTTGCCTTAGATTCTCTATCTATGAAATGGGGATGATAATAATAACACCTCCTGTCAGGATAATCGTGGAGATTACGAATTAACACGTGCAAAGCATGTTATTACCTTGCTTAAAAGGATTGTGTGGGCAATCCAAGGAACCAGCGATAAAGCTCATACTCTAATTTGAATTATCCCTGGCATTTAAAATATTTAACATTCTGGCTGTTGGTTGGCATTCCCCACCCCATCTCTCATTATACCACCCTCACTCAGCCTAAGCTCCAACCAAGCTATTTAAGTTCCTAGGATGTGCTCTGCACATGCTAACATCCATGATGTTATGCCAACACTTTCCCTTTTATGGAATGCCCTCCCAGAGCTAGCTCTTCCTTTTCTTTTTTCTTTTCTTTATTTTTAGGCGGAAGGATGTGCTTCCATTCTAACCACTGCTTGGAGAGTTCCTATCTCTGATGGACTCAAATACACACATAGACACACACACACGTATATATATATATATATATACACACACACACACCCCACCTTGCTGGGATTTTGATTATGACAACATTAAATATTACATCTTTCTGTCCAAGAACATAGTATATCCCTCCATACAATTTATCAATAAATTTTTGTAGTACTCAGTGTACGAGAGGCCTTGCACAGCCAGTTGGTAGCTTTTGATGCCATTGTAAATGGTATTACTTAGAAATTTCTGTTTTTCCATGTCTTGCTAATATATAGAAATACATGTGCTTTCTGTATATTAGCCTTGTATCTGATAGCCTCAGTAAATTTACTTATTATCCAATCATGTTGTCTGCAAATATGGACAGTTTTCTTCCTTCCTTTCCAATTCTTGCAGCACTTCTCCTTTTGTCTTGCTGCATGTCCTGGGACTGTCTGGACAATGGTGAGTGGAAGGGATGACAGTGAATAACCTTACCATTCCTGATTTGGAGGGAAAGGTTTCCAAGAAAACTGGAGGACTTATAACACCAGTATAAAAACCTATGTACATCTGTAACAGTTAAGACAGTATGGTACTGGTGCAACGACAGACAAGTAGACCAATGGAACAGAATGGAGAGCCCAGAAGCAGACACACATGTATGTAGTCACCTGAATACAGTACTGGTGATGTGGAGGTGCAGTGGGGAAGGGTCATCTTTTCAATAGATGGGTTCATGTCAATTAGATCTCCATATGAAGCAAAAAAAAAATCACGATCCTTACCTCACACCAAACAAAACAACTATTGCAGATGGATTGCACATCTAAATATTAAAAGTAAAACAACACAGATTTTAGAAAAAAAATAGGGAAAACATTTTCATGACCTAGAAGTAGGCAAAGATTTTTTTTGTTTTTTTTTTTTTTGAGATGGAGTCTTGCTCTGTCGCCCAGGCTGGAGTGCAGTGGTGCAATCTCGGCTCACTGCAAGCTCTGCCTCCCAGGTGCACAAGGTGGTAGCCATACCATTAAGAGAGTCAGAGGTGACCCATAGAATGGGAGGAGATATTTTTAATATGTATATCTAACAAAAACTCTTATACAGAATATATAAAGAACTCCTACACATCTATAAGAAAAAGACATGCTGCTCCATAGAAAAATGGGCAAAATACACGAACAGTCACTTCAAGAGGACGTCCAAATGGCCAATAAACCTAGGCAAATGTGCTAACTTCATTTGTCATCAGGAAAATGCAAATTAAAACCAAAATGAGATATCACCTTATGCCAGCCAGAATGACTAAAATCAAAAAGACAGAAAATACTAAGTATTGGAGATCTGGAACTCTCATCGACTGTTGATAGGAGTGTATATTGGTAGGACCACTTTGAAAACCTGTTCTACAGTCTCCATAAAGCTGAACATATGCCTGCTGTAATGACCCGGCATTTCTATTCCTAGGTGTATACACCACATAAAAAGGTACACATATTCACCAGAAGACACTTAAACGACTATTCGTGGCTGCATTGGGCATAGCAGCCAAACACTTGTACACAGCAGAATAGGTATTTAACTCTAGGGGCTGCTATGTAGGAATGAGAATTAATAAAAACAGCCACACATAACAATACAGAAAACTCTTATGAGCATAATGTCAAGTGAAAAGAAGCCAGATACAAATAAGTACCTATTATATGATTCCATGTTTATAAAGTTTTGAAATAGACAAATGATTCTAGGTTGTTAGAAGTCATGAAGACATACTCTTGAGAGTTTAGTGATTGGAAGAGAGTGTAATGAGGGCCCCTGAAGAGGTGGCAGCTGGCAATGTTCTTTTTCTTTTTCTTTTTTTAAGACAGGGACTCACTCTGTCATCCATACTGGAGTGCATGGTGTGATCACAGCTCACTGCAGCCTCAACCTCGTGGGCACAAGCAATCCTCCCACCTCAGCCTGCTGAGTAGCTGGGACTACAGACATACATCACCACACTTGTCTAATTTAAAAACAAGTTGTGGAGACAGTCTCACTTTGTTGCCCAGGCTGGTCTTGAACTCCTGGGCTCAAGTGATCCTCTTACCTTAGCCTCCCAAAGTGCTGACATTACAGGCATGAGCCACTGCACCTGAACAATGCTCTGTTTCTTGATCTGGGTATAGATTCCATGGGTGTGTGTCTTTTGTAAAAAATTATGCACCTTGTGATAACACTTGTGACTTGTATACTTTTCTGTATGTATATTATATTTCAATAAAAAGTTAAAAAGCCACGATAATGAAAAGAAAAGGCAAAATAAGCAGAACCTTGGGCCCTACCCAGGCACACTGAATTCATTCCCTGGGGTAAGAGTCAGGCTGTAGCCGGCCTCCAATGGCTCCCTCTGATCTTTACTTCCTAGTATCCACAATCTTGTGTAGCCATCTCACTCACCAAATAGAGCTGCCCTGTGTAACCAGTAGGATATTGTGGAAACAATGCAATGTGACTTCTGGATCTAGGCCATATATGGCATTTTGGCTTCTATCTTGCTCTCTCTCTCTCTCTGAGGAAAGCCACCATATCATGAGGACACACAAGAAGCTTTATAGAAAGGTCCGCGTGGTGAGGAACTGAGGTCTCCTGCCAACAGCCAGCACCACCTCGCCAGCTATGTGAGAGGCTCCAGCCCCAGTCAAGACTTCAGATAACAGAAGCCCCTACTGACATCTTGACTGCAATCTCATGAGAAATCCCAGTGTCAATACTAACACCACCTAGGAAAACTGCTGCCACACTCTAGACCCACAGCAACGTCGTGATATAATAAAGGTTTGTGATTCAAGCTGCTAAGTTTTGGAGTAATTTGTGAAGCAGTAATACATAAACAATAAGATCAAGACATACATTTTTTTAAAACTCCTAGATTTGGATGTGCAGCTATGCTCGGGAGCCTTTGGCATGGTATTCTGCTCCTATAAGTATAGCAGCTATCATTTTGTGCTATTGATATTCCTTGCTGGTCTTCACTGCTCAGGTGTGTGCTCACTCAGTGAAGGAATGATGTTTTGTTCATCTGGGTACCTTCAGTACTCAGAGAGAACCTGGCACAGAATGAGTGGTCCATCAGTATTTGTTTAATTGGAGTGACCCTTCCAATAAACACAGAGAGTAGGACCTACGACTGCCATCAGCCACCTAAACCATTTCAATGTATCTTTTTCATTCAAATAGTTTATTTTATTTTTATTTATTTATTTTTTGGGGGACAGAGTCTCACTCTGGCACCCAGGAGTACAGGCTGGAATACAGTGGTATGGTCACAGTTCACTGCAATCATGAACTACTCTGGGCTCATGCGATAATCTCATCTCAGCCTCCTGAGTAGCTGGGACTACAGGCATGTGCCATCATGCTTGGCTGATTTTTTTTATTTTTTGTAGAGACAAGGTTTCACTATGTTGCCCAGGCTGGTCTTGAACTCCTTGACCCAAGCTATCCTCCCACCTCAGCCTTCCAAAGTGCTGACATTACACATATGAGCCACTGCACCTGGCCTCAATATATTTTAAAAGAGTCTACTTTGAGCCCAACACTGGGCTCATGCTGGAGTTGCAAAGAAGAGGAATGTCAGCCCTTGTAGCCAGGTACTTGGTCAAGCAGGTGACATCAAGGCGGCAGACATTGGAGACACGCAGGGGCACATGCCAGGGTTTGTCTAGGAGCCTCTGATGAAGTGATCAGTTCAGCTTAGGAGGGCTGAGATGTTTCCAAGAGTAAGCAACGCTTGAGCCATGACCCAAAGAGTGACTGGGGGTGGGCCAGCTGGACAAGGAAGAAAAGGGTATTTGGGGAAGAGAAAAGAACCATGTGCCTCAGCAGAATGACTTGAAATCACATGCAGTATTGGAGTAAAATGGCAGGAGGGTGAGAGATGAGTATGGTGGTAAGGAGGTTGGATGTATTCTGTAGGTAACAGGATCACCGAAGCATGAAGTAGAATTTAACACAACCCAGTTTACAATTTTAGAGAGATACCTCTGTTTGCAGTGTGGATGATGGATTATAAGGAAACACTGAAGATTGCAGGGCCTCTTGGAGAAGGTAAGGACATTGTAATTGTCCAGGCAGGAGAAGGTATGGGCTGGCTAGGCAAAGTCAGGAAAAGGGGGAGGAGGGCACAGGTGTGAATAGGATGCTCCTACAGGCCGAAAATAAAGTTGAAGGACTGGAATCTGAAGCTTCTCCACCTTCTCCAGTAAGAAGGTTGGAGGAAGGAAGGTGAGTATGAGATATATTATCCAGGCAGTGTGTTCTTTTAAAAATTTCCTCCTAAGAACCAGAAAAAGATGGAAAAGCAAAAAGGCGAGGAGGGGTGGGATTCAAGAAGAAACTCAGTACATATGCTAATGTCACTTGGGAACTGTAAGCAGCTCACAATTTCCATCTATTATCATGGGTGAAGATATATTTCCAGCCGAAAAGAATAATTTTTAAAACATGGGTGTGAAATAAATGAGCACATGAAACCGTGTTGTCCAAAAAAAAAACCCCAGCAGAATGTTTTCCTTAGAAAGCAGCCTTTGGGTGACACTGCCAGCAGCCTGCAGCCCTAGCAAGGATCTGTGCTTTTGTCACTCTGTGATTTGCAATGGGAAAGAAGCTCGCTTATCTAAGAAATGCATCTGAAACTCCATGGCTGGCAGGTGCTTAAGAGCACGGAACAGATGTCTGTCGAATGTACCAAAAGTCGTAGATATATATTGGAAAGTACAGATGCACTACATCTTTGCTACCGTAGTAGAGAAAATATCTCAGATATGCACCAAGGGGCTTCATGCATTGACCTTGCTGACTTCTCTTCTACAGGACTTGGAGCCCGCGATGGGAGCTACTTAGAGACCTGTGTTCACTGGCATTCTGAAGGACCTTGCTGACCCCATCTCCAAGCAAGACTGGAGCCAGCTAACCAAAGATTTCGGTATGGTGTCTGAGGTTCTCTCCAGTCTCATGAGCCTTGCATTTGCTGGTGTTAATGCTGCATCCCGAGTCCCCCTTTTCTCACCTGCCTCCCTCTCACAAGTTTTGGAGCACTAACCTGTTGCCTCTCAGGCTCCACTGCTGTCTAGTCCACCAGTCTTACTGACAAGGCCCCAGTGTACTTTTTTTGGCTGCCTGGCATCCCTTAGACACCTCTCCAGGTTGACTCTCCTCAGTCCTGGAATCCACTCACTCCCCTTTCTCTTTTGGCAGAGAGATGATGTCTTAGTCCATTTGGGCTGCTATAATGAAACAGCACAGTCTGGGTGGCTTATCAACAAGAGAAATTTCTTTCTCACAGTTGTGGAGGCTGGAAGTCCAAGTTCAAGATATCAGCAGAGTTGGGTTCTCCCGAGACCTCTCTCCTTGGCTTGCAGATGGCTGTCTTCTTTTTTGTCCCCACACAGTCATCCCTCTGTGCATGGCTGTATCGTAATCTCTTTTTTTTTTGAGACAGAGTCTCGCTCTGTTGCCCAGGCTGGAGTGCAGTGGCACGATCTCAGCTCACTGCAAGCCCTGCCTCCTGGGTTCATGCCATTCTCCTGCCTCAGCCTCCCCAGTAGCTGGGACTACAGGTGCCTGCCACCATGCCCAGCTAATTTTTTTTTTGTATTTTTAGCAGAGATGGGGTTTCACTGTGTTAGCCAGGATGGTCTCGATCTCCTGACCTTATGATCAGCCCACCTCAGCCTCCCAAAGTGCTGGGATGACAGGTGTGAGCCACGACACCCGGCCCGTAGTCTGTTTTTATAAGGACACCAGTCATATTAGATGAGGGCCCATCCCAATAACCTCATTTAAACTAAATTACCCTTTAAAACCCCTATTTCCAAATACAGGCCCATTCTGAGTTACTGGGGGTCAAGGCTTCAACATAGGAATTTGGGGAGACACCATGCAGCCCATAACATGAGCTATTGTGTTAGACTCCTAACTTCTCTCTGTGCCTTTTTCCTCACCCTCTGGTCCAGCTGCATGGTACTTCTACCACAATCTTCCTCGAACACACGTCTGAGCATGCTGCTTTCCTGCTCAGCATCCCACACAAATGTTCGTGACTCCCTGGCTTGGTAACAAGGACCCCCATATTCCACTCCAAGCAGCTTCTGCTGGAGCTCTGACTCCCACCAGCTCTGCCTCAGAGCTCTTCCCCCATCTTGGCCACTTCCTCTATGTACCTTCTCCACATGATGATGTGAATGGAGCTTGGATGACCTGCTCTTCACACACTTCCTCTAAGGTACAAAGTGGGCAACAGCTTTCCACAGGAAAACACCATGGCATGAGATGTTGACTTGAGCAGCAAAAGACCATGGAGAAAATTGTGAGAAACCTGCCTGGGAAGCCAAAGGGCTACTTGCACTTTGTTAAGTCCTTCTCTCCATTTTGTCTTCTTCAGAACTTGCCTTTTGCTCCTCCTCCCTCAAGCAGATGGTTGAAGATATATGATCACATTTTTAAGTTGAGTGTGAATGGGATTGAATTCACTCACAGCTATTTGGGGCCTTATTGCAGGAAGTCAGGGACCCCGAACGGAGGGACTGGCTGGAGCCGTGGCAGAGGAATATAAATTGTGACAATTTCATGGACATTTATCAGTTCCCAAATAATACTTTTATAATTTCTTATGCCTGTCTTTACTTGTGTCTTAATCCTGTTACCTTCATAAACTGAGGATGTACGTCACCTCAGGACCACTGTGATAATTGTGTTAACTGTACAAATTGATTGTAAAACATGTGTGTTTGAACAATATGAAATCAGTGCACCTTGCAAAAGGACAGAATAACCACGATTTTTAGGGAACAAGGGAAGACAACTATAAGGTCTGACTGCCTGCAGGGCTGGGCAAAAAGAGCCATATTTTTCTTCTTGCAGACAGCCTATAAATGGATGTGCAAGTAGGAGAGATATCGCTAAATTCTTTTCCTAGCAAGGAATATTAATATTAATACCCTGGGGAAGGAATGCATTCCTGGGGAGAGGTCTGTAAAAGGCCACTCTGGGAATGTCTGTCTTATGTGGTTGAGATAAGGACTGAGATATGCCCTGGTCTCCTGCAGTACCCAAAGGCTTACTAGGGTGGGGAAAAATTCCATCCTGGTAAATTTGTGGTCAGACCGGTTCTCTGCTCTTGAACCCTGTTTTCTGTTGTTTAAGATGTTTATCAAGACAATACGTGCACCGCTGAACATAAACCTTTATCAGTAGTCCTGCTTTTGCCGTTTTGTCCTGTTCCCTCAGAAGCATGTGATCTTTGTTCTGCTTTTTGCCCTTTGAAGCATGTGATCTTTGTACCTACTCTCTGTTATGACACCCCCTCCCTCCCCTTTTGAAACCCTTAATAAAAAACTTGCTGGTTTGAGGCTCAGGTGGGCATCACGGTCCTACCGATACGTGATGTCTCCCCTGGCGGCCCAGCTGTAAAATTCCTCTTTGTACTCTTTCTCTTTATTTCTCAGCTGGCCAACACTTATGGAAAATAGAAATAACTTACATTGAAATATTGGGAGTGAGTTCCCCAGATAGGGGCTTCCATGGACTGAATTGGGTCCCCTCCCAAATTCATATGTTGAAACACTAACCTCTAATGTGACTGTGTTTGGAGATAGAACGTTTAGAGTAGTGATTTAAGGTTTAAAAAGAGTGAGGCGCTAATCTGATGGGGCTGGTGTCCTTACCAGAAGAGTAAAAGATATGAGAGGGCTCTCTCTCCACTTACCCACAAAGGAAAGGCCATGTGAGGATGGCGCAAGAAGGTGGCTGTCTGTAAGCCAGAAAGAGAGCCCTCACCAGGAGCCAAATCTGCTGGCACCTTAATGTGGAACTTCCAGGCTCCAGAGCTGTGAGAAAATACATTTCTGTTAAGTTATACAGTCTATAGCATTTTGTTATGGCAGCCTCAGCAGACGAACACAGGGGCTTTCCCAAAAGGAGTTGCATGTTTTGCCTGGTTTTGCTGATAGTGAGACCTGCATGGCTCATTCATCAGCAACTCTTCCTTTGTATGAGCATCCTGGCTTGGACTCCTGATGTCTGTCCCTCCAGAGGTGGATGTAGAGTGATCCCTTAAGGAGGCCATTATCACTGACCAGTGACAGAGAGAGGAACAAGCCCCTTTCCTTCCTGACCCATGAGACTGGTGTTGGTTAGGAAATATCAAGAGCTGGGAAAGGTTTGAGATTTCACCCTACTTGCAGTCTAACAAGTTAGCCTGCCACACTTTCAAGGTTGCTGGCAGAAGACACAACAGAGGCAGAGACAAAGGACTTCATTACTCATAGCAATAGCAGTAACCAAGTGTCAGCATTTGTGTTCATCTCCCCAGTCCCAATTCCTGCAGGCTAATGTGACAAGAGCCAGGTGTTATCTCCAGAGGCAGTGGGTGACTTTCCTAGAGAAGAAGCTCAAGCTTTGGAAGCCCAAGCCTTTTATATTGGGCAGTAAGCTTGTATGAACTTTGCTCTGGAGGGAGACGAAATCTTTATCATTTTAGACAGTAAACAAGCCTGCCCTTTGCTGCTGATGGAAACCCTATTGCTCTCTTACAAGGCTGCTTGCCATACAAGTACCCTGGTGGTGTATCTAGTGAGATGTGTATGCTAGTGCCTCTGCTTCTCTGATTGAACTCTGATCGACACTGGCCCCTAATCCGTTTCAATAAGCTATGCTATTTATTATCCCTAGGAAATATTCCTTCTAGATAATGGAAATGGTCCTGGGACCTACACTTAAACATAAATATCTGGTGTCCTGGAACTTGACAATATGTCTATTGTGAAATGTAGGTTTCAACATGATTCAGAAGGCAACTGCCATTGAAAAGATAGTTTGTTACTCACAGTTCCCAAGAGAAGGGGCAAGGCATGCCACACCACGTGATGGTGGGAGTGGGGGACACATGGAGAAGCACTGGGGTTGACCAGGAGGCAAAGGTAGAGAGGAGAAGTGTGGGTAATAGCCTTTACTGTGACTTCTGCAGGAAAGAATAGGTGAGGCAGGTGAGCAGGCTCAGGATTGGCTAGTGTGAATCCTTTCAGTGGGCTCTGGGGCATAAAGGCTGCTCCTAGTTGCCTGGAACGTAGCCTTGCAGTGATGGTGGCCCAGAGTGCAGGAGCCCCACAAAGGAGGTGGTTGGGAGGTGGGGTCTGGGTGGCTTGGTTCGCATGTCAAAGGCATGCTCACAGAAGAGCTCTTTGCTTCCACTAAGAATTGGCTAACCCTGGGTGGGGCAGTCCCTCCAGCATCAACAAGTCCCCAATATGGCCAAGCCTCAGAATAAAAAGGCTTGCTTAATACGACATCACACAAAAACTACACCTCACTGTGAAGACCTAACTCCAGAAGAATGTGGAAAACTAACCAAACACCTTGCCTGACATCATCACTCAGCCTTCTGCCCTCTCGGTTAATCCAAGGTAGCTGGGCAGCATATCAGCTAAGGCACTTCCAGAGTTTAAAAGCATCTCACTACATAGCTGGTCAGTCAGTCAGCAAGTGTCCCGAGTGGGTGCTGTGAGTGAGGCATGGTAGGGGGTGCTGGGGAGATGGGGGGAACCAAACACACCTGGCCCTGCCTGATGGCACTTAGGATCAAGCTGAGCCCATAACCCCTGCCCCCAACCTGAGCAACATTCACTTGTCTTCTCAAATAAAGGGAGCATTTCTTTGGGGGAACATGTGGGCCTGAAGACACAGCACATCTCTGCCCACGAGGCAGCCTGGGGAGGAGGGAAGACTCTGCCTTCTGGAACTTCTTGTTCCTGTCAGAGGCATCTCCAGAGTTTTCTCAGCAGCCTGTGTGCATCTTCCATCAGGAAGACCCAGATGTCGTTTCTTGGTCACATTGGAGAAACTGTGTCTGCAGGTGGCTCAGCTCATCTCTGTGATGCTCTGCTCTGATCTTTTGGAAAAGTTGTTAAAGTGTTTTTGTAGCTTGGAAGGGCATCTAATTTGGGGATTCGCCTCTGCTCTTAGTCTGTCACTCGCTTTCTATCACATTCTCTGGAGGTAGGGCAGAGACTGTTTTAAGCAATGCTCTCTCTTCCGTTGGGCAAGGAGCCAGAATGACTTGCAGCTGTTGACTGACACGTGCTGCCCAAGAAAGTGTAGGACACTCCTAATTATGCAAATATGAACTTCTCATAAAATAGACGTCAAAGCCCTAGTTTTTAAATCTTGTTGCAGTAAAATGTCTTAATTTGGGTTTCTGGAAACTACTACGATCATCTTAGGAGATGTATAAGTACACGTATATAAGACATTAAAATCACAAGATCGTTGTAGATCATTTGCCCATCTGCCTTGGTTCTGTAATTGAGAAAGCATAGTTCCTGGAGTCTGGCCTAAGCATGAAAACATGTCACAATGACTCTAGGTTAGCAACAGTCTGCAAAGTGCTTACTTCTGGGGGCGAATTTCAAATTAAGTTATTGTAACACCTTGCAGTTCACCTAAGCATTAGGTCAGAGGCTGGTGTTTGGGAGAGTGCCTCCAGAATTGTCTGGAGTGCGTCTAGAAATCCCATTCTAGGGCTCTGCTTTCAGAGATTCCGATAGGATGGGTCTGGCGTGGGCTCGGGAGGGTATTTTTCAAAAGTTGCCCAGGTCCCTGTGATGAAAAACCTGGTTTGGGAACCATCGGTTTAATCTGAGAGTTTTGCTTTTTGAATATGGTCTCCATCCCAGAAGCTTCAGCACCTCCTGGGGACTTGTAGACACACCAAGCCTGCATCTTCACAGAGTCCCCAGTGGATTCTCAAGCCCGTGGAAACTTGAGAAGTACTGGCTGAGGGCATCCACAGGCCCAGGTGAAGTACATGGGAGAGAATGACGATCTCACTGCTAGTTAATCAGGAAAGCCTTTATGGAGAAGTTGGGATCTTCAGCGGATAGAAAAAGCAGAAAACAAACCACCGCCCCTATTTGACTGATGAAGAAGCACAAGAGGTAATGGAGAGGCAGAAGGATTTAGGGAATGAATGAAGAGTGTGCTGACTCAGTTGAACGAAAACATGGAACACAAACTCTATGTCATTGGCATGTTGCAGCTCATGCCTATAATCCCAGCACTTTGGGAGGCCAAGGTGGGCGGATCACTTGAGCCCAGGAGTTTGAGACCAGACTGGGCAAGATGGCGAAATCCCATCTCCTAAAAATATGAAAGCTAGCTGGGTGTGCTGATGCATACCTGTAGTCCCAGCTACTCAGGAGGCTGAGGTGGGAGGATCACTTGAACCCAGGAGGTCGAGGCTGCAATAAGCTGAAATTACAACACTGCACTCCAGCCTGGGTGACAGAACAAGACCCTGTCTCAAAAATTAAAAGAAAAAAATGTAAATCAATCAGAAGTTGAAGTAAAAGTAAGTTATAATACAGTAATATGTATTTCGGTATGTGAATACTTGGGCAGTATATTAACCATGTCTTTTACTTTCTGAATTCTCATGCTTTGACACTTGGGCCTTGTGATATGGTTTGGCTCTGTATCCCCACTAAGTCTCATGTCAAATTGTAATCCCCACATGTTTGGGTAGGAACCTGATGGGAGGTGATTGGATCGTGGGGGTGGGTTTCCCCCTTGCTGTTCTCACCATAGTGAGTTCTCACAAGATCTGATGGTTTAAAAGACTTGTTTGCTTCCCCTTCACCTTCCACCATGATTATAAGTTTCCTGAGGCCTCCTACCCACGCTTCCTGTTAAGTCTGCAGAACTGTGAGTCAATTAAACCTGTTTTCTTCGTAAATTACCAGTCTCAGGTAGTTCTTTATAGCAGTGTGAGAATGGATGAACACACGTTGCTTACCCCAAAGGGGCTGCTGTTACGACATGGGATGTGGCAGTAATAATGACACATCACAGCAAATGTGTCTCTGAACTTGAAATCCCACCACAAGTTGAAGCCTGCCTTCTGTCTCAGCATGTCCGGTAGGATGATGGAAAGTCTTACCAGTCCTGGGTCAATTTCTCCTTGTGTGACCTGTCCTGAGCATTGCAGGATATCCAGTGTCCTCCCGACTAAACATCACTAGTGCCCTCCAATCATCATGGCAACCAAAACTTCCTTCAAAGATTTTCAAGAGATCCATGATGACAAACCACTAAATTGGATAACTCCCAAAGCACTCCCAGAACGAGCTCACTTCGATTCTAAGATCTCTGGGGTGTCACAGGTAAAGGAGATTGCCAATGAGATTTAAAGTCTGGGAGTTACTATCGCAGGCCATTGCCGTGACCTGACCAGAACATAAGACACAAAGGAACATGAATCTAAGAAGGAAATATGGCAAACCAAGCCAAGGCATTTACTTTTGAGGGCAAATCACAAGCTTTAAGGGAAAAATAAAAAAAAAATTACTTTTAGATCTTACAATCAGAATTGTGCAAGTAACTATAATTCTGGAAGTATGGTTCAGGGTGGGCACTCCTCGAGCCCCCAGGCTCTGAGGTGTGGAGCTGGTAGTGTGTCCATGGGGGTCAGGAGCTTGAAATATTGTGCTACATATGCCAAGTATGCTCACTCCATATGTCTCTGGAGAGAGGAAAGACAAGCAGCTCCACCCCTTGCTGTGTGGCTGTGGTCAATTTACTTGACCTCTCTGAGCTTATTCTATAATTAGTAACGCTGACCTCATATTCCTAATGTATAGGTAGTTGTAAGGATTAGATATTGCACACAAAGGACTTAGCTCAGTGCATGGTACTTAATAAAGGATGAATAAGCTATATGATAAACTATTCATTTTTTATACAGTATCGGATCATTCTCTTTTCAAATTTTCCACTAGAGGGTGCCAAACACTAGCCTGAAACTTGGAAAAACTGTTGTCCAGACTCCCCCTGCCCCAAACACCCAATTTGTAAAACATGCTCTCAAGATCCTAAGCACTGGTGTCAGCAAAAAGACTTGGCAGACTCTCCATTTGCTTTCCTCTTCACCCCTGAGAGGTCCTACACCTAAAATAAAGACGCTCAACTTCAAGACTGTTAGTTTTAATTAAACACTTCTTACAGGTGCATAGATAGTGTTAACTGTGATGTTGCCATGGCTTTAAATCAGCTGCATACACAAGACAGAGCTGCAGGGGCCGCCTGCCCCTGAGGCAGGCAATGAGGGATGTTTGTAGAGAATTTAAACACAATAACACAGCTGACTAAAAGTCAGTTCGCTTGTGATATCACCAAGTGCTAGCAACTCTAAATAACATCAGTGATAAAATACTGTTCTGCAAAAAAAAAAAAAAATCTTTTGTTGTTCAAAGTTCCAAATAATCTCTGCAGACATGATGGCATCTTAGCAATATGTATGTAAGCTTCAATTTGATACATTTCTTACTTACCATTAATAATTTTAATATATCTGGAAGTTAATTCAGAGAACTCCATGTGGTACAGAAGCGTCTTCCTAGTGGACTCAGCCACATACATTTTGTTGTTATCTGTTCACACACAGCGCCAGCCCGGAGTTTGCACCTTGAGCGACAACTGTCTCCAACCCCTACATCTAAATAGTAAATTCAAAACAAACCATAATAACTGTGATTGTAATGATGAAAGGAGTAGACCTTGGGTTATCTTACTTTTGTCATTTTATGTGATAAAAAATTTTAAATTTGTATTTAAACTTTAAAACCAAAACAGGCAGAGAATCATGAGGTCAATTTTTTACTGGCAAACTGCAAATTTAGTTCATATGTGATGCGTTCCTAAATTTGAATAATATTCAAATGAAAAAGTACTCTTTCTTTCAATTGTGTTTTGAAACTAGAGATTGTTCAACTGGTCAATTTTTTAAAAATGAAGAAACTACAGACTGACTCAAGAAAATAATGATTGCTAATGATTGCATGATTATCACTATAAAAATAATTTTGATGTATGGGGAGGGTGTTAAAAACTCTCCACTCCAGGTGTCAACTGTTCTAGGTCTACTTTTGTCTTAAATCCCAACTAAGTCGCTTTGCACATCCAAGAAAGGAAGGCCGACTGCCCTGGGAGAGCCCCCAGTGATGCGCTGAGAAGAATCCTAGTTGTGGGCAGATGGGATTGGCTGCTCTCCTGAGCATACACACTGCCCCTGGACTCCTAAGCCCTCCAAGCCCTGTCTCTTCCACTCCTGCACCCCTGGAGACCTTTTATTTAAGGAGGCCCTATTTGGGAAGATCTCAGAGCACTTTACAAATACCAACTTTGGTCTACAAGTGGGAGGAAGTTTCAATCTCTGTATCCTAGATGAAGGGGCAGGCTCAGGCAAGGGAAACCCCATTGAAAGCCTTGCTTTGAGTGTGTTCTGGCTATGACCACACCATGATATATGCATGTTATTACACACAGACCTACGCTTCAAGAATGCATGAGCTACCCTCCCATGGAACTTGGTCAGTTATTATCCAGCAAAATAAATGGACAACTTTTCTATTCCCTTCTCCTTTGCATTGTTGCAGTGTTTCACATTCCCATCCCCAAATTAGAGGGATGAAAGAAAGCAAAAACATTCTTTCCTATCCATAGTACATGTTTCTAGAAACATAGCCAACTCCATTCCCCCAATAGCTACCAAGCTAGTAACAATTCATACCATTTATTAAGAGTAGAAGTACACACCAAATCAAACTGTTCTGTCTGCTTTATTTTTAATTCTTGCAGTAACTTCAAGCAAGTTGCAAAAACATCACCCAGCTAATGATACAAGGAGCCAGCCCTCTTTGTATCTTGGAGCACCAGGCATTCTTCCAGGCATGTATAGAAATGAGCTCAATCGGCCGGGCGTGGTGGCTCAGGCCTGTAATCCCAGCATTTTGGGAGGCTGAGGCAGGCGGAGCACGAGGTTAGGAAATCAAGAACCATCCTGGCCAAGATGGTGAAACCCCATCTCTACTAAAAATACAAAAATTAGCTGGGCGTGGTGGCGCATGCCTGTAGTCCCGGATACTCTGGAGGCTGAGGCAGGAGAATCGCTTGAACCAGAGAGTCAGAGGTTGCAGTGAGCTGAGATCACACCACTGCACTCCAGCCTGGCAACAGAGCGAGACTCTGGCTCAAGAAAAAAAAAGAAAGAAAGAAAGAAAAAAAAGAAAGAAAGAAGTAAGCTTATTCTTCCCCCAACGCCCAAATCCTTTTTTTTTTTTTTTTTTTTTTTTTGGAGAGACAGAGTCTTGCTCTGTCGTCCAGGCTGGAGTCCAGTGGCGCCATCTCGGCTCACTGCAAGCTCTGTCTCCCGGGTCCATGCCATTCTTCTGCCTCAGCCTCCCAAGTAGCTGGGACTATAGGTGCCCGCCACCACGCCTGGCTAATTTTTGTATTTTTAGTAGAGACGGGGTTTCACCGTGTTAGCCAGAATGGTCCCGATCTCCTGACCTTGTGATCCACCCGCCTCAGCCCCCTAAAGCACTGGGATTACAGGTGTGAGTCACCACGCCTGGCCTCCTTTTTTAAGTTCTAAGTTTTCAAATTAAAATTGTGGTAAACTACACATAAAGTGACATTTACCATCTTAACCATTTCTCAGTGTACAATGTCATGGTCTTCAGCACATTCCCACTGTTGTACAACCGTCGCCACCACCCATCTCCAGAACTCTTCATCTTACAAAACTAAATCTCTGTACCCATTAAACAATTACTCCCAATCTTCTCTTCTTCTTCTTTCCCAAATCTTAAGTATAAAGCAGATAGTATTATTATCACCATCCCCATTTTTCAGATGAGGGAATGGAGGCATCGTGAGATTCAATAACTTCCCCTGATCACAGCTGGTTGGTGGCAGAGCTATGATTCAAAGCCAGGTGGTCAGGCTGCAGAAGTCATGGCCTCAACCACTGTGCGGCCTCAGGCACACCTCACAGAACTGTGCTGTGTTGTCTCTTCTGCTGTTGAGCCTATCTAGAAGATGTAGAAACGGTAGCTTAGAAAGTTAAAGCAAATTGCAGTTTCTTCCTTGTAAAGGCCAAGGGGGCTCTGTGTTGAGACCGCTTGGATCCCAGGATGGTTAGCCTGCACCTCCTCTTAGATTAGAGCAGTGACCCTGTCCTTGGTCCCATCCACATCCAAAAGCAGCTCTGGTCCTCTCCCCTCAGTCCCGAGTGCAGCCTGTGGGTTCCAGCTTGCCTGTGACTAGAGAAGTGAACTCTGCCCTTTGGCCAGCAGATAACAGGCTAGGCCCACCTGGGATGTTCTTGCTCAGCTGCACATAGCTGGGGGGATGTAGTCTGTGCTGGAACAGCCTGTGCTCCCTGTCACTGCTAAGAAAGCCCCTCTTCTGCCATTGGGCCAGCGCTGCTAAGGCAGGAAAACTTCCTCCTCCACACCTCCATCAGCTTCTATCAAACACAGAATGGGAGACTGAGCTGGACCCTTACTTAGCACCTGTGTTCAAGGAAGGGGTGCTAGGAAGATGGCATACCCCCTCCCCCATAAACAGATACTTATTTATTTATGTTGGCACGTTGGTCCTATTTTCAGCCATTAAAATGAATAGCCCTGAGGAAGAGCAGCTTCACTATGAGAGGACTTAATAAGAAGAGAATTTTTCCCCAGTTGACCAATGTAAGCTTGAAAGCCAACCTAGAAGAGAAAGAACTTTAAAACTCTACATCTGTTTAATCAGCACACCTTATTTTACCCAAAATAAACTCCACCACTGACCTCTGCTCACTCCACCACCGTAGCCCAAGCCCTATTGTCCCTCACCTGTACAGGCCCCTCAACCCTGCTACCTCCCAGACTATTCTCCACAGGCAGCCAGAAACAGCCTCTAAACTGTCAACCAGATTCTGTAAGATCAGGAATGAGACAAGGATGCCCACTCTTGCCACTTCTGTTCAATACAGTACTGGAAATTGTAGCCATAGCAATTACGCAAAAAAAAAAAAAAAAAAAAAGCCAAATGAAAAAAAAGGGAAGTGGCCGGGCTCACGCCTGTAATACCAACACTTTCGGAGGCCGAGGCAGGCGAATCACGAGGTCAGGAAATCGAACCATTCTGGCTAACGTGGTGAAACCCCGTGTCTACTAAAAATACAAAAAATTAGCCTGGCGTGGTGGCAGGCGCCTGTAGTCCCAGCAACTGGGAAGGCTGAGGCGGGAGAATGGCGTGAACCCGGGAGGCAGAGCTTGCAGTGAGCGGAGATCATGCTACTGCACTCCAGCCTGGGCGACAGAGTGAGACTCTGTCTCAGAAAAAGAAAGGGAAGTAAGTTTATCCCTGTTTACAGGTGATATGATCTTATATGTAGAAAACCCTAAAGATTCAACAACAGCAAAAAAACCTGTTAGAACTAGTAAATGCATTTAGCAAATTGCAAGGTACAAAATCATCACACAAAAATCAGTGCATTTCTATACACCAACAATGAACAATCCAAAAAGGAAATTAAGACAACAATCCTATTTGTAATAGTATCAAAAAGAAAAGAATATTTAGGAATAAAATCTAGGAGGCAAAAGGCTTGTACACTAAAACCTACAAAATATTGCTGAAAGGCATAAAAAGACACACACACAAAAAGTGCAAAGACATCCTGTGTTCATGGATTGGAAGACGTAATATTGATAAGATGTCATACTACCCACAACAATCTATAGACTTAATGCAATCTCTACCAAAATTCCAACATTGTTTTTGTCAGAAATAAAAAAATCTATTCTAAAATGCATATAGAATCTCAATGAACCCTAAACAGCCAAAACAAACTCAAAAAAGAGGAACAAAGTTGGAGGTCTCACATTTCCTCATTTCAAAGCTTACTACAAAGCCACAGCAATCAAAACAATGTGGTACTGGCATAAAGACAGACATATAGACCAATGGAATGCAATAGAGAGCCCAGAAATGAACACTTGTGTAGATGGTCAAATACTATTTGACCAGGGTGCCAAGACCATTCAGTGGGGGAAAGCATGGTCTTTTCAAGAAATGGTGCTGGGAAAACCGGATATCCACATAGAAAAGAATGAAGTTGAACTGTTATCTTATACCGCACACAAAAATTAATTCAAAACAGATCAAAGACCAAAATATAAGACCTAAAATGATGAAATTTTTTTAAGAAAACATACAGCAAAATAATGTCTTTATGATATTGCTGGGCAATGACTTCTGGTTGATCACACTGAAAGTCAAGCAACACAAGACCAAATGAGTAAATTTTACTCCATCAAAATGTAAAACTTTTCTGCATCAAAGTACACAATCAACAGACCAAACTCCACAAGTCAACTCATGGGATGGGAGAACATATTTGCAAATCATATATCTGATAAGGAGTTAATATTTAGTGTGTATAAAGAATATTACAACTCAAAAATGCAAAACCAACAATTCCTTTTAAAAAATGGACAAAGGACTTGAATAGACATTTCTCCAAAGAAGACATTCAAATGACCGACAAGTATATTAACAGATGCTTAATACGACTAATCATTATGGAAATGCACATCAAAATCAGATATCACCTCACACCCTCACATATCATTAGGATGCCTACTACCCCAAAAACAGAAATACTGTGCATTGTTGAGCACGTGGAGAAATTGGAACCCTCATGCACTGTTAGTGGGAATGCAGAATGATTAAGCTGCTCTTAAAAGCAGTACGGTGGTTCCTCAAAAAATTAAACATAGAATTACCACATAATCCAACAATTCCACTACTGGGGAGATGCCCCAAAGAACTGAAAGCAGAGTCTCGAAGAGACATTTGCATACCCGTGTTCACAGCAGCATTATCCATAATAGCCAAAAGGTGGAATCAACCCAGGTGTCCATCAATGGATGAATGGATGTACAAAATCTGGTCCGTCCATGCAAGGAGCATTATTCAGCCTTAAAAGGGAAGGAAATCCTGACCAAAGCTACAACATGTATAAATCTCAAGGACATTATGTTAAGTGGAATAAGCCACACACCAAAGGACAACACTGTATAATTCCACTAATACTCAGCACCAGAGTAGTCAAATCCATAGAGACAGTAAGTAGAACAGGGGTGGCCAAGGACTGGGGAGAGGTGAGTGGGAGTTGGCGTTTAATGAAAACAGAGTTTTAGTTTGGGAAGATGAAAAAGTTCTGGAGATGATGGCAGTGGGGGCTGCACAGCAGTGTGGTTGTACTTAAAGCCACGTACACTGAAAAAATGGATAAAATGGCAAATATTATGTTATGTGTGTGTTTGCCACATACCCCCAAAAAATCAGTCAGACTGTGTGACATACCTGCTCTCAGCCCTCACTCAGAATACAATCCAAGTTCCTTCCTCAGTGGAGCAGGCCTCACACTCCAGCCACACGGCCCCTCCTGTCTCACTGGCCCAGCATGTTTCTGCCCCAGGCCCCTTGCAGTCACTCTGTGTTCCCTTCGCAGGCTCTTCTCCCTGGCCATTGCACGGCTCATTCCCATATTTAACTCAGGACTCTGCTCAATCCTCACTGCTTTTGGCCACCCTATTAAAATGGCACATCCCTTCAACCCCATAGCACACCTTATTTTTCTTCATGAGTTTCATCAGTGCCTGGGATTATCTTAACCACTCATTTATCTGTTCATTATTTGTCTCCTCCAGTGGAGTGTGTGCTCCATGCAGTCAGGGCCTTTGCCTTGCTCACTGCTGTGTTCCCTGGGGCCTAGAATAGTGGTGGCCCATAGCAGAATTCAGGAAAGAGGAGTCCAACAAAGAATGAATGGATAACGCCATGCAACGGATGTGTTGGTGAAATTGACAGAGGTGGTAGAATTGAGGGCGACTGATGATGGAATGAAGCTCCCACAAGATCTCGAGAGTCGATATGCTGGGCTAAATGACTAAGATGAAGCTTAGCACGGGTGCTAAGGCTGCACTTGGGTCAAAAGCACAACTGAGTACAGGATGAGGAAGAAGTTGTTTCACAGCAGCTGCACAACTAGCAAACACCTGGAAGCTACAAAATGGTGGGAAGCTCACAGTGGGATAGATGGGCCTGCAGAAACACCCCGTGATCTCAGGCTGCATGGGGTGGGTGGAGCAGGTGGCTGGTGTGATCTGCAGGAGGCACCTCATGGGGCAGCCCTGTTAGTCCTGGGCTTTGCACTTAAGCACTCAGAGGTTATTCAAGTACATCTTGACCATAGGGACCTGGATGGTAAAGGCATTCAAAATTACATCCTCAACAATACATAGTTTCAAATAGCTCAAAGGAGGGTATTGAACATTCCCAATACAAAGAAATGATAAATGTTTGAGATGATGGATATGCTAATTACCCTGACCTGATCACTATACATTACATGTATAGAAACATCACTATGTACCCCATGAATATGTACAATTATTGTCAATTAAAAATTAAAAATCATACTCTATAAAAAAAGAATAGAAGGAATGTTTAGCCCATAGATGGTAGATTTGACAGCCAGACAGAACTGAATCAAATCCTGGTTCTGCCTTTTATTAGCTGCAGGACACAGGCAGAATTCTTAACCTTAGTAGTCTCTAGTTGTATGACTGCCAAGACCAGTGCCATAAAAGTAAAATATAACTGTTTGATTTTGTAGTTATACACAAAGGCTTGTACTGTGTCCTGTAGAAAATTTGAAGAGTCATCCTTTAAAAACATATATCCATAGTCTTTGCTGAAATTGCCAATGAAATGTACTTTACCAGGGTCCCAATATCGTGTACAAAATGTAGCATTGAAACTTAATGCCCACTTTTTATAAATGTTTATCTATAGATGGGCATCTCAATTTGAGGCAACACATATACGATCAGAACTAACAGTGAATATAAATGATGGAGTATCATGATAGTAGAATCAGATAGAATATTTAGAATAGAAACAGCCCTAAATGAATAACAACTTCTGTGTCTCTTCTGCTAGATTGTTTATAACTTAAAACAGTTCTGTTCTGGATGATCTTGGTAAATCATATGCTTGCATCATGACTGAAATCATCTTGAAAAACGTTTTTTAAGCTGGGAGTGGTGGCTCATGCCTGTAGTCCCAGCTACTTGGGAGGCCAAGGCAGGAGGGTCACTTGAGGCCAGGAGTTTGAGACCAGCCTGAGCACCATAGCAAGACTCCATTCCTATAAAAAAATTAAAAATTAGCTGGGCATATCTGTGGATGCCTGTAATCCAAGCTACTCAGGAGGCTGAGGCTGGAGGATCACGTGAGCCTAGGAATTGGAGGCTGTAGTGAGCTGTGGTCTCACTATTGCACTCCAGCCTGGGTGACAGAGAGAGAACTTGACTCCCAAAAAAAACAAAAAAAAACAAAAAGAAAAAACAAACAAACGAAAAACTCTGTAGGTGGTACCTTTCAGAAGTGTTCCTTTTGGGATACAAAATTAATTTGGATCCCCAAATACAAATTATTTCATATAAATTGGGGCACCCCAGGTTCTACAGTGGAGTCGCTGCAGTGGCTGATGAAGAGGACACAGAACAAGAGTCCTTCCCCTGGGATTTGAATGCTGGTTTTCCTCATCAGGGGTTTGTCCTTCATGGCTCCAGCTTTCAGTGGAGTCAGGTACAAGCAAGTGATGACATGCTGATGCAAACACTGGACAATGCAGTCTGGATTTTTTTTTTTTACAAAAGTGGAAATATCAGAATGTGACAACTTAGAGTGACCATATAATTTATCACCCAATTGGAATACCTTAGAGAGTGAGGGAAGCGGGAGAGGGTGAGTATGAATAGCTGCACTGGGACCACAAGCGTAAACCAACACTGTCCTTTGTCACTGCTGTGGCCGAAGCCATGAGGATATTCAGGCTTCGGAAGAGGCTCGCCACGAGTGCCTCCACGGTAGCAAGAAGGTCTGGCTGGACCCCAGTGAGACCAGTGAAATCGTCAACGCCAACTCCCATCAGCAGATCCGGAAGCTGATCAAAGTTGGGCTGATCATCCACAAGCCTGTGACTGTCCATTCCCAGGCTGGATGCCAGAAAAGCACCTTAGCCCACCAGAAGGGCAGGCACATGGGCACAGGTTAGCGCAAGGGTACAGCCAATTTCCAAATGCCAGAGAAGGTCACTTGGATGAGGAGAATGAGGATTTTGCACTGGTTGTTTGGAAGATACCATGAATCTAAGAAGACTGATCACCACATGTATCACAGCCTGTACCTGAAGGTGCAGGGGAATATGTTCACAAACAAGCAGATTCTCATGGAACACAACCACAAGCTGAAGGCAGACAAGGCCCACAAGAAGTTCCTGGCTGACCAGGCTGAAGCCCGCAGCTCTAAGACCAATAAAGCAAGCAAGCTCCGTGAAGAGCGCCTCCAGGCCAAAAAGAAGGAGATCATCAAGACTTTGTCCAAGGAAGAAGAGACAAGAAAAAAAGCTTCCCCTTTTTCTGCACATCCTGGCCACTGTGATTACATAGATCTGCCATTAAAATAAAACAAGCCTTAAAAAAAAAAGAAAAAAAAACAGGACTGCCCTGAGAAAACTAGGACGTATGGTCACGCCAAGTGGAGTCCCTTCATGGGGATATGGCGTTGAGATGCACAGGCCTGCCAGGAGCTGTTTCATAAGGATTCAGTGCTTTTCTTGCACAGGGGAATGAATTTTGATGAGTATGAAAGATGAGTGAAAGGACCAAGACATTCCAATTCCACCCACTAGATTAGACAGTTTGGTTTTGACAGTTCTGTCCATCTATTTTACATTTTCCAGGTTTGGGAAATGCAGACATAGATACAGATAGTAACATTTTTCAGTGACTCAGTAGCCCCTGATAGCCACAAGAGCTTGGCACGGGTTGAAGGCATTCTCCAGGTGGGAACCAAGGAAAAGCTGTATGAATGTCTTTGCAAAAAGATAAAGAGATGCTTTGCAACAAAAGAGGGCTCCACCACTCTGAAAACACAGTAGGACATATTCGTTAAGTGTCTGAAATCCAAGTCATCTGGACCCGGCACGCTCCCTGATGCCTTTGCCACACCTTTACAGATATTCCAGGGTTATGCTGCTTGCAGGTGACACAATTAGTTATATAAATAAACATGAAATAAAATTTATCTCCAGTGTTTTTGTACCCAGGTGCTGATTCTTGTCTTTTTTTTATTTTTGTTTTTATTTTATTTTTTTGAGACAGAGCCTCACTCTGTCACCCAGGCTGGAGTGCAGTGGTGCCATCTCAGCTCACTGAAACCTCTGCCTCTTCGTTCAAACATTTCTTGTGCCTCAGCCTCCTGAATAGGTGGGATTACAGACATGCACCGCCACTCCTAGCTAATTTTTGTATTTTTGGTAGAGACAGGGTGTTGCCATGTTGACCAGGCTAGTCCTGAACTCTTGACCTCATGCGATTTGCCCTTCTTGGCCTCTCAAAGTGCTGGGATTGCAGACGTGCACCACCATGCCTGGCTAATTTTTGTATTTTTAGTAGAGACAGGATACTGCCATGTTGGCCAGCCTGGTCTAAAACTCTTGGCCTCATGTGATCTGCCCACCTCGGCCTCCCAAAGTGCTGGAATTACAGGTGTGAGCCACTGCGCCAGACCTGATTCTTGTCTTTCTAGCGTGTGTATGTCTCCCCAGCAACGGGCACGTGCATTGGTCTAGGCACCACCAAGGGGCTGTTTTAGAAAAATCAAACATGGTGGAGATTCAAAAAAATCTGTCAGGTTGTGAATTTGGGGCTAGATCTTGGAAACAGCATCAGAAAGTAAACTAAAATCCAGAGGAAGGGAACTTTTAGGGCAGTGAAACTATTTCCTATGTTACAATAATAATGGATACACATAATATATTTGTCAAAACCCAGCAAATGTACAACTCAAAGAGTGAAGCCTAATATAAACTACAGGCTTTAGTTAATAATAATTCTGTATCTTTTTTTGGTATTTTTATTTTATTTATTGGTAACTTTTTAAATTTTAAATTTGTAAATTTTTTTCTTGATAGTGTTGGTGAAAATCTTTTTGAAATATATTTTAATTCTATTTTTTCAATTGATAAATAATAATTACACAAATATGACAAATAATTTATGGAGTATGTAGTGATGTTCTCATAAATACAACGTGTAGACATCAGGTCACGGTAATTAGTGCATCCATCATCTGAAACATTTCATCACTTCTTTGCATTGGGAATGTTCAATATTTTCCCTCAGCTATTTGAAACAATATATTATTGTTAACTATCATCATTCGTATAGAACGCTAGATCGTATCAGAATTGGTTTGTCAGTTATAACAAACGTACCACACTAATACAAGATGTAAATAATAGGGAAATGTGAGGGGGGAGCCTGGGCAGGGAGAGATATGTGGGAATTCTATACTTTCCAATCAATTCTTCTCTAAGCCCAAAATTGCCCTAAAAAATTACAAATCATGCCTCACGGAGGAGAATCATGTAAGATGCTGGCCCAGACACAGTGGGCATGGCTGTGCCCATTCCTTCTCCTTCATTCATACCACACACCTGTGTCAGGGTCCTGGTGGCGCCACCATACATTGCTAGCTAGTGCCAGCGCAGGGTCTGAGCCTCTTCAGTGGCCACGCCTGCCAGCAGGCTCTGATGGGCTACCCCCACGTCCTGCACCCTTAGACTGCTTGATGCCTTGCCCAGGATGGCCACTGCGGTTACCCCTGAGTGACTGGGGTGAAGTGGATCGGAAATGCCTCCCCTGCCATCTGCAATGCATTTCAGGAATCTCTTCCAAAGGTCCTGAAAGTTTGAGCAGCAACTGCACTGGCTGTGACTGCCTTGATGACCCCCCGCCGTGGGCTGGCTTTCTACCTTCCTCTGAGTCACTCCTCCTACCCCTCACTCCTGCTCCCTAGGACGACTTCCCAGAAAAAGTCCTGAATGCAAGTCTTCACCCCAGACTCTGCTTAGGGGAAGAGACACATTTAAGTGCATTTAAACCTGTACGTGTAGGCATGTGTCACACCAAACAATGTTAAAATGACAACACTACTCAGCCCTTTGAAATTTGAATTTTCTAAACAGAACTAATCTTATCAAGTATATTAGGTCTATTTGTACTATCTTCATTTGAGTGTTATAAATATATATATATGTTTCTATGGGCAAAAAGACATAAGCCAAAACCACGAGCATGTACTTTCTTTCTCTTTGTTTATAATTTAAAATATTTTCCTTGGAAAATTTCCAGATACATAAAGACTATTCTCTAATTACTTCAGCTGATAATCAGCTAAAGGTCTCAAGTCAGTTAGGCATCTTAGAACATCTATTTTAATTTGACATTAAAGAAAATATAATCACTGTAATTATTAGAAATAAAACTCTTTAAAACTCCCACAGTAAAGGTGAAGTGATTCTATAGGCTCACCTAACTAGCAGTGTTTTATATGAAGACATCAATTGTTACAGCTTTCATTAAATAAATACATACGTTTACATTTCTAGTCTTAAATATATGGTGTTAGCACTGATAACCTACCTGACAAGTAGAAGGACCTTAGGATATTCTATTTAGTTAAGCTTGAGATAAGATGATAATTCCAAAATTATGCATAAAGAGTTACATTTATACTATGTTCTTACACCGTGATAAAATCAAAGAGAAAATATGTAGCTATCTATTTTGCCAAGATCTATAATTCATTAAGTATGCATGATGGATTTTTATATAATTCTTCTGTATTTATTTTTAGTAAGTAATACTGAATTCCTTTACATTTTACCTAAATTTCTAACACGGAAGGGTGTTTTGTGAAGCCGTCATCTGACTACTAATTGGTGGCTTAATGATTATTTACACCTCTTTCTTCTCTTGTAATTCAACAGTAGGAAGTCCATGTTATTAAACTAACATTTGCATTTTTCCTTTTTCTGATCCAAAAGCTTTTTAGAGAGAGATGTAATTTAATATTAGAAAACAGGAACACTTTTCACAGTTCTATTAATGACTTAATTGTTTATACATAGTTTAAATTTTTTTAATTTTATGCTAATTAGGGTAATATATACCTTTATTTTTATCATCTTAACCATTATGAAGTTTATAGTTATAGATGTTAAGTATATTCACATTGTTTTGAAAGATATATACTTTTGATGAATGTCTTAATAATTAAATTAATTTGAAAAAATCTGTTCTCATTTGAAAATCTCCTTTTCCAAGAAGGAAACTATTGGATGTTTCAGTTTCCAGAAGACAGATTTCTTTAAACCCTTTAAAATATCCATACGTGTCATTACAATATATAGCTTTTCAGCTAGGTGCATTTAGGCAAATTTCACACTTTATTTCTGTCAGGTGGAAAGGTTTTCCTAAAGGGCCACGTGTCTAAAGCATTTTGTGTTTTGGCATAATTTCTTAAACTTTTTTGCGCTTTGGGGGGTCTGAGATTCTTTATCTTATTCATTAATGTTCTTTTTAACTTCTAGAAACCATCAAAATAGGAGCTGTATTGAATTTGCAAGACTTTCCAACTGTATTTGCTAATTCCCTTGGGAGACAGACTATCCCAACTATTCCCATTTTCATTTCTGCACCATTTTGTTAGCTGTGGTAGGGATGTAATCAGTTCACACATCTGGTATCGCATGGATTGGCTAGTGTTAAAGGTTTCACAAATTACTACGAACACTTTTTATTTTTGAAATTGAAGGGCTCTTAATTAGTTTAAAAATAGCTATCAACTTGCTTATAACCAGTATTTGTATGTTGCTACTTGTTCTCTTCCTAAAGGTGGGGAAGTGACATTTGACAACAGAGACCTATCTCCGAAAGAGTTATTTGAGAAAGGGTGTTGTTGGATCAGTCGGACTTCCTGTCCTGATTGCAGTAGTGGGTGGGGTGAATTTCCTTCTAGCAGCGTGGAAAAGGGGCATGGGAATCAATGCAGGTGGAACAGTGGTTCCTGATGTGACGTAGGCAACCATTGGACATTGGGCTTTTTTACATCCTCAGATTCAAGAGCCTCTTGAAAATGTCTCATTTTGATCATATCGAGTTCTGTCTGTGAAAGCGATGGCAAGTCTGGGTTAACTAGTGAACTAGTCTAGTCGAGTTAGCTTAAGACTCTTTCTTATAATGCATGGACATGTAAAAATCAGGAATTTCTTGGTGAAAAAATTTGTTTCCTTAGAACCAGAACAACCCATAATGCAAACGCATAAAAAAGATTTGCAAATTGATGTCCTCAGTCTCTCTAGATACATTTCAGGTGTTCAAGATCCACGTATAGCTAGTGGTGACCATATTGACATCATGGAAATACCTACTGGGCCGTGCTGGTTTACACCATACTCTCTGAAACACCGCTTAGGCATTCACCCCATGATTCTGTGTATGACTGCTTTTAGTAGCTGCTGCTGCTATTTGCTACCACGAAGGCCGCCTCCTCCTCCCGTGGTCGGTAGGTAAGTTTAGGTTCTTGATCTCACCACACAAAAGAATTTGAGAGTGACTCCAAAGGAAGAGTAGCCAAAGAAGCTTATTGTAAAGCGAAAGTACCCTCTGAGAGGCTGAGTGGGCTGCTTAAAGGGAGAGACAGCAACTAGTGCCTTCAGAGGAATTCCTTTTGCGGGAATTGTTCGTATATATTCATAAAATACTGGTGAGGTCAAGTACGTAAAGACAGACCTGCGGTTGACACATGCGCTCAGCATCTGCATGCTGTAACATGCAATGCATGTATCATTAGCATATAAAATCTCCGCCTAGGGGTGTGTTTTTTTACTATTAAAATGAAGAAAAGGTTACTATGAGCTAAACCTTGAGCCTAGCTGCACAGGTGGGACCCTGGAGCAATCCTCAGCCCTCCTGCCCCAAGGCAGTAATTTGCAGCTAATAGCTTCTTGGGTTTTGGATGCTGATTGGCTAGGTACTGGGGAAGCTACATTATGAATAAGTCTCTTTCCCGGGCTGTGCTAGCTATTAGGAACTTGTAACCATCAGGCAGTTGGCTGGTGTCCTGCAGGACTGTTTATCTTGCAAAAGAGTCAGGCGCTGACGTAAGAGGGTGCAAGGGATGCGGAGCCCACTAGGCTTTACGCCAGGGGAAAAGTCAGTAAGTGAGTATGGCCTCCTAACCTTCCTTATCCTGCTTCACTCCTCCTTACTTTTCTTTTTGTGGCCGTTTTATTGAGGTACAGTTTACATACTGTACAATTCATCAGTGTAAAATGTACAATTCAGTGGTTTTTAGTATATTCACAGAGCTGTGCAACCGTCACCATAATCCACTGTAAACATTTTCATTACCTCAAAAAGAGACTCCCATTTGCTTTAGTCTTCACTCCCCAATTCCCCCATACTCCTGGCTCTAAGCAACTACCAATCTATTTTCTGTCCCTTTATTTTGCTTATTCTGGACATTTCATATAAATGGATCATGTCATGGGTGGTCTTTCGTGACTGTTTACCTCCCATGATATTTTCAAGTTTCATTCATGTTGTAGCGTGTATCAGGACTTCATTTCTTTTTGTGGCCAAATAATATTTCATTTTATGGATATATCACCTTTTGTTTGTCCATTCACAGTTCATAAATATTTGGGTTTCCATCTTTTGCTTTATGACTAATGCTGCTATAAATATTCATGTACAAGTTTTCATATGGACATACGTTTTCATTTCTCTTGGGTGTATACCTACTAGTGGAATTGCTGCTCAAATGGTTACTCTATGTTTAGCTTTTTTGAGAAACTGCCACACTGTTTTCCAAAGTGACTGCATCGTTTCTACATTCTCACCAGAAATGTATGAGGGTTCTAATTTCTCCATATCCTCACCAAAGTTTATTATCTTTTTGATTATAGCCATCATGGTAGGTGCTAAGAGGTATCTTCTTGTGGTTTTTAATCAAAAAACGAGTGTTAGGTTTTGTCAAGTGCTTTTTCTGCATCTATTAATATGAGCATGTGGCTTTCGGTTTTTATTCTATTGATAGGGTCTGTTACAATAATTAATTTACAGGTGTTAAGCTAACCTTGCCTTCCTGGAATAAATCCCACTTGGTCATAGTGTATGATTCTTTTTATATGTCACTGGATTTGATTTGCCACGATTTTGTGGAGGATTTTTGTATCCATAGTAATAAGAGATAGTGATCTGTAGTTTTCTTTTTTTGTGATGTCTTTGGTTTTGGAATCAGGGTAATACTGACATCATAGAATGAGCTGAGAAGCATCCCTTCTCTCCCGTTTTTTGGAAAAGTTTGTGAAAAACTGATATCGTTTCTATAATTCTAATAATTTAAGTCTTCTTTCTTATGTCTTGGTTGAATTCTGTTATTTTTGTTTACCTTTCCAAAGAAC
This sequence comes from Homo sapiens, assembly GCF_000001405.40. Classification (NCBI taxonomy): domain Eukaryota; kingdom Metazoa; phylum Chordata; class Mammalia; order Primates; family Hominidae; genus Homo; species Homo sapiens. Next base: position 11,263,516 of record NC_000008.11, read on the forward strand.
CAGCTTTTGGATTCACTGATTTTTCTTTACCATTTTGTATTCTCTATTTCATTAATTTCCATTCTAATATTTACTATTTCCTTTCTTTTTTGAATTAGGTTTAGTTTGGTCTTCTCTTTCCAGTGTCTTAAGATGGAAGTAATTGTTCTGAGTTTTTTTTCTTTTTTAATATAGGCATTTACTGCTATAATTTTTCCTAGGCAGTTCTTCAGCTGAATTCCATAAGTTTTGGAATGTTGCGGTTTCCATTTTAATTCAGTTCAAAGTATTTTCTAATTTTCAGTTTGATTTTTCTTTTGACCTACTGGCTATTTAGGAGTATGTTGTTCAATTTCTACATATTTGTGGGTTCCCCAAATTACTTTATGTTTTTGATTTCTAATTTAATTCCAGTGTGGTTGGAGAAGATACTATGTATCATTTCAATCCTTTTAAATTTACTGAGGTTTGTTTTATGACCTAGCATAAAGCCTTCCCTAGAGAACATTCCATATTCACTTGAAAAGAACATACATTTTGCTATTGTTTGATAGAGTGTTCTAGAGCTATAGCAGATTTTTTGAAACTCACTCAGGAAAATCTCAAATGTGTGCAGAAGTAGAGATAATAATATAATAATTGTGAGTTGAATTGTGTTCCTCTTCCAAAATATTGAATTCCTAGCCCCCAGTGTCTGTGAACAAAGGGTTTTTTGTGGGGAGGAGGCACATGATTAAGTTAAGATGAGGTAGTAGGGTGGGCCCTATCCAATATGATGGCTGTCATTTAAAATGGGAGAAATTTGGACACAGAGACAGTCATGAACACAAGAACACCATGTGAAGATGAAGGTGGAGATTTTGGAGATGTAACTACAAAGCAAGGAGCGCCAAAGATTGCTGGCAAACCACCAGAAGCCAGGGAAGAGGCATGCAACAGGTTCTTGTCCCTTAGAAGGAACCAATCCTGCTGACACCTTGATCTTAGATTTTCAGCTCCCAAAACTGTGAGACAGTAAATTTCTGTTGGGCCAGGTGCAGTGACTCTCGCCTGTAATCCCAGCACTTTGGGAGGCTGAGGTGGATGGGTCACCTGAGGTCAGGAGTTTGAGACCAGCCTGACCAACATGGCGAAACCCTGTCTCTATTAAAAATACAAAAATTAGCCGGGTCTGGTGGCAGGTGCCTGTAATCCCAGCTACCTGGGAGGCTGAGGCAGGAGAATCACTTGAACCTGGGAGGTGAAGGTTAGCGTGAGCCGAGATCACACCACTGCACTACAGCCTGAACAACAGAGTGAGACTCAGTTTCAAAAAAAAAAAAAAAAAAAATTATATTGTTTAAGCCACTCTGTTTATGGAAAACACTTACGTACTCAGCACTCAGATTCAACGACCTTTCAGCCAGTTGTATCTTCACCACAAGCCAGAGCTCAGTGGCTCCCAGGCATTATAACAACACGGACCCTCTGGTCAATGTTGGACTTTCAGGTGAGAAAGTTTAAAGGCAAAAAGACATTTTGGCATGCTGCCACAGTGTCCTTTGGTCAGGAGGTGAAAAGCAAGTTCTGAGTATTGGACTTCCAAAACTGTAAAAGACAAAAAGTCAACACAGTTGAGCTGATGGGGTTTGGCTCTGTGTCCCTACCAAATCTCCTGTCGAATTGTAATCCCCAGTGCTGGAGGTGGGGCTGGGTGGGAGGCGATTGGCTCGTGGGGGTGGAGTTCTCATGAATGGGTTAGCGCCGTTCCCTGGGTGCTGTTCTCGTGATAGTGAGTGCGTTTTGGTGAGATCTGGTTGTTTAAAAGTGCGCAGCACCTCACCACTCACTCTCTTCTTCCTGCTCTGGCCATGTGAGATACCTTGCTCCCCTTTTGCCTTCTGCCATGATTAAAAGCTTCCTGAGGTCTCCCCAGAAGCAGAAGCCTCTATGCTTCCTGTACAGCCTGGAACCATGAGCCAAGGAAGCCAATCTTTTCTTTATAAATTATGCAGTCTCAGGCATTTCTTTCTAGCAGTGTGAGAAGGGACTGATCCATGAGGCTTGTCAAAATTTTATGGTATGCATAGTAGACAATCAAATACCAGATTGTCTGAGGATCTTGGCGGAAGGATTTTTAGTGCAGAATTAGGTTGTTGGTCAAAATGATTCTATAATGTTACACTGTGTGAAAGTTGTCAGAATGAAAATGGAGTTGCTTGTGTTAAAAATCTAAACAATAGACCCAGCGCAGGGCATGAAGGGAGGAGGATTCCCAAGCACAAATGCCTGATAAGAGGAATTATCACACAAGTCTGCAAAAATCACAACCTTGCATACAAATATACTTCTGCAAGGACATCTGCCCAGCAGCTGCCTGTCTGACCTCAGGCTGGCACAACCCTTATTATTGCTCCTTGTTGCCAAACATAATTATCTTAAAACAATTATGCAGCCCTCCTCATTTTTCTTCAAAAAAACCTTTGTCTTCTTTTACCTCCTGAATATGCACTTAGTTTATTATGACACACATATTCCCATTGCAGTGTCCATTCCCACATAAATATCATTTTCTATTAGAGAGCCTCTCTGTCTGTCATTTAGGTTGGCAGTTGTCGAAGCATGACTTTGAAGCCAGATCTTAGCGTGTCTTTGTTGTCGGGTTATCAGGTACTCTATAGTTTTCTGTTTGGGTGCTATTAGTTAAGTAGAGATCATGGCAGATGGTAGTTACTGTTTGTAAAGCTTGCAAAATTCATATTTCTTCCAAAGTCTAACAGTCCCTTTTATTTCTTTAGACATATTTAAATTTTTATTTCAATTTCCATTCCAATATGCTCAGTGTTTTGGAATGCATTTCTGTTTCTTCTTCCTCCCAACTCTCGCTCAAATGATGGTTTCCTCTTGTGTCTTACAGCTTGCTGTTGTGAAATTCTGTGCTGTGGAACAAATCTGTAATAATTTTTTAATTTGAGGTGCATTCCTCGAGAGAAGATTGACAGTTGCTTTTGCAGGTACTGGATATATTAGCAATCCAGAATATCTTTTTTTGTTTTTGTTTTCTTGTTGTTGTTGTTTTAAAGACAGGGTCTTGCTCTGTCATCCAGGCTGGAATGCAGTGGCACAATCATAGCTCACTGCAACCATGGATTCCTGAGCTCAAGCAATCCTCCTGCCTCAGCCTCCTGAGTAGCTGGGACTAGAGCTGCACACCACCACACCTAGCTAATTTTTAAAACTTTTTTATAGAGATGGGGTTGCCCCGGCTGATCTTGAACTCCTGGGCTCAAGTGTTTCCCCTGCCTCAGCCTCCCAAAGTGCTGGGATTACAGGCATGAACCACCACATCCAGTACAGGATGTCTTTAAATTATGTTATCAGTTTGGTGTTTCCAGAATTCTTGGAGAGTAGAAATTCTGTCCCTAAACTTGTGTGATGGTAAAATACAAATTCTTAAACATGTTTTTCTCCCGTTTACTCAGAGGCAAAATCAAGGTAGACAAGTTTCCTTACTAACTCGTTAAGAAAGGCAGGATTTTTTTTTTTTTTTAGTATTACCCAGTGTGTGACTTTCAGGGTCTAAGCCTTATGTAAAATAAAAAGGTCTACAGTCAGACTTCCCACCTTCATTAATACCTGAGAAATTAATGAAATAGAGAATACAAATAAAGAAAAATCTATCAAGTGTGGGCACTAGATTTTGTCTCCTTTTCTCCTGAACTAAACCACGTAAATGGAATCTCCAGGTCCCCAGAGACTGGCAGATATTCCTTAAGCAAAACCGTTTCAATGTCCTTGCTTACCTTTCTGAATTCATATGTTCCATTATTTGTGGTCTTTAAGGATTTCTCTTTTACTTTTTGCCAGGCCAGCAATATATTTAATAATCTGTTGTTTAAAAAATATTTACACAATTATAGGTTTTTTTAAATCAAAAGTCTCATTATGATTCCTAAGTCTGCCATATTGCTAAAAATGGAAGGCTATAATGATTTTTCATACTGAGAGCTCTATCTCATCTGGAACTTATTTTTCTGATTAGTTTGAGGTTGAGCTAAATTTCATTTCTGCAGATTCTAACAGTGCAAGGAAAGGTAAAATGGGCCCTGAATGGGCGTTCTGTTAGGCACTTTCATGAGTTCAGCTTTAGGGGCAAAATGACACACGAAAGCAAAGATCAAGTAATAAAGAGTTGGCTTTCACAGTTTTGATGAATGTCTTCTATCCACCCTAGACCTGCTTCCTTTTGATACAAAAGGTGCAAAGTGACTGTTCTTCCCAGTGCTTTGTTCGCTACATTTCCCCTGCCTCATACCCGAGCTTTTTTCCGCTGAGCTTCATGCACAAGGACCTTCTATTTGATCTTCATGGTTCTTCCAGGTAAGGTGGGACCTGAAAAAAAGTGAAAGATCAGAAGGATGGGAAGACTTAAGGATTTTGGACTGAGTCTGGGTCCACATAAAGATAACCCAGGGCTGCTGATAAGAGTAAGTGTAGAGAAGTTGATCAGCAAATCTTATCCCATCTAAAGACAAAAACTTAGAATGCCAGGATAAATCCCAGTGCAATCAGCTTCAAAGAACTATCCTAATTCTTTGATGTATCAAATATGTGTTAAATAAGTAAGCGGTTGGCTAGGATTTCAAAACCTACTTTGTTCTAGAGAGATTTAAAGCATAACACATTTTCTTTCAGAAACGGGGTCTTGCTATGTTGCCCAGGCTGGACTGCAATGGCTATTCACAGGCGAGGTCACAGAACAGTACAGCCTTGAACTCCTGACGTCAAACAATCCTCCTGTCTCAGCCTCCTGAGTAGCTAGGACCGTAGGTGTTCGCACCACCATGCCTGGCTCCAGACAGCCTCTTTAGAAATGACAGAACATTAAATGAAGACTATCCACTGTTTAAAGGTTAAAATAGCTAGCCTTTTTTTTTTAATCCCTTCCTACCTTTTGATCAGAAAAGTTTGCTCTGTCTACTTTTTGAGGACACTGTATTTTATTACCATCCAAATATTAGAAATAACTTATATCTATGTGGTAGAAGTTCCAATATTCTATTTTTACTTTTTCCTGCAGCAAAGCCTAGATATTCTTTTCTGATACTCTGCTTCTCTCCTATGAAATCTCCCTTGTTTATTTCTCGCCATCTTGCTGATAATTATACAGCATTTTCGGGGGGGGGGGGTTCCCTAGTCCTAACTTGTAGACCTTCCAATAACTGTATACTTCTGATTGCTTTTACAGTTGCAATCACAGTATTTCCTCCCCCTCTTCGTGTCCTGATTCTGTACAGAATCAGAGAAGCTTCAGAGGCATTGTCTAACGAGAAGCAGAAGGCTTTTAGAGGCTGTCTTCAAGACCCATGCCTGGATGTTTTCCCCAAATAATCTTTTTTACTTAAAATGTCAGACCATAATAGAACCTCTAATTAAATGGTTGCTTTTATGCAAAGAATGGGCGGGGCTTGGGCTGGGTGTGGTGATGTGCATCTGTAATCCCAGCACATTGGGAGGCTGAGGCAGGAGGATCACTTGAGCCCAGGAGTTGGAGACCAGCCTAAACAACATAGCAAGACTCTGACTCTACAACAAAAAGTTTCAAAATTAGCTGAGCATGGTGATGTATGCCTACAGTTTCAGCTACTCAGGAAGCTGAGGGAGGAGGATTGCTTGAGCCTAGGAGTTCAAGGCTGCAGTGAGCTATGTTTGCACCACTGCATTCCTACACTCCAGCCTGGGTGGGAGGGCTGTTTGCTAATCATTTTATGTTTTCCCAAGCTGTTCCAAGAATTTGGCAGGGAGCTGACATCAACTTATCTGCCTATACTTGCTTTCCGAATAAACCACTGAAATACTGAAGCTGAAGACTTCTCACCTGTATCTAGGAATGGAACTGAGAATGGCATTACAAGGATTGGAAACATTTTAGTGATCATCTCAGATACCTGAAAGACTCACAGACTGAGACTGGTGGGGCTTCTCTAAAAGTCGCCATGGTATAATCTCACGCAGTGGCAAGATGGCAGGTCTTAGAACTGGGCACTATTCATTGAGCTGTTACCGTATAGAGGCATGGTGACAGCTGCAGCTTCAGAAACAACTGGCGAGCTTGTAGAACAAGCTTAGGCTCGCAGAGGTTCCTCTTTTTTTTTTTTTTTTTGTTTTTGAGACAGGGTCTCACTCTGCTGCCCAGGCTGGAGTGCAGTGGCATGATCTAAGCTCACTGCAAGCTCTGCCTCCCAGGCTCAATCAATCCTCCCAACTCAGCCCCCTAAATAGCTGAGACTACAGGCATGCACCATCATGCCCAGCTAATTTTTTTTTCTTTCTTTTTTTTTTTTTTTTTGTAGAAGTGGGGTTTTGCCATGCTGACCTGGCTGGTCTCAAACTCCTGACCTCAAGTGATCTGGCTGCCTTGGCCTCCCAAAGTGCTAGGATTACAGGTGTGAGCCACCACACCTGGCTGGCTCCTAGAGGTTCTGATTCGCTGGTTGGGGTCTGGGTCCAGGAATCTGCATGTTCCCCTGTGCTTACCCAGGACATACTGATGTGAATGCCTTTCACCCCATAGTTTAAGAAACACTGCCTAGGGTCAGTAATGATTGGCTGTCGCTGCCGAGGTAACCCCAAGGGGACGCTGATGATCAGGAGGCTCTGGAGCCAAAGTAGTCTAACAGGCTGTGGGAAGCAACCTAGCACCTGCAAGCCCTGCCTCCTGCATTTCAGACACAGGCAAATTAAAAGACTTGAGCAAATGCTAACACAGCTTCTAACAGCTCAAGGCCACAACCCTAGGATGTCCCTAGTTCCCCTTAAAGTGCCTCCTTGAAAAAAAAAAACACAAAAATTTAAGGCTGCCAAATGAGTTTACTGTTTGTTCTATCCAGTATCTGACATAGGTCTCTTACCTCCCTTTCTTAGAGCATTTACCAAAAGGAGCTTATAATTGTGAATCTTCCTCCATCTTTGAGAGGTACAGGTGTGTGATATGACTCAAAAGAGTCTCAAGGACCTGAAAGTGCTTCCCTTGAAATGTAACAATCAGCCAGGCGTGGTGGCTAATGCCTGTAATCCCAGCACTTTGGGAGGCCGATCACCTGAGGTCAGGATTTCGAGACCAGCCTGGCCAACATGGTGAAACCCCATCTCTACTAAAAATACAAAAATTAGCCGGGCATGGTGGTGCATGCCTGTAATTCCAGCTACGTGGGAGGCTGAGGCAGGAGAATCGCTTGAACCTGGGAGGTGGAGGTTGCAGTGAGCCAAGACCGTACCATTGCACTCCAGCCTGGGCAACAAGAGCGAAACTCTGTCTCAAAAAAAATAAAAAATTAAAAATAAAAGAAATGTAACAATCAGGAAGGACAGGGCCCCGTCTCCTGCTGCAGACACGGAGGATCTAATCGCATTGACACTAAGCCTTTGCAATTGTTCACTTCCCGGAATCTACCGATCCTCCTCCAGTCAGCGTCTGTACTCCCCCATTCCCCCTTTCAAATGCCCTGTGTACAAATCACAGTTGAGTTCAGCTCATGCTGGACTCTTTTTCCTATTGCAATAGACATTACTGATGAAGACCTGTCCAGACCAATTTAACTGGTGTCTGGCTTTGCTTGTTTTTGACACTGATGCTGATAGAATGCCTGCTGAAACCTTAGGCCAGGAGATGCTCTAAATTCAAAGTTATGAGAAACAGACTGTCATTGTTCATTCAAAGTGAAAACCTACAGGTACACACGGATACACACACAAACACAGGGATACACACACATGCACAGTTACGTCTGAACCAAGGAGAAAATGTGAAAGTGATTCCAGTGACTAAAGACTTCTCACCAGGGAAGAATTGACTGAAAATGCAGCAGAAAGCCAGCAGAGCAAGGAACTCCTCTCCTGGTGTCTATTCACATGCTCCTCCATTGCCCGGGAATGGGAAGTTGTAGAAAACAGAGACCAGAGGCCAGCCTGTGGGGTACATGTGTTGGGCAGTTCGCTGATTTTTCATTCTTCCCCTGTTTCTCACTCACTGTTTAAGGAAAAAGCCATGCCATGCCACTTGTTAAAGCACAGTAAGGAAGGCTTTATTCAAGACCGTTGTGATAGATGAAAGGACCTCTGCAGTTGCATGTTGCAGTGGTGGAGAGAGATTGAGCTCCACTCCAGACACAGCCTGGCCAAGTGGGTGGGGTGTGGGAGTGGTTAGTGGGGTGAAAATTACTAAGAGGAACCATCAGGGATATGAGGAATTTCGGCTGAACTAACGTAAGAGGATTCCTGCTGAAGGCAGGCAAGAGTGACCACACATCACCTGCTAAATGGTGGAGGAAGAGAAACCCGATTAGGTATTGAAGATGCGGGCGGCGGCGGGGGGGTGGTCCTCACTAAACAGACTTCGCAGGGCTCTTTACCAAAACTGGATTTTACAAGGAAGTGCACAGATGGTCCTACAAGAAGTTTCAAGACTCTAACTCAAGCTTCGCCAAGCAGTGAATCTTTGTCACCAATCCAACTCAAAAGTAAAAACTGAGCTAGACTAAGCAAATAAAGGGGAAGGACACATTGGCTGTAAAAAAAGAGTAAAAAAAGACTTGAGGGTTAAATTTTTTAAAAAAGGATTTTAGTCTCTGTCCTGCCACTAACTAGCTGTGTGCTCTTAGCTGAGTCATTTCATATCCTTGAATCTCGATCTCCTCACCTGTAAAACAAGCTGGTTAAATCGGAAGATCCAACTCCAACTCCATGCATGTGTATTTATCAAATGCTTATTATGTACCAGCTGCAAAGATAAATGAACCCCAGCTCTTGCCTTCACACGGGTAAAGGAGTTATGAGTGCTTGAAAGAGCATAATGAAAATTACTAGCCCGTAGATGGAGCCTGGGCAGGGAAGGAAATGATGTTAAATAAGGACCATGGAGACCCGAAGGCTCCCTGAGAAGGGCAGATTTATACTGAATGAAATTCAGGAAAAGGAAACCGCAGTCAAAAGGTGGAATTTCAGGATTTGAACATTTCAGATGCATAAAAGTTCTTGATGACAAGATGACAGTGCACACTTTAAATTATGAATGTGTGATTCAACAATTCTCATTTGAACTCCTACAGGTAACCCCTTAACAACGCAACAATCAAGTCCACAGCCGCAGTTGCTGTTGCCTAGTCTTTTGGTGACCTTAGGATCTAATCATCTTCAAGCTGGTAGATGACTATGCTTCCCAGTGTCAGGCCCATTAAAATTGATCCACCAACCCCGCCATTCCAGACCACGTGTGGTGCTAAACCTCCACTCATACTGGGTGTTTAGCTGTCAAATTCCAGAAATCCACATTAATGCCTGTTACACTGTAGCAGGTCAAAATTTGATATGTTTTTTCTTAATTTCACTTTTTAAAATCTTACTTTTGAAAAAAATTTCAGACTACAGGAAAGTTGAAACAACAGTACAATAAGCATGTTTAAACCCTTCACTCAGATTAACCAATTGTCAACAATTTGCCACATTTTTTCTCCGTGTGTGTGTGTGTGTGTGTGATATGGTTTGGAAGTGTGTCCCCACCCAAATCTCAGGTTGAATTGTAATCCCCAATGATGAAGGTGGGGCCTGGTGGAAGGTGATTAGATTACAGAGGTGGATTTCTCATGAATGCTTTACCACCATCCCCTTGATGCTCGTGATAGTGATTTCGTTCTCATATAAAAGTGTGTAGCACCTCCCCTTTCCCTCTTGCTCCTGTTTTTGTTATGTGACGTGCCTGCCCCCACCTTTGCCTTCTACCATGATTGTAACATTCCTGAATTCTCCCCAGGAGCCAAGGAGATGGTAGCACCACGCTTCCAGTAAAGCAAGCAGAACCGTGAGCCAATTAAACCTCTTTTCTTTGTAAATTCCACTGTCTCAGGTATTTATAGCAATGCAAGAACATACCAATACAGTGTGTACATACATACACATACATAACACATGCATACACACAGTACATATAATAAATATAGGTACACCCAGGTTGTCATAAACAATTGAAAGTAACCTGCAGCTATTATAACAGTTAATCTTCCAAGTTTCAATACACGACTGTGGAGAGAAAGGACGTGTTCCTCCATAACCGTCACGATTATCCTATCTAAGAATATCAACTTAACTCAATAATGTCATCTCCTGTACAACCATGTTCATGTCTCTTCCCAAATGTCTTCTGTGGCATGTTATTCCTGATTGGAGATTTAATCAGTTTTCATGTCTCACATTTGGTGGTTACATCGCTTTAGCCTCTTTTAGTCTACGGTGGTCCTCCTGCCTTCTTGCTTTTGTTTTGTTTTACATGGCATTGGATTATTAGGAGAGTCCAGGCCTCTAGCCTGTAGAAAATCTCCCTGCAACACTCCTCCGTTGAGGACCTGACCGATGGCTTCCTCATGCTTAGATTCGAGTTAAGGGTGCTGGGAAAGACCGCCTCCCAGGGGAAGTGCACCTGTCATTGTGTCTGCAGCTCAGCACGTCCGGGTGCCGCACTGCTATCCCTCGGCTATGGTGGTGATCACCAGACATCTCCATTAGAAAGGTATGTTCTTCTCTTTGGAATCACCGAGTTACGGATCGGGTGGTACCTGCAGATCTGTCCTCTTAAGGTGAACATCTCTGAGAAAAGTAGAGCAGGAAAGAAAAGAACACAAAAGGGGGAGAAGGTAAGTAAGGAAGGGCATGTGGAAGGCATGTCATAGTCCATTTAAAAAATAAAAAGATTGAAAATATAACTATATATCACATTTATAATTATATACAGGCCTGGCACAGTGGCTCGCACTTATAATCCCAGCACTTTGGGAGGCTGAGGCAGGAGGCTCACTTGAGTCCCAGAATTCGAGACAAGCCTGGGAAACATAGTGAGACTCCTCTCTACAAAAATAAAAATAAAAATAAAAATAAATTAAAATAAATAAAATAAAATAAAATAAAATTAGCTCAGCATAGTGGCACATGCCTGCCTGTCATCTCAGCTACTCAGGGGGCTGAGGTGGGAGAATCGCTTGAACCCAGGAGGTTGAAGCTGCAATGAGCCATGGTTATGCCATTGCACTCTAACCTGGGCAGCAGAGTGAGACCTTGTCTCAAAATAAAATAAAATAAAAAGCTTCACTTAAATAGTGTGGAGAAATAAGAAATGTGAAGCTAGGGAGGTGTGACTAAGACTTGAGAGCAGACTGAGATTGTTTCGCTATTTCTCTGGACGCTGACCCTGATTTAGGGTCAATGACAACAAAATAATCCCCAACAGTAATCACTGAATTATCATTGTTGACATTCCCACCTAGTTATCCTACTTCTTAATTAGGCCTTTATTTTAGATGTGTCTCTGTATTTTAATTATACCTAATTATATGTAATTGCATATTCTTAGTTCATTTCATTATGGCTATGAGCAGAAAAGCACTTTGCCCGGAAAGTGTGCTGACTTTCCACATATTCTGTTTACTCTTCTTTCCAGTGGCCAGTGTGGATAGGGGAAGTTAATTTGTATAGACATGTTTCCCACCCTCAACAGACGCCCTTAGACACTGCTGCTATTGAGAGGCGGGGCCTATGTCTTCTTGAAATTGGGTGGGTGTTCGTGACTGTTTAGATCAGCAGAGCACAGTGGAAGCGACATTATGTGGCATCTAAGTCATAAAAAATGACCCAGGTTTCACTTTGCCCTCAAATTCTGCTATGTAGGCAGCCTCACTGCCCTGCGGTCACCATACTAGCAGGAATACCAAACCAGCTCCCCAGGAGACCATGAAGAGTGGCCCTGAGACTGCAGAGAGACAGGAAGAGAGAGAGAGAGAGTTGATTGGACAGCCCTAGTGGCTTCAGCCTCTCTCCACCAGCCCCCCATTATTCCAGTTCCCATCCACCAACTGATGGGCGTTGTTTTGAGCAACTCTGTTTGGGGTATTTTTAAATGTAGCAATACCAACAGGGCCTCCTCTTTTCACTACTCCACTTTCTTGTAAGGTGCTAGATTCCTATTCTTCTGATTGGTCTCAAAAATGAAGTGGCCCAGGGATTGAAGACACAGAACCCAGACATAGGAAATATGATTGTTAGACTGCAATATCTGAAGCCAGACCCATTGATTATATTATTGTCCCCAGAACTTTCCTTTTGTTGCTCTGTACAAGGAAAGCTTAGTCCCCCTTTGACTAGTTAAGAGAGACTATCTTTTCCCAATATCCACAGTTCTGAATCTTAACAGGCAAAAGCAGTGCAAAATAAGTCCAATTTAAATTAGTGTGACAGCAAGGGCCCGGGCCTTGGACTTAGAAGTATTGCCTTTGGGTTTCTGCCTCACTGCTTGGTTTTGTTGTTGAAAGGATGGCACCGTCCCTTTGAGCTTTCATTCTTCCTCTCTGAACTGGGAACAATACCTCACCTGTCTACTTCACCAGGTCGTATTGAGAGAGTCGTATGTGATAGCATACTTGAAAACATTTTGTAAGCTGTAATACACTAACCAAATGCAAGAGATTTTCAGTATAATTGTCACTGAGAAGTTATTTATCTGCTTTAATTCCCTCATCTGCAAGGTGGGGACAATATAATATGACCTTTCCCCTATTCTCATCAAGACACTGCTATAAATATGTGCAATAATAACTAAAGTCACTCAGATTGGGGTGTAGGGAGGAGAGGTCAGGGTGGAATATGTTAAGTAAATAATGGGTATCTATTCAACAAACAAACACTGAGTGGCTACTATGTACAGGCACCAAGGTAGGTTGTGGACATACTGAAAGCAATAAATGGCCCTTCCCATTGAGGAACTTACTGTCTAGTGGAACATTATGGCACAGAAAGCTCTCTTAATACAGTTTATTAAGTAGTAATGAAGTAGGAGCCTGAACTCAACTTCAGGGGCTGGGCTTGGACACTGGACCAAATTAAGGACTAGCTAAAACGGAGTGGAAGCAGCTTTCCATAAGACACGCCCACCAGTGCACCATGTCATTTTACCATTGCCATGGCAATGCCCAGAAGTTGCTGCTCCTTTTCACAGCAGCAGCCCAACGACTTGGAAGTTACCACCTTTCCTAGATATTTCTACATGATCTGCCCCGTAATTTGCATGTAATTAAAAGTAGGTATATGCCAGGTCCGGTGGCTCACGCCTGTAATCCCAGCACTTTGGGAGGCCAAGGAGGGCGAATCACCTGAGGTCAGGAGTTCGAGACCAGCCTGGACAACATGGTGAAACCCTGTCTCTATTAAAATACCAAAGTTAGCCTTTAGTCTCTACTAAAAATACCAAAGTTAGCCTTTGGTATCACAGGTTAATGCACCTGTAATTCCAGCTACTCGGGAGGCTGAGGCAGGAGAATCGCTTGAACCCTGGAGGGGGAGGTTGCAGTAAGCTGAGGCAGCACCACTGCCCTCCAGTCTGGGTGACAGAGCAAGACTCTGTCTCAAAAAAAAAAAAGTGTAGGTATAAATATGACTGCAGAATGCCTCTGAGCTGCTACTCTGGGCACACTGCCTATGGGGTAGCCCTGCTCCGCAAAGAGCAGTGCCTCTGCTGTTGCTGTGCACTGCTGTTTCAATAAAAGTTACAGTTTAACACCACAAGCTCACCCTTGAATTCTTTCATGGGCAAAGCCAAGAACCATCCCGGGCTAAGTCCCGATTTAGGGGCTTGCCTGTCCACCATCAGTAAAATTAGAGAGAGTCACTGTATTAGTCTGTTCTCATGCTGCTAATAAGACATACCTGAGACTGAGTAATTTATAAAGGAAGAGGTTTAATTGACTCACAGTTTAGCATGGCTGGGGAGTCCTCAGAGAACTTAAAATCATGGCAGAAGGGGAAGCAAACATGTCCTTCTTCACATGGTGGCAACAAGTAGAAGTGCTGAGCCAAAGGGGGAAAGCCCCTTATAAAATCATCAGGTCTCATGAGAACTCACCCACTATCACAAGAACAGCAGCATGGGGGTAATTGCCCCCATGATTCAATTACCTCCCACTGGGTCCCTCCCACGACACATGGGTATTATGGCAACTACAGTTCAAAATGAGATTTGGGTGGGGAGACAGCCAAACCATATCAGTAACCAAGGTGGACTCAGTGTGCATGGTTGGCAAAGCATGGTGGTAAAGATCGTGGGGTCTACACTTGACTGCTTGAGTCTAGATCTGGACCATTTACTCCCGACCTTGGAAAAGTTCCTAAAAAAAAGTTCCTAAGTTCTCTGTGCCTCAATAAAAGGAGAACAATAACCAACCGTGTTAGTTTGCCAGGGCTGCCATAATAAAGTATCAAAGCCTGGTGGTTTAAACAACAGAAATTTCTCTTACAGTTCTGGAAGCCAGAAATCTGAGATCAAAGCGTTAGCACGGTTGAGTTTCCTGAACCCTCTCTCCTCACCTCTCATATGTGTCTGTGTCCAAATTTCCTCTTAGTATAAGGACACCAGTCATATTGGATTACAGACATCCTAATTATCTCATTTAACTTACCTCTTTAAAGATCCTAGCTCCAAATAGCCTATGGAGGTACTGAGGGTTGGGACATCAACACATGAATTTGGCGGAGGGAGAGACATAATTCCTCCCAAGATCAACCTCAGAACACTGTAGAAGGAGGACATGAGACTACATGTAAGGCATTTAGCCAATGTCTAGAACACAGAGTAAACACTCAATTAGTATGAGTTATTATTATATGGTGCTATGAAGCCTATGTATTGTGAAACTCATATTTGTGAGGGAAAATCAGGGAAGGCTTCCCATAGGCAGTGATCTCTGAGAGGAGATCTGAAGGATGGTAGCATTAGCGGGTTGACAGACAAGTTGCTGGGAGTGAGGTAAATATATACCAGGCAGAAAGAACACAAAAATTATTTAAAGTACTGCTTTCTTAAACTTTAATGTGTGTATAAATCATCTAAGAATCTTATAAAAATGCAGATTCTGATTCAGCAGGTTCAGAGTGAGACATTTCTAACAAAGATCCCAGGGAATGACAGTGATGCTGGTCCCTGTTCCACACCTCCATGTAGTAACAAGTTTATAACTGGGTGCAAAATCTTAGGAGGAAAAGGCAAGTTATTTGAGGATAGCTGGCATGAAAATTGCATATGGGTGGAGATTAGAGACTGCTGGATAGGGAAAGAAGAGCAGAGATGAGACCTGTGATGCTGATCTCTGCTTAAAAGGCTAAATCACCAAGGGCCTTATAAGTTAAGCAAAGAAAGAAAGAGAGAGAGAGAGAAGGAAAGAAAGAAAAGAAAGAAAGAAAAAAGAAAGAAAGAAAGAGAGAGAGAGAGAATTTAGAGCACCAAAGACAACCAAAGAGCTTCCAAATGGAAAAATGGATTGAAGGAGAGCCCCACTGGAAGAAAGAAAACCAACTAAAATATTTTTCCTGTTAAGTAGATGAGAAATGATGGTAGTCTGATCTAACATAGTGGCCTTGGGCATGGGGAGAAGTGGAGGAATTCAAGAGATATGAAAAGACAGAATCATCCATTTGGTGACTGGTTTGCTTGGGGGAGATGAAGGGAAGGGAAGACATAAGAAAGACCTGGAATGAGGTTATTGGGTTGGTTTCAGCTGCTGACTGTCAATACAAAACAACTAAGTACACAGAGAATGGCTGTTCATTAGGAGCATACACAGGCCATGTCTTCTCCGTCTCAGTTATTCCTGCTAATTTTGGACACGGTCGGCCTGCTTTGTTCAAACCACATTCAAAAGGCCTCAATTTCTACTAAGTACTCACGGCCTAGTAGGGCAACACAAAACCAGGAAAGTAAATCTGTACTTCAAAACTCAACAGTAATTTTTGTATTTTCTCCCCAAGTGTGGCACGTGTTAGCGTTCCCAAATTAGCTATTACTCCTTGAGGGCAATGGCCATGTCAAACCTATTGTTTCCATTCCCCACAGTGCTGATGACCAAATAGGCACTAAGAGCTGGTTGACTATTTGGGAGAATAACGTCTAGATGATTACATATCAATGCCATTTGTTATCTCACAGACTGATTATAATAATAACATCTGTAAGTTGTTGAGTAACTCTTTTACGTGCATTATAAATGCCACCATCTTCTTTGGGTTATCAGACTCCTCTCAGATCCTTATGTCCAGGCAGTTTGGATAAGAATGTGTTTGACTACAGCTTCATTGAATTATTTTAATAGAATGGAAGCCTATCCATTACTGTTAAACTCCACTGCCATCTACTGTTCGTATAATAAAGTAACATATTGTGCTCTCAATCTCCGAAACTCACCTCTATGCTCTATTCCTTACAAGTGAATTTTTGTTTTCCTCAGATCTCAAGGGCTTTCTATGCTTTGAGCTTCAACACAAGTAGATGTAATTTTTAAATAGTTTTGTTACAACAATCCAGCATGATATTGACAATTTTCTTTCATGGGCAAAAAAGTTCATGGTGTTATAGAAAAGTAAACATTTTTCACTTAATGAAACCATGAGCTTTTCATGTGCCTCCCCCCACATAAAGAAACTAAAAGAAAAAGGTAATGGAATTACTGAAAAATGCATCCCCACCTCTAGGAGATATCACTAAATTGGACATCTCTGTCGGCCACATTCCATTCAGAGTGTGACCCTCATCCTTCAAGGTCCTGTTTTCAAATGATACCTTCTCCATAAAACGTTCCCTGATTCTTCACTCTGTAATTAAATTCTTCATTCCACAATTGGTAATTGTTATAACTTATCCACATAAATGAAGAAAGTCAAAAACTCCAGTTTAAAAAAATAACTTTGTAAATCATCCCCCCTCATCTTCCCTACTCTGTTGGTTCTTGTTTTTAGACTGGACTCTCAGGTGCAACAATATTATTGTTACTGGTGGAGAGTACTGACTACAAATCACCCAGGTTCTTGGCATTTTGAACAAAGAATTGGACAAAATTCACAAACAAAGCAACAAAAAAGTGAAGCGACAAAAGCATAGATTTACTGAAACAAAAGTACACTCCACAGAGCGGGAGCGGGCTCAAGCAAGTGGCTCAAGAGCGCTGGTTACAGAATTTTCTGGGGCTTAATTTTTTTATTTTTTTGAGGCGGAGTCTTGTTCTGTCACCCAGGCTGGAGTGCGGTGGCACATTCTTGGCTCACTGCAACCTACACCTCCCAGGTTCAAGCAATTCTCCTGCTTCAGCCTCCCCAATAGCTGGGATTACAGGCCCACACCACACCTGGCTAATTTTTGTAATTTTAGTAGAGATAGGGTTTCACCATGTCGGTTGGCCAGGCTAGTCTGGAACTCCTAACCTTGTGATCCACCCTCCTCAGCCTCCCAAAGTGGTGGGATTACAGGTGTGAGCCATCGTGCAGCATGGGGTTTAAATAGCCTCTAGAGGTTTCCCATTGGTTACTTGGTTACACCCTATGTAAATGAAGGAGTGGCCCGTCACAAGTCTGACTGATCATGGGAGGTGACCAATCAGAGTCTGAAGTGACGGTAGTTACAAAGTTACACATGAAGACTTGGCCTGCAACCAGTCTGAATGGTTGTGGGAGGGGACCAATCAGAGGTACTTTCCATTTTTCATTTGCAGTGCAGTGCAAAGGGAGTAGCCTCTGATCCTTTCGTTACATTCGTGTGAAGAGGTGGGGTTTCCCCTCTGATTCAGTTCTAGGAAGTCAGTGAGAATTGGCCTTAGGTTCCCTGCCTCTAGACCCTATTCTCCTGTCTCATTTTCCCGCTGTGAGACATGATCCCCATAAATCTTTATGGGAGGCAGAGGGACCAATGGTCTTTCTTCTGTAACTGCTTCATGCTGACTTGGGGTGCGGTGCCTACCTATTTGGGATCACAGAACTCTCACTCTGCTCTGTCTAGTGGATACAGGGTAGCTTCTTGATGGCCAGTAGTGGTGTCTTCACCTGAACTGGCTGGAAACCTTGTTGCATGATCATCTGAAGCTTGATGGTCTCTAGGCGAGAGGAAATTAATTTGGTTAATGTATTTAATAAATATGGTCCAAAAACCAAGGCAAGTATAATTAACAACGAGCCAGTCAGAGGAAGGACTCATGAACCCCTAATTAGCATTTTTGAACAGGAGGACCACGACTTGGACAGCTGTTGTCGTATCTTAGAAGCCTGGTCAGCTAATTTCTGGGTGGCATCCCTTACTAATTCTAATTGGTTGACATAAAAACAGCATTCTTCCTCTAGAAAAAGACATAAGCCACCTTTTCCAGCAGTTAGGAGATCCAGTCCCCTTCTATTTTGTAAAGCAACTGCTGCCAAGGAGTCTGTTTGAGTTTGTGTTGTGACGATACTTTGGGCAATGTCATCCAAGCTTTCCACAAAATCCTTGGAAAGTGCTGGTAACAGTATAGGGAAGTTGCAAGCCCGGTAACTCCCGTTCCTGCTCTCACTGTTATTCCTAGCCCAACAAAAAGGCGTTTGAGTTGGATTGCTCATTTGTGTCTGGCGGTTGCAGTTAAAGGTATAATGAGGGATTGGTTGTTGAGAGCTCTCCCTCTCTCTCTCTAAATATATATATATATATACACATATATATATAGTTTGTTTGTTTTGAGACAGTCTCCCTCTGTCACCCAGGCTGGAGCACAGTGGCTCAGTCTTGGCTCACTGCAACCTCTGTCTCCAGGGTTCAAGTGATTCTCCTGTCTCAGTCTCCAGAGTAGCTGGGATTACAGGTGTGCGCCACCATACCCGGCTAATTTTTTGTATTTTTAGTAGAAACAGGGTTTCAGCATGTTGGCCAGGCTGGTCTCGAACTCCTGACCTCAGGTGATCCGCCTGCCTCGGCCTCCCAAAGTGCTGGGATTATAGGCGTGAGAAACTGCGCCCGGCCGGGAGCTATATTGATTTCGGAGGCTAAAAACCAAGTGTACAGGTTCCAGTCCAATTGGCTGGTAAACACAGTAGGAACTGGTGCTGCACAGGGAAAAGGTTCCTTGTTTTTCAAGACAAAAATTGTTTTCCATGGTGAACATGTGGGTTAGCTTGTTGTTTTCACTTTCCCAAGTGGTTAAGTTTCCTACTAAAGTGGCCAAGCGAAAATGTCAACCCAGCTAGTGGGCCCACCTTCACAGTACTTAGACTGTGCATCCTTTAAAGTGCCCTTAACTAGGGATGGTTTCCATGAAAAGCATACAGGTTTTCTAAACGATGCAGTTTGGTTAATTGCATAGCTTACATGATTGTGTGAGGGTTAATTTCTGGGGTGTGGTTGCATTGAAGACTTCAAGTTCCCACGACCTGAACAGAATTTTGGCTTCTTTCAATACAAAGTGGCATCTGGAATTTTAGCTCTGTGTATGTTGATGTTGGGCCCCTAATGGGTTTCTGTGGGAATGCACCCTCAAAAAGGTTGCTCTGATTGGACTGGAGAGGGTTTACTGCTCATCCTGTCATTTTAACCTTTGTCATTTCCATACTTTTGAAGTCTTATAAGTCATCCAGATTCATTAATTCAAAGGGAGTTCCTCCCTGGTAGTTGGAATGATAGGTCATTTTTTTCAAGGACCCAAGATCGGGCTGGGATAGGGATGGCAGTGTATCTGGATGAAGATAGGAGATAAACAAAGCCAACAGTCCTTTGCCAGAGCTGAGCTGGTGGTATTTAACAGTCTTTGCATTAAATTTAAAGTTCTTAATAAATACCCAGAATCTATTAATTGCCAGAGGGGTAAAGTGAAGCTCTGTTGTAAAATAAAGCTGATTCCCTGTATGCGGTGTCCCTGTGTATACTGGGTGTATACTGGGTGTCCATTATGGAACAAAAAAAAAATACTTATTTGCTATTTTGTTCTATAGAATGGGAACTTCAGGGGGTGGATACCTGTGCTGTCAGGAATGCTAGTTATAAAAATGAATTAAAACACTTCATATATTACAAAGGAAGTGATTCCATCTATTTGGACGAAAGCAATTAAACTGCAAAAATATAAAAAATGGCAACTATTATTCAGTCTACAGTAACTATGCAACAAAGACACCAAGGAAAGTTGGTAGGCATTTACGTATCTCACTTAAAACAAGTCTATAAAGTGGTTTATTTTAAGAAGGGTACATTTTAAGAAGGACAAAATCAAAAGCATGGACAAGTGTTGGATGAGCTGATGAGGTTGTGGCAATTTACTTTGTGAATACTGTGAGAGTTTGTCCAACTCGCTGTGCTTAGGTACTAGATGGTGAGGATTTAAAAGGTCAATGAAGTCACAGCAGACCAGCACTCAAACATATTTCTCTTCTATTTCCTACTTTTGAATAAAAATGTCAGAAGTGGGCGGTGGGAAAGGAACAAGCAAAGGAGTAATTATTTGAATAAATTTTTGGCGAAACGTGGGTGTCTGACGGGGAGGCTGTGCGGTGGTGACCAACGCACCCATGCGCTGGGTTTCACAGATGCAGACTGAAGTCCAGGCTCTGCTGCAGATTAACGGGGTGGCCGCCAGCAAGTCAAGTGACTTGCTCTTCTGTGCACTGCATGTACTTGGGTTCCTCTCACAGGTATTCCTGTTTTTCCTCTTTCTTGCTCCAGGTTACACCTCGTGGCGCGGCGCTCTCGGAGAGCCTGTGGAGTGGCCCTGTGTCCCTCCCTGACCCCTGGAGGATTCCGTAAGGTCACAGTCACCGCCTCCATCCCCTACTTGCCATGTCTTCAGGGCTAATGCATAACAATTATCACAATTTACAGCAGCCCCACGCTCTGAAGAGCTTCTGGAGGGGATACTACTCAAGCGGAGGAAGGCAAGACAGGGACCTCCTCCCTCTTCCCGGACCTCTTCTGATAAGGAATATTTGTAGGTGGTTAAGAAAGGCAGCGGGAGGGCGTGAAGGCAAAGACAAGCTTTTTTTCTCGTAGGAACACACATCTTCTGGTCTGGCTGTGTTTCCGGAGGCATTTCCAGAGGACCTAGCGAGGACCAACTTCCGGCTGCGACTTCCGCGTCTTCCGAGTTTCGAGACCTGCTGCTTCCGCCCGGAGTTGTTGTGGGCTCCAGCAGCGAGTAGCCACTTCCGCTAGGAGTCCCTAGCGGCCAGGGCGTGGAAGCGGATTCTGAGGCGGCTTTCTCCTACTGCCCTCCGCTTGCCAACGCGGGACCCGGAGCCCAACGGCAGCGGCGGTCCTTGGGCCTGTGGAGAGGGGTTCTCTGTGGCCGAGTCCTAGGCCTGGTGAACCGCGCGGTGCGGGAGAGGCGCTTGGGCCTCGTCCAGCCCCAGCCCCTGTCTCCCCGCGGCCGGTGCCGGCGGCTGTAGGCCTCGCCGCGCCCACCCAGCCTGGGGCGGGCCCAGCCTCACCGCCCGGCCCGCCCCGCCCCACGGGCCAGCCCCGCGCCGGGTGTTTCCGCTACTTCCCTGCGGCGGGGTAACCGCCTCGCACCTACCGGGCTCGGTTCCCTGGCTCCGGCCGCGGGGGAGCATGGAGTTTGCGGAGCTGATTAAGACCCCGCGGGTGGACAATGTGGTGCTGCACCGGCCTTTCTACCCGGCTGTCGAGGGCACCCTGTGCCTGACGGGCCACCACTTGATCCTGTCCTCCCGGCAGGACAATACGGAGGAGCTGTGGCTCCTCCATTCAAACATCGACGCCATCGACAAGCGGTGAGTGCCCGCCCCACCCCAGCTCCGCAGGGAGCCGGGGGTCCCTTGTGGGCGCCCCGGGAAATACTTCCTGGCGTTTTCCGCGCAGCCTGCCGCCCAGCTAGCCGGCAAGATGAGCCCTCTGTGGCCTAGAATCAGGATTTACCAAGCTGAAACCCGTCCAGATGGAGGACCCGGTTTCCATTAAACCTGGATGGAGTTCTCAGGGTTATCGTGTGGCTGGTACCATCCTGATGATCATTTCTGGTTCGTAACACCATTTGGGTGGATTTTCGGCATTGTCTTTATAAATTTCTTCTTCTTCTTGCCCCATCGTATTCCTTGAATTGGTATTGTCAGTCACCGTTCATGAAGTGATTGGATGTGATTTAGGTAAAGTCTTTACCATTTCTGAGGAAAACTAAACAGATTATAAAGTTATGAGTGTCTACATGCTACAGAACCATTTTTTTAATTTCTGAAAAATGTTCAGTGTATCATATTATTTCTTACCTTCTGGGTCATCAAAATTTAATTCTCACTAAGGGAGATTCTGATGTCTTCTCTTCATCTTTACTCAATTCTGCTTGCTGAAAGAACAGGGTTGGCTCTCAAGGAAAGGCATGGACCAGTTAACCTCTTTTTTCTTTTTGTACTCCAGACTTTATCTTTCCAAGGCAGTGCCTCGAAGTCAAAAAGTTAAACTTTCATCTGCATTCAAAATTCCCATCTCCTTAGTGGCTACTCGCTAGCCAGGAGAGGGCAAACTGATTATCCGTTTTACACAGAAGTATAAATGAATGACGACAACATTTTCTATTGCCTCACAGGATAATTTGGATATTAGGAAGATTCGTACAGAGGATATGCCTTAAAATAATAATCTCTTTCTTTCTTTCTTTTTTTTTTTTTTTTTTTTTTGGAGACGAAATCTCACTGTATTGCCCAGGCTGGAGTGCGGTGGCCAATCTCGGCTCACTGTAACCTCCACCTCCCAGGTTCTAGCGATTCTTCTGTCTCAGCCTCCCGAGTAGCTGGGATTACAGGCACGCGCCACCACACCCGGCTAATTTTTGTATTTTTTAGTAGAGATGGGGTTTCACCATATTGACCAGGCTGGTCTTGAACTCCTGACCTCGCAATCCTCCCGCCTAGGCCTCCCACAGTTCTGGGATTACAGGCGTGAGCCACTGCGCCTGGCCTAAAATAAAAATTTCTAATGGTAGAATTGCAGGCAGTTTGGGTGAAGCCATGGTAGATTGATTGATTGATATGAGCAGGGGGCTCTTATTAGTCTCCTCAAGCCACCTTTTGCTGTATAAAGTCTTCAGTGGGCCCGGCACGGTGGCTCACGCCTGTAATCCCAGCACTTTGGGAGGCCAAGGTGAGCGGATCACCTGAGGTTAGGAGTTTGAGACCAGCCTGACCAACATGATGAAAGCCCGTCTCTACTAAAAATACAAAAAATTAACCGGGCATAGTGGCAGGTGCCTGTAATCCCAGTTACTCAGGAGGCTGAGGCGGAAAAATCGCTTGAACCTTGGAAGCAGAGGTTGCAGTGAGCCGAGATCGGGCCACTGCACTCCTTCCTTTGCAACAAGAGCAAAACTCCATCTCAAAAAAAAAAAAAAAAAAAAAAAAAGTCTTCAGTGGTCTCTCATTGAAAATCTAAACCCCTCAGTCATTCATGGCATTCTGTGTCTCGGCCCTATCCTACTTTCTCACTTTATTTCTTGCCATTTCTTTTAACGAGCCTTTCTTGCACTTGCTTTCATGAACGCTTTTTACCAGCCAGTCCTCACTATTTACTGGTGCTGGTATATGTCCTGTATTCTGTCATCTGTGTATTTTATTGACTTCTTCCTTCTGCTGGAATGCCTTGCCTCTCCCAAGTTTGTTTAACATTTGCCAAATGCCTTTATGTTCTGGACGTTTTGTTAGGCATTTAAGACACCAAGGTAAATAAAATATGTTACAGTTCTTGTCTTTCAGGAGTTCACAGGCAATGAGCCTGTTACCTGTCTATGAGTATTCAGTTTAACCATTTCGACCGCTACCTCCTTCACAAATTCTTCTGTTAATTCCACAACTGGAATTCATTTTTATCTCCTTCGAAACGTCTAACTGTGGCTTGGGCATATAGACGCGTAGGAAACAAAAGAAGGATTGACCGCTGAATGGTCAGATGCCGTTGAATACAACTGAGTAGTTTCTCCATGACCATCAACTACCTTTCCTTTCTTATTTACCTTTTATGGTGGTTACTTTGCGCTCATTTGTTTCCTCCTTTTTACCTTGCATTTACAAGGTGCTGGGCTTTGTAGTACATGAAGAAGAAGCAGATGAGCCATGGACCTTTGAATCTGTTAGGAGAGAATGACGAACTGTACACACATTTATCCTTTTCCTGGGAAGCAGCGTGGTGTAGTGAAAGAGCATAGGGGAGGCATCAGATCAGAGTTTGTTAAATTGCTGCTTTCAAGAAATCTTTACATCCACCTGTTTTCCACGTGCATTGTCTGAGCTGTGCGGCTGCAGTGGTGACTAAGACAAGATGCTTAGGTACTGGCCAGGGAGATGGACAATCAAGCAAGTCCAGAAATAAATATATATATTTATTAGATATATTTATATTTATTATGTTTATTATATATTATATATATTATAATATATATTATATATTATATATTATTTTCTTATATATTTATTATTTATTTATTATATATTTATTATATATTATATATAATACATATTATATAATACATATAATATATAATATATAACATTATATATTTTATTATATATGTTATATATTATATTATAATATATAACATATATAATACGTATTATATATAACATAATATGTATTATATATTATATAATATGTGTTATATATCATACGTATTATATACTATGTATTATATATGTATTATATAATATATATTACATATAATACATAGTATATAATACGTATGATATATAATATATATTATATAATACGTATTATATAATATATATTATATTTCACCTATATAATATATATAATTATTCACCTAATTATATTAAATAATTATTCACCTAAATATTCACCTAATTATTCAGCGAATAGGTGAATAATTATTTATTCACCTATTCACCTAATACATGTAATTATTATATATAATATATTAATAATTATAATATATAATAATAATAATTATATTATAATAATTATATATTATAATATAGTATAATATAGCATATAATATATATTATAATATGTATATATAATATATATACATAAATATATAATATATTTATATATATATAATATATATATAATGATGTCAGGTAATAAGGGCCAGGAAGGAAAGTAACGGAAGATGAGAGGATAAAGAGCACTGGGAGGCAGTTTCCTTAGAAAGGATTTCAGAGAAGGCAGGTGACATCTGACTACAGACCGGAATGAAATGAGGAAGCTAGAACTGTGAGTGTCTGGGGGAAGAGCATTGCAGCCAGAGGGAACAGCGAATACAAAGACTTGAGATGGGGAACATGCTTGGCATGTGCAGAGAAGAGCGAAGAGGCCAGTGTGGCTGCAGGGCAGGGAACAGAGAGTACAGGAAGTTGATGGTAGAGACTGGCTGGAGGGATAAGCAGTGGTCAGACCGTGGAGGGCCTGCAGGCCACAGTAATGGTTTTCATGGGAGCCCTTGGAGAGGTGAAAGCTAGGAAGCAGCAGCTGATAGATGTTTCAGAAGACAATTCTGGCTGCTGGCAGAAAATAAACTGTAGGGGGGCAAGACTGGAAGCAGCAGGCCCAGCTTGGAGAGTAGAGTAGTTCACATAAAAGATGATGGTAGGCCGGGCACGGTGGCTCACGCCTGTAATCCCAGCACTCTGGGAGGCCGAGGCGGGCAGATCACCTGAGGTCAGGAGTTCGACACAGCCTGGCCAGTATGGTGAAACCTCATCTCTACTGAAAATACAAAAAATAGCTGGGTTTGGTGGTGCATGTCTCTGATCCCAGCTACTCAGGAGGCTGAGGCAGGAGAATCACTTCACCCTGGGAGGCCGAGGTTGCAGTAAACTGAGATTGCACCACTGAACTCCACCCTGGGGTGACAGAGTGAGTCTCTGTCTCAAAACAAACAAACAAACAAACAAAAAACAGTAGTGTAGTCACAAGGAATCTGATTTGGGATGTGTTTTTGAAAGTGGAGCTGCCTTGCCTTGCTGGTGAATTGTAAATGAGGTGAGAAAGTCATTAAGGGTAACTCCTTCAGTTCTGCCTCTTACTAGACAAGTGCCTTTGGGCAAACTACTTAACCTCGTAGAAACTTAAGTTTAAATAATGCTTCACAAGTCTGTGGAATACTTTCATATATATCGCTTACATCATTTTATTTGATCCTTTCAACATGCAAGGTTGTATACAAGTTTTACAGTTATACCTGGTTTTTTTTTTAATGGACCTCAGAAAATTGAGTTACTACTACTCAGTTGATGACTCATCATTTTCATGATTGATTCCTTAAAAGGTTTCCTCTGTTGTTGATTTTCTTCCTCCCTAATTTTCACTCCCGTTTCCTGCCTCATCCACAATCCCTGTAGGCAACCACGTTAGTTGTTGCTATAAAATAGATAGCACTATTGTGTATGGGTGTGCGCACACATGCATGTGTGAGTTTAATTTGCCTAACTGGGATTATGTTGTAGATCTTGTTCTGCTTCTTAATATGGTGACACAATACTGTTTCAAGATCTCTTCATATTGCTGTGTGTACAACCATTTCACTGCTTCTGACAGCATAGGATTCCAAAGTATCTAAAAGAGCTTCCTTAACAGACCTTTTAGGTAACTTCCAACTCCCTGCTATCACAAACAACTCTGGTAAACATACTCATTCATGTCCCTTTATATAGTCTTGTGCCATAATTGCTCTGAGACTGCCCCTAGGATGGGATGGCGCCATAAAGTAGGTGCGTATCTCATTTCACAAACTAATTGCTTTCCAGGATGACAATTGCACATTGCCTTCCCATGATGGTGCAGGAGAGGGTACCTCGTCTCCACTTTCTTACCAACATTTGGTATTGTCTTTCTAATTTTTCCAGTCTGAAGATTGTGAAATAGTTATTGCTTTGTTTTAATTTGAATTTCATTAATTATTAGTGTTTAATTATCTTTGTATATGCTTGTGAGCAGTATACTTAAAATTTTTTTTTTTCCTTTTTGTGAATTGCCTAATTTCTGTGGTCTACTTTTAAACATTGGGTTTATTGTCCTTCTCATGTTGATTTGCATGGGTACCTTGTATACTCTGTGGGTGTTCATTCTCCATTTAGGCATTACGAATGTTTTCTAGTGTGTCACCCATCTGTTGTTTTTTTCTGTGGTGCCCTTTGTTGAACAGAAATCTTTACTTTTAATGCAGAACTTGCCAATGTTTTGCTTTATGGTGTGTGGCTTGTCTTAAGAACTCCTTCCCTGTCCCCAAATCACCAGGATGTTCTCCTACATTTTCTTCCATAATAGCTTCATAGTTTTACTGTTCATTTTTAGGTCTTTAATTTGGATTCTATCTTTGTTTCAAGTGTGATAAGAACCTATTTTTCTCCATAGAGCAAGCCAGTTTTCTTAATCCCATCACGTGACAACCCAACCTTGGCTGGTTTATGTCAAGTTATCCTATATATACGGGTCTGTTTCTGAGCTCTCTGTCATAATCCATTGGTTCATTAATCTGCTCTTTTGTCATCATCATATTCTCTTTCCTTCTGTGGCTTTGTGATGTGTCCAAAAATCGGATAGTGCTAGTTGCCCCGCTTTCGTTTTTTTTTTTTTTTTTTAAAGTTGACAACTATGTTTCGACCTTTATGTTTCCATGCAATTTTGGAAAACTTGCTATGTTCATGGGATTTTTAAAAGTCTTTAATAATAATTGAAGACTCAAAGGCAGTTGCAAAAATTGCACATAGAGGTTTTAGAATCGTCCACTCAGCTTCCCCTAATGTTGACCTGTTTTATAACTGTAGTGTAATCAAAATGAGGACAAAATTAGGACATTGACATTGGTGCAGTACTATTAACTAGACCACAGACTTTATACAATTTTCATAGGATTTTAAAAAAATGAATTGTTTTGGATTTATAGATTAATTGGAGTCAAATTGACATCTTGACATCCATGAACAATGTTACATTATTTATTCAGATCTTCCTTTAAGTCCCTTAGTGGAACTTTAAGATGGTGTATATGCTAGGTGCTGTACTAGGAGCTGAGGATATAGAAATTAATCAAACATGCCTTCTACCTGAAAAAACTAAGACCATTATAAGAAATAAACATATAAACTAGAAAGTTTAATAAAGTATTTTAAATGCTGTGATAGGGATGTATACAGGGCATGGATGGGACAATAAGGACAAAATGATAAAATAGAACTGAATCTGACAATTGATGTGAATCATAGGAGTTTTGTGGAGCTCTTATGTTTTTAAAACATATTTTTCTTGGCCCACTGTTCTATAAGTAACTGACTAGAAACATTGAATAAATGAATGGAGAATACCTTAATAGTTTATAGCATATTTATTCTGACATAAAGTAACAATTATTTTTAACTCCTCTAGTCATTCATTATACTTTATAGCAACTACATAAAACCTGCCAGACTAACAAAACAAAATTCACCTTACAAAATGAGTTAGTATGACAAGCATAGATGATATGGAAATTTACAAGAGAATAACCGTATGTCTTGTACATTTTTTTTGTTTTTTTACTGACAGTTTGGTTGCTGTGTGTCTTTCACTTCCAGCTGAAGCAGAATGACAGTGATTTTTAAAACAGTTTTATTGAGGTACAGTCGACGTATTACACACTATATATATTTGAAGTGTAAACTTTGATGTGTGTTGATATATGTACACACCCTGAAACTGTCACCATAAGTTCAAGATAATGAATTTATCACCCCCATAAGTTTTGTGGTGCCCTTTCGTAATCCCTTCCTTCTTTTCTTTTCCAAGTAGTCACAGATGAGTTTGCATTATCTAGAAATTTATGTCAGTATATCATAAATCATGCAGTACTCTCTTTTGAGATTTGTCCATGTTGTATATATCAATAGTTCATTCTTTTTATTGCTGAGTACTAAGTGTCCATTTTGCAGTATTCCATAGTTCATTTATTCACCTGGTGATGGAAATGTGGGTTTCCAATTTGAGGCTATTAAATAAAGTTGTTTTTAATATTCTTATGCAAGTCTTTGAATGAACATGTGGTTTCTTTTCTCTTGGGTGGCAAGCCATTTACTTGCCAGTGGAATGGCTGGATCAGATGTAGGTATGTGTTTTACTTTTTAAGAAGCTGCCCCAACTGTTTTCCAAAGTGCTTGTACCTACAGTTCTACATACCTATGAGCAGTGTGTGAGAGTTCTATTTCCTCCACATTCTTGTCAGCATTTGCTATGGTCTGTCTTTTAAATTTTGGCAATTCCAATAGATGTTAAGTGGTATCTTACTGTGGCTTAAATTTGCATTTCCCTTATGACTAGTGGTGTAGGGCATCTTTTCATATGCTTATTTGCCATCCATATGTCTTTTTTTTGCTAAGTGACCATCCATATAGTTTTCCCATTTGTAATGGATTATTTGCTTTCTTACTGCGTTTTGAGAGTGTATGTTTGTATATTCATACACAGTCATGTGATTTATTATATATATGATGGTAGTCCCATAAGATTATAATGGACCTGAAAAGTTTCTCTTGCCCAGTGACGTTGTGTTTGTGGTGATGCCAGTATAAACAACAAACCTGGGCTGCCAGTTACACAACAATGTAGCACATACCATTGCATACATCACATAATATTTATAAACGATCATAAAACGACTTTGTTACTGGTTTATGTATTTACTATAGTATACTTGTTATTGTTATTTTAGAGTATACTGCTTATACTTCTAAAAAGAATGTTAACTGTAAAACAGCCTCAGGCAAGTCCTTCAAGAATTATCCAGAAGAAGGCATTATCATCACAGGAAATGACAGGTTCATGTATGTTATTAATATTTCCCCTGAAGACCTTCCAGTGGGGCAAGATGTGGAGATGGAAGACAGTGACATTGATGATCCCAACCCTGTGTAGGCCTAGGCTAATGTGTGTGTTTGTGTCTTAGGTTTTAACAAGAAAGTTTACCAACAAAAATTTTTTAATTGGAAAAAGCTTATAGAATGAGGATATAAAGAAGGAAAATATTTTTGTACAGCTGTATGGTGTGTTGTATTTTCAGCTTAGTGTTATTACAAAAGAGGTAAAACGTTAGAGATTAAAAAGTTTATAAAGTAAAAAAGTTACAGTAAGGTAAGGTTAATTTATTGTTGAAGAAAGAAACATTTTAACAGTAAATTTAGTGTAGCCTGTTGATGAAGTCCTCAATAGCCTACAGGAATGCCCCGTGGCTTACCTTTTCATGCTCTTTAACCCTGTGTTTCAAAGAGCAGACGTTTTACATTTTGAACATGTCCAATTTGTCAGTTTGTTCTTTTATAGATTGGGATTTTAGTGTCTTATCTAAGAAACCATTGCCTCACCTAAGGTCACAAATATTTTCTCTCATGTTTTCTTCTAGCAGTTTTATAGCTTTGGGTTTTACATTTAGGTAAAAGGTCCCATTTTGAGTTAGTTTTTGTATATGGTTCATGATTATAGATTCAAATTCTTTAAAAAAAAAAAAAGCTATCCAGTTGTGCCAGCACCATTTGTTGAAAAGACTGACCTGTCTTCAATTGAATTGTCTTCGTATCTCTGTTCACGTGTAAGTGGATCTATTTCTGGACTCTTTTTTTCTGTTCAGTTGATCTGTTATCATCATGTCATTTTCACACTGTCTTAATTACTGTAGCTTTATAGTAAGCCTTGAAATTGTGTAGTGTTAGCCATACCACTTTGTTCTTATTCAAAGTTGTTTTGGCTATTTGAAGACATTTGCATTTCCATATGAATTTTAGAATCACCTTTTCAGTTTCTACATTAAAGTCTGCTGTGATTTTGTTTGGAATTATGTTGTATCACTGGATGAATTTGGGGAATAATTGACAATAAAAAGAAAATTCTGGGTACATTTACACAATCGTCATCTGCAAATAAAGGTAGTTTTACTTCTTTTTTAATCCTTTTTTATTCTTTTTACCTTACTGCACTAGTTATAACCTTGAGTGCAATGTTGACTAGAAGTGGTGACAGTGAACATCTTTGTGTTATTCATGATTTTAGAGAGAAATAATTCAATCCTTCACCGTTAAGTGTGCTATTAGATTTAGGGGTTTTTTTGTGGGGTTTTTTGTAAATGCCCTTATCAGGTTGAGGAAGTTCCCTTCTGTTTCAAATTTGCTGAGAAATTTTTGGTTTTTCATGTTTTTAAATCAGAAATGGATGTTAGATTTTGTCAAATACTTTCACTTTTTTTTTTTTTTTTTTGAGACAGAGTCTCAACTCTGTCACCTAGGCTGGAGTGCAGTGGCTCAGACTCGGCTCACTGCAACCTCTGCCTCCCGGGTTCAAGCGATTCTCTTGCCTGAGCCTCCTGAGTAGCTGCATGCCACCACGCCCAGCTAATTTTTTGTATTTTTAGCAGAGACAGAATTTCACTGTGTTAGCCAGGATGGTCTTGATCTCCTGACCTCGTGATCCACCCGCCTTGGCTTCCTGAAGTGCTGGGATTACAGACGTGAGCCACGGCACCCGGCCCTTTTGCTTTTTATAAATTGATACATAATATGTATCACTTGGAAGTAAGGGAAATCTGAAGTGAACTGTTTTCCTATGCTCCAGAAATATCTCTCTACAAACACTTAACACATTAGTTACAGATCTTTTTCCTATTCTTTGAAATAAGGCCCCAAATAATCTCCATCAGAACAGTTAGCTTAATGTGAATTACTTTATATATTTGAAATTTAAAAAAGACATATATTGTAAGTAATGTATGGCTCACATTTTAATGATGCAGCCTTGCTTCTTCCTTAATTAGACTGAGGAGAAGAAAGTTAATATAGATGGTAACTACAACTATATTCTCTTTTCAAAGAAATAATAATATATTTAAAGTTAGTAATATATGTGTTCCTAAACATGATTTGCAATTTCTTACAGATTTGTAGGATCACTGGGTACCATCATCATAAAATGTAAAGATTTTCGAATTATTCAGTTGGATATTCCTGGAATGGAGGAATGCTTGAATATAGCCAGTTCCATTGAGGTAAGTATTTTGGAAGCAAAATCTAATGAAACATAATTTTATATTATGACTCAGTGTAGCTCTTCCATTTCTTCATTAGATAATTTAGTCATGTTCTCTGACTCAAATACTGAAGACTGATAGGAAAAGCCTCACCCTGGTTCATCGTCATATGAGTGTAATGGAACTTTCTTGACTTCCAGCAGTGTCTGGTGTTACTCACGTTATATGAGTAGCTCAATTCCATGAGTTGCTTGGAATTCCATTTCCAATGGCTTTGTGGAATTTCCATGAGTTCATATTGGTTAAATAACAGATACTGTTTCACTTGAGTGTATGAGTTCTTATTTGGGGAAACCATTAGAAGATTTAGTAAAGAGGTTCTTGGGAGAAATTTTAAAGTTTTGCTTGATATTTTATGTTCACTATACAAAGCTCTGTGCCAAAGACTGTAAACTTCTTTTTCTTTCCTTTACTTGAGGTTTGTTCAAGTAAAATCTTATATGGAATTGTAAACCAATAAAATAGATACAGTTAGAATTGCTTTTAGTCACATTACAGTGAGTAGGTAGGGACTGGGGGGACCTAGAAGCCCTCATTGACTTGACTATTCCCATCTGCCCTCTACAGAGTTCCTTAGAGACACTGCAAACCACTAGTGAGTTAACCAGTGCACTGTTCACTTCTCTACCAGGTTAGCAGCTAGAAGTGGAATTGTTTCTTCTTGAATATACTAGTATATCTTTTGTAATAAATACAGTTCTAAAAATTTGAATAGAAATATTAATAAATTAGAATATTATTGTACCATATTATTACATATATATATACACATTATTACATGTATTAGTACATTATTGAACGATAGCACAGTTTGATTCTTGATTTTACCACATGCTAGCTTGTGACCATTGGTAAAGTACTTAACATCTCTCTGATTTGTTTTCTACGTTTTATAAAACAAGGATAATAGTACCTATCTTTTAGGGCTGTTGTAAGAATTTTATTAGTTGATGTGTGTAGAATGGTTAGTATAATACTTGGTAAATAGCAGCTACCATTTGAGGGTCCTCTGTCATTACTTACTATAATTTTATGGTGATGCTTTTTTAAAAAAATTGTGGTTAGAAAACACTTAACCGTTTTTAAGTGTACAGTTTAGTAGGGTATAAAACTTTATTCACATTGTTGTGCAGCAGATCTCCAGGACTTTTTCATCTTGCAAGATCGAAACTCTGTGTTAAACAACACCCCATTTTCCCCTCTCTCCAGCTCCTGAGAACCCCCATTCTACTTTCTGTTTCTCTGAATTTGACTACTTTAGGTATCTCATATAAGTAGAATCATAGTACATAGTATTTGTCTTTTTGTGACTGGTTTTTTTCACTTAGCATAATATCCTCACAGTTCATCTGTGTTGTAAATTCTGACTTTTTAAGGCTGAGTAATATTCCATTGTTATGGATGCATGTGGTGAGACTTTTAAAAAGTTATTTCTTTTCTAAAGCAAGTAACTGTCACCAGTGATTATAGTTTTTTGTTTGTTTTTAGTAATCTGAATTTTCACGTATCAATTAGCTTAAGACAGGGTGTGTTTGCTTTTTATTTATATAAATAATATTGAATATTGGTTCAGATTACAAATAATAGAAATTTTACTTGGTTAGTTTAAATGGAAGAGCTCATACTGTTTTCTTTCCATTCTAACCAACTATTTTGATGTACACTGAAATTTTAAATTGCCTTATTTTAAACTATTGCCACTAAATTATATCAGTTAATCTTAGGTTTATAGTACTTTCTAGACTACTATAGGAACGTTGATTTTTTCTTTCCGTGTATGTGTAACTAATCTGGACTTTGTGTCCAAAAAATGCTATCAGCTTAGCTATTAAAAATGGGTAGAAAGTCTTAAAAATCTAGAAGTAGGATTTTAGTGATTTTTAAAACAGGAATAGAGAAATAGAGGAAAAACTGTTATAGTGCTAAGTAAATGGTACATAACACATTTCTTCCTGCCTTTGTTGAATTTTACTTAAGGAAATGAGAAGATGAACTGAACTGTTTGTCTTACACATCTGTCATTTGGAAGTAATGCATGATGTTGATTTGATGTAATTTGTTAAATTGAATGAGAATGCATGTAGTTTATAGACTGTTAAATTGAAATAATGTCCCACTATTTGGGCATTTGGGCAGAGGAACATTACCCACTTCCATTGAGCATGTATGTGTTTGTGGGTTTTGTGGTTTTTTTTTTTTTCAGTTAGGAGATTGGATTTTCACTGACCAGTCTTCGTTTTTCTTATTCCTTTGTGAGAATTGATCTGTAAGATGACTGGCTGGTTGGTGTCAGAGATGCTGCCTGTGGTGAGGCACAGTGGTGAAGGAAAAGGGGAAGTGTGCTACCCACTTGCTGACGCTGATCAGTTGTTTAAGTAGCTGTATATATTTTAAAACTCTTTAGAAACTGACTCATTATATAAAAGCCCTTAGGACTGAAAAGAAGCCGTAAATTATGAGCTCATTTGACCTCAGAAAATGAATGCTCTGTTAAATGTTCTTACAGCGTAGTGATTAACATAGTGAACCTGTCCTCTATCCTTTTCCTGGCACAGAATCCCTCCTGCTAGCCCTCCACCCTTCCCCGAATACATCTGGACACGATTTGTGAGTAGTAATTGAATTTTTCATATAGCATAGCTGAGCTGTCCTTTGTAATTAGGAGTCCGTATACTCAAATATATTCTGCTGCCTCACGTAGAATCCCATTGGAAGAATAGCTGGCAAGTGCTCAGTTATCTAAATTGTAGCAATAAGTTAGTGAAGCTTTTTTTCAGTGTTTCACCTGCCTTTGGAAGTGAAATGTTTTCAGTTCTCTCAGCATTAATGTGTTTAAAGGAAAAGACCTCTTTCTAGTGACATAAGATCTCAAGATGAAATATGAGTGCTTATTGCCTGTGAGAGTGGTTGCTGACTTGCATTTAAAATAATGGTGGTTCTGATTGACGGCAGCCCTGAGTTAGGTCAGACATGGACGCTGGCTGTTCTGCTTCTGTTTGGTGTGATTGGCAGCCAAAGACAGTATAGATGTAGGAAAAATATATATATATATATTTATATGGATAATGGATTATACAGCCATGCTTCTCTATATTTTGTTTTATGAGGTAGGAGAGAAGGTTTCATGATTTATAGATGGATAGAAAAATAACTTTGGATGGAGATGTTTTTGCTACACTGCTGAGCTGTATGTCCGGTCTACTATTGAATAGTCATGGGCCTATCCTTTTGCATGCCTGATCTTCCTCTGACCTGGAGGGAGATAAGTGCATTCTGAGCATTGCTGTTGGGCCTTCTCCTCCTGTCCAGGTGAATGTCTCCATCATTCCTGCAGTTTGAATTATGCTAATTGATATGGTATCCTTTCCCCGCTGCACCCCCCCCCCGCCATCCAGTATAGAAATACTTTTTTCCATAATCCCCCTGTGAGAAGGATGAATCTGCCTAGTGATAGAGACTTTCCTTCTCTCTGTTCCTCCCATCTACTCAGGTTTTCCTATGTCTGTTTTCCAGGATTCAAGTGCTCCAGGTAAATATAGGCCCATTTGGGGCTGATAGAGTTATTGCCCCCATTTGAGAATGGATCCCTGCAGCATGAAAATATGATGATACATGACCAAATGGCATATACCAGTCTAGGAAGAGAGGAAATGAACATTGATGGAATTTCTACCTATGTAGAGCATGTCATAGCTGAAATTGGCCAGGTGCGGTGGCTCACACATGTAATCCCAATACTTTGAGAGGCTGAGGCAGGCAGATCACCTGAGGTCAGGAGTTCAAGTCTGGCCTGGCCAACATGGTGAAACCCCATCTCTACTAAAAATACAAAAAAATTAGCTGGGTGTGGTGGCAGGCACCTGTAATCCCAGCTACTCAGGAGGCTGAGGAAGGAGAATCACTTGAACCCGGGAGGCGGAGGCTGCAGTGAGCCGAGATCGCGCCATTCTAGCCTGGGTGACAAGAGCAAAACTCTGTCTCAGAATAAAAGTGGGAATTACTTTAGATTTTATTATGTGCCAGACACTGTTCTAAGCCTTTTACACACATTATCTCTCTTAATGCTTCAACAACACTATGAAGTAGGTATGTTATTTCCCCCATTTTACAGTTGAGGAAACTGAGGCATAGAGTGGTTACATGACTTTCCTACTGCACTGCTAGGATTTGGAATTTCAGTCCGGCATTCTCATTCCCATCTGACTGTAGACCTCTAGGCTGTATCATCCTTTTTTACAGTTACTAACCCACCCTGATTTCAAATAATTTACATAAGTTTATTTAGGTAATAACTGGATTTTGAGCCAAGACCTTACTGACTAGCCAAAAACTGATCCCCAGAAATACTTAGACCTTTTTATTAAGCTTTATTAATTGATGTCGAGGTGTTATTTCATTTTTCTTCTAGAATTGGTATGCACATTTTTTTGTTCTTTTTTTCATCCCGTCAACACTTTTGAGTGTGTGTTATGTGGCAGATGCCTTTGTTAGATACTAGAAGCAAAGAAATCAGCTTCAGTAAGACTAAAATTGTATCTGGTGATAAACACAATGTTAGAGAAACATTCTGGGTGCCCATCATTATTAGACCATGTTTGCTTAATACTAATTTGTCAGTTAGAATATGTTTCCAGTTGTGGATGTTTCTTTTTTGTCTTTCTTTTCTTTTTGCCCCCAGGCATTGTCTACTCTGGACTCCATCACTCTGATGTACCCTTTCTTTTACCGTCCTATGTTTGAAGTGATAGAAGATGGCTGGCATTCCTTCCTTCCTGAGCAAGAATTTGAACTCTATTCTTCAGCTGTGAGTTAACTTTTGAGAACTGTGGATTATGAGAAGTAACCCAATACCTTATTTGACTTGTGAAAATGATCACTTCTTTTGAAGAGTAATAAGGTGAAGTTGACTTATCCATTCCTAATCTTAATATATTTAAAAGGATTGAAGCCATGCAGAGTATGATCTCTGATCACAAAGGAATTAGATTAATAATCAGTAATACTAAGATATCTAGGAATACCCCCAAGTATTTCTAAATTAAACAGAACGCTTGT
This sequence comes from Homo sapiens, assembly GCF_000001405.40. Lineage (NCBI taxonomy): Eukaryota > Metazoa > Chordata > Mammalia > Primates > Hominidae > Homo > Homo sapiens. The sequence continues at coordinate 11,300,400 of NC_000008.11, forward strand.
AAATAATCTGCATGTCAAAGAAATTAGAAAACATTTTGAAGTGAGTGATAATGGTTATGTAACATATTGAAATTTGTGGAATACAGACAGCTAAGGCAGTGTTTAGAGATAAACTTACAGCTTTAAAATTTTTACTAGAAAGGAAAGTCTAAAATTATTGACCTAAGCACCAATTTAAGAAGCTAGAAAAAAAAAGCAAAGTAACTAGAAAGAAAAAATAATAAAAATAAGAGCAGAAAGCAATAAAATAACTAGAATAAGTAAGTTTAGCAAAGTTGGTTGATATAAGATCGGTATACAAAAACGAATTGAATTGGCAACAAGCGATCTGACAATGAATAAAATATTTACGAATAAATTTAACAAAAGAAATTCAAGGTCTATACACTGAAAGACATAAAACATTGTTGGAAGAAGTTGCAAGAGATCTAAATAAAAGGAGAGATACTGTGTACATCAATTGGAAGACAATATTGTTCAGGTTAGTGGTTGGCTGACTTTTGTGAAAGACCATTAGATAGTAGATATTTTAAGCTTTGCAGGTCATGTGGTCTCTGTTGTAACTACTGAACTCTGCTGTTGTTGCATGAAAAAAGCAATCAGATGAGACATCAGTGAATGGGTGGTGCTATGTTCTAATAAACTTTATTTGCAGAAACAAGTAGCAGGCTGGATTTGGCTCATTAAAGTGGCAGTTCTCCCTTAATTGATCTGTAGAGTCAGTGCAATCCCTGTTAAAATTCTAATAGGTGTTTTTGTAGAAATGGACAAAATGATACAAATTTTATGGAAATGCAAATTTAAATATATAAGTTTATATGGAAAGTCAAAACAGCTTTGAGAAAACACTTGATTACTGTAAAGCCACAGTAATCAAGAGAGTATGGTATTGCTGTAAGCGAAGACATACAGACCAATGAAACAGAATACAGGGTACAGAAATAAACCTTCCCCTTAATGCTCAGTTGATTTTTGACAAAAGTACCAATACAATTCAATTGGGAAAGGATAGCTTTTTCAACCAATAGTATTGGAACAGTTGGATATCCATATGTAAAAAAGATAAACCTAGACCCTTACCTCACATCATCCACAAAAATTAACTAAAATGTATTATGCAACTAAACATGAGAACTAAAACTATCAAACCTCTTTAAGAAAGCACAGGAGAAAATCTTTATGACCTTCAGTTAGACAGAGATTTTTTAGATATGACACCAAAAGTGACTGAAAGCAGGTTAGTGATTTCCTAGTATTGGGTGTTACACAGGTGTATACAACTGTCAAGACTCATGAAATTGTGTAGTCAAAATGGATTCAGTTTATTTTTTATAAGTTTTGTCTCAAAGTTGACTAAAAAGAAGATAAAAGAATAATCTAATGCAAATGTTAAGTAGCTGATTAGAAACAGCTTAGGAGAAAATAAGTGATTTGAAATATAGATCCGAAATAATTACTCAGAATATGGAACAGAGAAGGAAGATGGAAAAACAGAGAGGTTAGACACATGCATGCTTAATAAAGGAAGAAGATCCAATATTTATTACATGGGAGTTTAGGATAAAAGATGATAGAGGCTGGTTATGGTGGCTCACACCTATAATCCTAGCACTTAAGGAGGCTGAGGCAGGCAGGTCACTTGAGCTCAGGAGAGTTTGAGACCAGCCTAGGCAACATGGTGAAACCCCATCTCTATGAAAAAATTTAGCTAGGTGTGATAATGTGTGTCTTTGGTCCCAGTTACCTGGGGGTCTGAGGTGGGAGAATGGCTTGAGCCCAGAAAGTTGAGTTTGCAGTGAGCAGTGATAATGCCGCTGCACTCCAGCCTGGGTGAGAGAGCAAGACCCTGTCTCCAAAAAAAAAAAAAAAAAAAAAGAGGAAGACAAAAAAAAAAAAAAGGTGATGATAGAAGAAAGACAATATTCAAATGCATAATGGTTGATAATTCTCCAGAATCAGTAGAAGTTATTGAACCCTTAAGCTGAGGTATCCCAGCAAATACCATACAAGATAATAAAAAAATCTTTAGACATGTTGTTGTTCAGCTACTGAACAATAAAGCAAAGAAAATACCACAAAGTTAAAAGACAAATGACCTGCATGGTGTTAGATTAACAGAGGAAAAAAGTTTGATCAATATCTATTTATGATAAAAGCTCTTAGAGTTGGATTTGAAGGAAATTTATTTAATCTGATAAAGGATGGGTACCAAAACCAAAAACATAAAAAAAGCAAATCTTGTATCATTCTCTCTAAGTTCAAGAATGAGGCAAGGATGTCCATTGTGACTACTTCTAGTCAGCTCAATAAGACAAGAAGGAAAAATACAGGGTATAGGGATTGAAATGAAGGTAGCAAAATTGTCAATATTTATTGATTATATGCTTGTCTACATAGGAAAAGGAAAGAATCTTGAGATCATAGGCATTTCTGTACACCAAACACAATTTTGAAGAGATGCAGTTAAAATGCAACAAAGATTATTGGGTTTCTAGGAATATATCTAAGAAAAGATAGTAAGACCTTTATTGAGAGAATTATAAAAATTTATGGAAAAAATTTTGAAAGCTTAAACAAATGGAAAAGACAATATACTCATGGATAGAGAGACTGAATATTCTAAAGATGTAAGTCATTCCCTCCGATTTATAAAGTCAATACAATCTTAATAAAAACCCCAGTTGGTTTTTATATTGAATTTGATAAAAGTTGCATGGAAGACCAAAAGACCAAGAGGAGCCACGTTACTCTTTGAAGAACAAAAAGGTGAGAGGAGGACACTTGGCCTACTAGATACCAAACTTATTTTAAAAGCTATAGGAGTTACTAAAGTGGACAAGTGCGACGGGATGGAGAGCACAGTACATTTGGACCAACAGAAGCGGCATTGCAGATCAATGGAGAGCCCTGTCATTCTCCAGAGTAGGAAATCAATAATAATATATCATAGTGAAAGTTCAAGAAATAACAGTATTATCATGTTGTTTAGAAATGTAAAGGTAAACACTGAAAAAGCTAAAAATGTTGAAAATGATTGCCTTTGGGGAAAGCAAATTGGGATGGGCTAGCAAGGAACAGATAACTACATTTTTTTAAAAATAATAAATCTTTAGAAACTGTGTTTTTTTTAAATTAATTAATTAATTATTTTTTGAAACAATCTCACTCCAGTTGCCCAGGCTGGAGTGCAGTGGCGCTGTCACAGCTCACTGTGGCCTCGACTTCCTGGGCTCCCGTGATTCTTTCACCTCAGCATCCTAAGTAGCTGGAAATACAAGTGTGTGCCACTGTGCCTGGCTAATTTTTGCATTTTTAGTGGATATGGGGTTTGGCCATGTTGCCCTGGCTGGTCTTGAACTCCTGAACTCAAGCAATTTGCCTGCCTTGGCCTCCCAAAGTGCCGGGATGATAGGTGTGAACCACTGTGCCCAGCCTAGAAACTATGTTTTTAAACTGGTAACATAAATAACTTTGAAAAGTGAAAAAATTTAATTAAAAATGTGATACTGTATCTTATAAAAGCATTTTTTAAAAGTAATAATCTTGTCTGTTAGTACGTCTAACATACTTTTTAGCTTTATCTTCCTGCTATTGTAACCCATGGTTAGGCCAACTCAGATATACAGAACATATTGAAATTTACATATAATTTGATTTTTTTTTTTTACTGTAAAACCTTTTGACAGTGTTCAAGCTGTTTTTAATTCTGATGTTTAAAATAAGTTGTCATTTGATAGTTTTATATTGTATACTTCTAGTCCTTACTCAGTTTGAAATTATTTCATTGACTCCTAAGCTTAACCTTCCTTAGTATTGAGTTGGTACTGTTTTAAGAAAGGTGTTACCAATCTTAGTACATTTTTTACCTTTTTTAAAATAAACAAAGGGTTTGATATAGATAGTAGCTGTGTTCTCATTTGTTCTGGGGATGCATTATCTGGAGTCGTACAGTCTTACTTGTGCTTTAAGAGGATCATTAACAAACTAAATGGGACCCAGAAAAGGAAGAAGTAGGATGATGTTGGCCGTGATAATTGTGGATGTGCTTAATATATTTAACTTGGAGAATAGAACACTAAGGAGGATCAGCTGTCTTTCAAACATTTGATGGGATACCGTGTAAAATAGGGAACTTGTACGGTGTTGTCTGAAAGTACAGTAAAAACCAATAGAGGGAGCTACAGAGCAACAAGTTTTGCTCAGTGTGAGAAAGCACTTTCTGGGAACTGGTGATACCTAGCAATGCAGGAAGCTGGCCCTGAACCATAGAGCTCCTTTTCTCTGCAGCTACTTACATATAAGCTAGAGATCCACCTGTGAAATTCCTGAGAAATGGCTTCTTCATCAGTGAAAGTTGACCTCTAAGGTCTTTTAAAATTTCTCAGATTATTTTGCGACATTGAGATAGTTGCTTAGCTTTGAAGTATTTTGTGTTTTTCAGACCAGTGAATGGAGGCTAAGCTATGTCAATAAGGAATTTGCTGTCTGTCCCTCTTACCCACCAATTGTCACAGTGCCCAAATCCATCGATGATGAAGCTCTTCGGAAGGTAGCTACATTTCGACATGGAGGGCGCTTCCCAGTACTAAGCTATTACCACAAAAAAAATGGGATGGTAAGTGCACAGCACTACTGCTTGATGTACTGAAAGGCTTGGGTTGGGGATCTTTTCGTAGAAATGTTCCCTTTTGCTCTCTGTCTGTTCACTGAAATGATTGTCCAGGTCTCCACCACAAGGGCTTCCTTCATGTAAGCTTTAGGGAATCAGGAGTAGGGTGTTTTCTGTGGTGAGGATGTGATGCTGAATTCTTTCCATGATCCTGCTCAGCCGTATAAAAGCCCTGATAGCTTTATCTCCAGGACACTATACAAAGGAAACTAGTGTTTATTTGATGCTTACAGCAACATTCTTCTGGTAGAAAAATGAGAAATTTCTCTGTTCAGAATAATGGTAAAATACTTGAATTTTTCTTAACAACTTTACACGTGAAAGGTGGAGCAGACGTATTTATTTTCAAAGGTGAAAAGAGTGATGCTCATGTCATTTAGTCACAACTCTAGTAAACACTGGAGTCAGGATTAAACAAGGAGTTAAGATAACTACCTTGTAATGGTGGCGTCTTGAAAGAACTCTAAACCATTCGCCAGGGAAGAGATTAGTATAATAGACATTGATTTCTAGAGAAAAGTTTCAAAAGCAAACATTTCCAGATGTATAGTTGGTGGGGTAGTTTTTAGAAACAAGTAGTTAAATCCTTGAATACTGAAAAGGATGGTAGAGGCCACTGGAGAATACATAATAGACAGTCAGCTTCTGAGGTAGTGAAAATGATTTCCCAAACAATGAGAACAGTGTTTGAACTTTTAAATTTTGCCACTGGTGCCTTTACTTCTTATAATTGTTGTTAAAACCTGCCAACTCTATGTATGTTTAGTTGAAGTCAAGGTTTACTGGCTCATAGGCCATTATTGTCTTTATTACAGGTCCAGGTCTACAGGTATTTGATTCACACACTAAATGAATTGCAATATTTGATCTTAAAGAGGAGATATAATTTATTATGTGACAGTATTTTGAGACAGAGAAATTGTGTAAAAGCTTAAGGCTTATCTTTTATAGTTATTAACTATTGTCAATACATGCAAATATTTCTTTGTTTATGGATCAAATCCATCTGCAGAGTGTCACACAATTGTTTTTGAGATACTCTTAATCTAGCTAATTTCTTTCTGTTTTCAGAAACTTTAAAAGCAACTGCTGTTGAATTTTCAGCTTTATTATGCTTCTAGGTAATTATGCGAAGTGGTCAGCCACTCACTGGTACAAACGGGAGGAGGTGCAAGGAGGACGAGAAGCTGATAAATGCTACCCTCAGGGCTGGAAAGCGTGGCTACATCATTGACACCCGATCCCTGAACGTGGCTCAGCAAACTAGAGCCAAAGGAGGTGGCTTTGAACAAGAAGCTCATTATCCTCAGTGGAGGCGAATTCATAAGTCCATTGAGAGGTAAAAGATTCCAAAGATAGTACAGACTCTTATTAGAAGCTAATTATAGTGGGTAAGGCCTTAGCCATTTGAAAATCACAAGTGCTCAAATTAACTTCTGCATTAATTTAGGGTCAATGATGGGCTAGCCATCTTCTCATTTTTTTTTGGTCAGCTCTATTAAGGTTTGATTGACAAATAAAAATTACATGTATTTGTGATGTACACTGTGCTATTTTGATATACATATACATTGTGAACTGATTAAGTGAATTAACCTATCACGTCGCATAGTTATCATTTTTTTGGATGGTGAGAACATTTAATATCTATTCTCTTAGCAGTTTTCAAGCATACAATATATTAGTTTTAACTACAGTTACCATGCTGTACAATAGACCTACAGAACTAATTCCTCCTAAGTGAAACTTTGTTGTTACCTTTGATCAACATGTCCCCATATCTGTGTCCCTCCTACCCCGACCCCTCCTGCTACTTTCTCTTCCTCTGGCAACCACCATTCTACTCTCTGTTTCTATGAGTTTAACTTGTTTAGATTCCACATATAAGTGAGTTCATGCAGTGTTTATCTTTCTGTGCATGGGTGCCTGACTTATTTCATATAGCATGATGTCATCCAGGTTCATCTGTGCTATTGCAAATGACAGGCTTCCCCTCTTTTTTATTTTTATTTTATTTTTTTGGGATGGAGTCTTGCTCTGTCAGCCAGGCTGGAGTGCAGTGGCACGATCCCAGCTCACTGCAATCTCTGCCTCCCAGGTTCAAGTGATTCTCCTGTCTCAGCTTCCCAAGTAGCTGGGACTACAGGTGCCTGCTACCACGCCTGGCTAATTTTTGTATTTTTAGCAGAGACCAGGTTTTGCCATGTTGGTCAGGCTGGTCTCGAACTCCTGACCTCAAGTGATCCTCCTGCCTCGGCCCCTCAAAGTGTTGAAATTACAGGCATGAGCCACTGTGCCTGGCCTACCCTCTTTTTTAAGGCTGAATAGTATTTTATTGTGTATTGTACCACATTTTCTTAATCCATTCATCCATTGACGTGCATTTAGGTTGAATCCATATCTTGACTATTGTGAATAGTGCTGCAGTGAACGTGGGAATGCAGATACCTCTTTGAGATCCTGATTTCGTTTCCGATATTCAAAATATTTACCCAGAAGTGGGATTACTGGATCTTATTGCAGTTTCATCTTTAATGTTTTGAGGAGCCTCCATACTGTTTTCCACAGTGGCCATACTAATTTACATTCCCACCAGCATTGTACAGGGGTTCCCTTTTGTCCATATTCTCAACAACAGTTGTTAAATCTTGTCTTTTTAGTAATAGCCATTCTAACAGGGGTGAGGTGATATCTCATTGTGGTTTTGAATTTCATTTCTCTGTTGATGAGTGATGCAGAGCATTTTTTTTTTCAAATACCTATTGGCCATTTATATGTCTTCTTTTGAGAAATGTCTGTTCAGGTCTTGCCCATTCTTTAATCAGGTTTTGTGTTTTCTTGCTGTTGAGTTGAGTTTCTTACATATTTTGGATATTAACCCCTTATCCAGTGTGGTGTTCACAAATGTTTTCTCCCATTCCATAGGTTGTCTCTTTACTCTGTTGATTGTTTTGCTGTGCAAAACTTGTTAGTTTGTTCAGTCTCATTTGTCTATTTTTGCTTTTGTTGCCTCTGCTTTTGAGGTCATATCCAAAATAACTTTTCCCAGACCAATGTCAAGAAGCTTTTTCCTTATGTTTTCCTCTAATGATTTTTACAGTTTCAGGCCTTATGTTTAAGTCTTTAATCTACTTTGAGTTGATTTTTGAGTATGGTGTGAGGTAAGGGTTGAGTTTCTTCTGCATGTGCATACCCAGTTTTTCCACCACCACTCATGGGAGAAGCTCCTTTCCCCATTGTATGTTCTCGGCAACTTTTTCAAACATCAATTTACCATAAATGCATGGATTTATTTCTGGGTTTTATTCTGTTCCATTAGTCAATGTGTCTGTTTTTATGCCAGTGCCAAGCTGTTTTGATTACTTTAGCTTTGTAGCATATTTTAAAATCAGGTACTGCGTGAGGCCATCAGGACCAGGGCTTTTCTTTGATGGGAGGTCTTTTTAATCTCCTTACTCATTATTGGTCTGTTCATATTTTCTTTCTTCATGACTCAGTCTTGGTAGGTTGTATGCTTCTAGGAATTTATCCATTTCTTCTAGATTATCCAGTCAATTTGTTAATGTGTAATTGTTCACAGTAGTCTCTTATGATCCCTTGTATTTCTGTGATATCAGTTGTAATATCTCATCTTTATTTCTGATTGTATGCATTTGCATTGTTTTTCTCTCTGTTTTTAGTGAAAGAACCTTCAGCTAAAGGTTTGTTAGTTTTATCTTTCTTTTTGAACAGCCAGCCTTTGTGTTTGATAGGCGAAAGCTGTGCTCTTGGAGGCCTGCAGGAGTCCCTTTCACTAGCATTCTTTCTCTAAGCCAACCCTGTGGTCTCATCACCACAAGGCCAGCTCCTCTGCAGGTAGATCAGCAGTTGCTACACTGAACAGATTTGCTACATATACTTATATTTTCCTAAGTCAAAGACTTTAGAGATTTAATTTCTCCCCATATCGACCTATTTTCGCACAGTTTCCTCCACCTATTGTCTCTTGTTTGTACTGTAAAAGAGTGATTTATAAGTGTCTCTAGGTGGGTGAATGGGAGCTGTAGCTAGAAAACAGTGGGATCCAAGCTGGGTTGGGTAAGGCTGCTGATGGCACTGGGTCTCTAGTGTTAGATCGGTGGGAACAGGATTGCAAATGTAAGTGGTGCTGTGTCTCCTGACCTGTCATGAAACGCAGGGCTCTGGCCTCTCCTATAGTCAGATAATCCAGGTATGTGAACTGGGTTTAATCTGTTCAGGTAAGGAATACGTTACCATGGCAGGCATTTTAAGCCTTTGCAACAATGTTTAAATATTAGTTTTTCAACCTTTAATCCTCAAATTATAGCAGGGTAAATATTTTTATAGTATTTTGAACTACTTTTGCTCTTAGATATGTTGGAGGCTGAATCTTTGGTTTGGTTTCTTTATCTTTCTATTTTCTGGGTTTGTTATTTTTTACTTTCTTACTTTTAAAAGGTATCACATTCTTCAGGAGAGCTTAATCAAACTTGTGGAAGCTTGTAATGACCAAACACATAACATGGACCGATGGCTCAGTAAATTGGAGGCCTCTAACTGGCTGACTCACATCAAAGAGATTCTGACAACTGCCTGCCTAGCGGCTCAGTGCATCGACAGGTAAAGTGCATTTCAGCGTTCCTGAGCGAAACATGGCGCTGCTAACTAGACTTTGTGTTTATCCAGACATATGTTTATAGATTATGTGAAAGTTTGCAGTAAATTACTGTGTAGGCTAGTCAACACCATCCCATTATTGATGAGGTGTGTGCCTAGAGTCTGGCATTTAATAGATAATGTTTGTTTCATAAATATGAACCAGGTAAATATACATGTCTTCTATGACACAAATTTTTAAGTACTAATGGACCCGTTTTTTTTTTCTAGTACACCCTTAAATCATGAATTTGCCAATTTTTTTCTTAAACTGTGAAATAGAATGAAAGGAAGTTTTCTTATTTTTTCTTAGAGGAGCGAACTTACCTCCTTACTTTTGAAATATCAGCGAAAGGAAACGTAATTTTGTTACACAGTAAAATGATCCTTTCTAACCTCCGGGATATCTTATTTCATACTACTTGATATGTGCGATTACATCTGGATCTCAAGTTGAGAACACCTAGTGGTAGTGATGTTGAGTATATGAAGTGATTTTAGTTCATATAGTTAATTCACTCAGTTAAAGGTTGCTAATCCTTGAGTCTTGTGGCAGAAGACTTGAACAGAGGCAGAAGGATTGGCACAAATTCTTGCAGAAGCTTAGAATGCCGTTTCTAAGAAGGGGATTCCACTGAAACAGTAGGTAGATATAAGTATTATCACCACATGGATAGATGGCACTTTTCTTTGAGACTTTAACTTGTTTTATTGATGCTTCCAAATTAGGGAAATATATACCTAATTTGTTATGGTTATAGAGAAATTCATAATAGAATGGGTTGCTGAAATCATGTGGTAAGTTAGCAACAGAGCCATCAAGGTAGAGTCCCTTGGGGTCAAGATTGCCAGGCTATCCCTGTTCTTTCTGTTTTAGGCGTTAGGTGAAGCCCATTTACCTAATAAACTGTGGGAATTAAAGACCAAGGTTCTGTGGCAGAGAAATAACAAATACATAATGATTTTGTTAATACTGAGGGTTTTTTTCTTTTTAACCTAAGTTTACCAGATTTCTCCTTACATTATGAGTACAGAGGCTTCTGTTTTTTTTATGAAACAGGAATTGTAATAAACAGTTAATCACCACATTTCTCAATTTTGCAGCTGTGACAGCATGATGATACAGATTAAGACATCCCTCAGTGCAGAATGCAGAACAGTTCTCATGATTTCCACCTTCATTTAGTTTGAGCTGGCCACCTCAAAGGCAGAGACTTCCAGACTCTTGGGAAGGTTCAGGGTTTTGGTTAATTTTGCCATGTTTGAGTCCCTTTTTCTGATATATATTGGCCTATTATTTTCACCTCCATACAAATTTGCCCTTATAATTAATTACTGAAAACATGAAAATAGAGTTTAAATGAATTGAATTCAGAATATCCCACAGATAATTAAGGTACATATGCAATATACACAGAAGCCTTAAAGTACATGCTCATCCCCTTCAGCCTAGTCATTAGGTTTTATCCTGAGAATGGGGTTAGCCTAACCATAAGTGACTTCAGGGAATCTGTTACTTTTAAATTAAGAACCCCCAAAGAATTCAACAGAAGACAAAAAGCTAAGTACATCATCTACAATGTAACAAAAATTGGCATAACCTAAATGTCCAACTATAGGATTAAGTAAATTGCAGTTCATCACTTAATAGGATATTACACACAGGCACACCTTAGAGATGTTGCAGGTTTGGTTCCAGAAAACCACAGTAAAGCAAGTCATGCAATAAAGTGAGTCACATTCATTATTAATATTTGGTTTTCTAGTGCATATAAAGTTATGTTTACACTATAATGCAGTCTGTTAATTGTGCAATAGTATTATGTCTAAAAAAACAATATACATACCTGAATTTAAAAATACTTTATTGGTATTTGAGGTTATTGGCCCTGGTAGAGGGCCTTGCCTCCCCATTGATGGCTGCTGACTGATCAGGGTGGTAGTTACTGAAGCTTTGAATGGCTGTGGCAATTTCTTAGACAAGACAGCAATGAAGATTGCCGCATCAATTGACTCTTCCTTTCATGAAAGATTTCTCTGTAGCATGTGATACCGTTTGATAGCATTTTTACCCACGGTTGAACTTGCAAAATTAGAGTCAGTTCTCTCAAACACTGCCACTGCTTTATCACCTAAGTTGATGTGGTATTCTAAATCTTTTTTTTTTTTTTTGTCATTTCAACAATATTCACAGCATCTTCACCAGGAGTAGATTCTATCTCAGGATACTACTTTTCTTGCTCATCCATAAGAAGCAACTCCTTATTTCTTCAAGTTTCATCATGAAATTGCAGCAATTCAGTCAAATCTTCAGGTTCCTAATTATTTATTTATTTAGGAGACAGGGCCTTGCTCTGTCACCCAGGCTGGAGTGTAGTGGCAGGATCACGGCGCACCGCAGCCTAGAACTCCTGGGCTCAAATGATTCTCCCACCTCAGCCTCCCAAATAGCCAGTACTACAGGTGCACACCACCACGGTCACCTAATTTTTTTTTTCAATTTTTAACAGAGATGTGGTTTCTGTTTATTGCCCGGTCTGGTCTCAAATTCCTGAGCTCAAACAATCCTCCTGCCTCAGCCTCCCAAAGTGCTGAGATTACAGGTCTGACCCACTGCACCCAGCATTTTGTTTTTTATGAGATGGGGTCTTTCCCTCTGTCACCCAAGCTGGAGTGCAGTGGCACAGCCATAGCTCATTTTAACTTCAAACTCCTGGCTTCAAGCAATCCTCCTGCCTTGGGCTCCATAGATGCTGGGGTTACAGGCATGAGTCACCATGCCCCACCTTCAGGTTCCACTTCTAATTCTAGTTCTTTTGCTATTTCTGTAACATCTGCAGTGACTTCTCCAGTAAAGCCTTATGCCCCTCAAAGTATCCATGAGATGTGGAATCAACTTCTTCCAAAATCTTTTTAATGTTGATGTTTTTACCTCCTCTCATGAATCACAGATATTTTTAATGGCATCTAGAAAGGTGAATTCTTTACAGAAAGTTTTCCATTTACTTTGTCCAGAACCATCAGAGGAATCACTAGCTAGGGTAGCTATGGCCTTAAAATAAAACTTGAAAGCTGAAATTACTCTTTGATCCATGGCCTGCAGAATAGATGTTGTTTTAGCAGGCAGAAAAACAACATTCATCTCCATGTACCTCTCCATCAGAGCTCTTAAGTGACCAGGTGCATTGTCAGTGTGCAGTGATGTTTTGAAAGGAGTCTTTTCTTCTGAGCAGTAGGTCTCAACAGTGGACTTAAACTATTCAGTAAACTATGCTGTAAACAGACATGCTGTCATGCAGGCTTCATTGTTCCATTTATAGAGCACAGGCAGAGTAGATTTAGTGTAACCCTTAAGGCCCCTAGGATTTTCAGAATTGCAAATAATCACTGGCTTCAGCTTAAAGTCACCAGCTGCATTTTTTCGCTGACAAGAGAGTTTGCTTCTTTCCTTAAACCTCATGAACCAGCCTCTGCTAGTTTCCAACTTTTCTTCTACAGCTTCCTTACTTCTCTCAGCCTTCATAGAACTTTGTAGAATGGAGGAGAGTAAAGGCCTTCCTCTGGATTAGGCTTTGGCTTAAGGAAATATTGCAGCTGGTTTGATCTTCTATCCAGACCACTCGAACTTTGTCCATGTGAGCAGTAAGGCTGTGTCACTGTATCATTTATGTGTTCGCTGGAGAAGCACTTTTAATTTCCATCAGGAACTTCTCCTTTGCATTCACAACTTGATTAACTAGTGCAGGAGGCCCAGCTTTTGGCCTGACTCAGCTTTCGACGTGCCTTCCTCACTAAGCTTAATCATTTCTAGCTTTTGATCTAAAATGAGACATGCTACTCTTCCTTTCATTTGAACACTTACAGGCCATTGTAGGGTTATTAGTTGGCTGGCCTAATGTCAATATTGTTGTGATCCCTGGAATAGAGAGTCTCCCTGAAGAGAGAGTCAAAGGAACAGCTGGTTAGTGGAGCAGTGAGAACACACACAGCATTTGTTGATTAAGTTCACTGTCTTATATGGACGTGGTTCCTGATGCCCCCAAAACTTGTAGAAGTAACATCAAAGATCACTGATCACAGATCACCATAGCAGTTGTAATAATAATGAAAAATTTTGAAATATTGTGAGCATTACTAAAATGAGACAGAGACACAAAGTAAAACATGCTGTTGGAAAATGGGTGCCAGCATACTTAATTGACGTGGGATAGCTGCAAATCTCCCATTTGTGGAAAATGCAGTATCTGTGAAGAGCAACCAAGGGAAGATCCATGAACGAGCTATGCCTGCAACTGTTATTATCCTAGTTCTGAAGATGACTTACAAACATGGAAGGATACGAGTGTAGAATAAGAGTGAGAATAGAGGAAATTGCCTCGTATTAAAGCTCTATGTAGTGTATATGTACATGGGTAAAAACTGACAGTAGTAACCAAACCCGAAGCTTTTGTGTGAAGTTGGTGGTTTTTATTTTTTCCAAAGTTTCCTTCATTGTTTCAACAGAAAGGGTAGAAGAAGGGGAGGGGAGAAGATGTAGTAAATTTAGTTTTGGTGTTTTCTTTCATTCTCTTTAGAATAATGGGGTCCCAGACACTTCTGAGTCTCATGATGCAGTGGTATCTTTACAACTGACTTTCTAGATTGACACTTTTATGTTTGTTTTTTTTCCTGTTGTCGTGTTTCTCAAAGTGTGGTCTAGGTCTCATTTTCCAGATTGAATTACAGTTTATGAAGGTGTCCTTATAGTCAGCTGATGGTGGAAAGGTAGAGTCAAAGTCAGAAAAATAATTTTAGTGTATGTCTATAGTTTTGATGAGAAGAGGCTTTAACCAACGATTAAAGCAGAAAGGGTAAATGCCTTCTGTGTTAAGAGCTGCTTTTTGGTTTTGAAAAGGGAAAGAAAAATTCAGCTAAAAGGTTCTGTGAAATTTGTTATAACTTAAAGAGGTCTTGCCATGTGAAATTTGAGATTCATTATAGTCGTATTTTTTCCCAAGAGAATCTTATCTATCGTATGCCTTAGATTTAGATTTAGATTCTGAACTCTACAAGTCAGAGCAGAATGTTGTACTCAATACACTAAATAAACTGAACTCAGTAGACTAAAATGTTGTGCTCAATAAACGCTTGTTATTAACAGAGTTCATTGACCATGTTGGACATTTCCCATTTGTACTCTTCCCTGATTTTCCTATCAGGGAAGGAGCATCAATATTGATTCACGGAACAGAAGGAACTGATTCCACACTCCAGGTGACCTCCTTGGCCCAGATCATCTTAGAGCCAAGAAGCAGGACCATTCGTGGTTTTGAGGCCCTGATTGAAAGAGAGTGGCTGCAGGTGAGAAGAGCTGTTTGATTCACAGAGGAACTGCTTATTGATGCTGTGATCCTGCTTTGTGTGGTAGCTGACATAATGTGTGAAATTTCGATTGATTAAAATTTCTAAGTTGTGTGTTTAATTTACTGCAGGACAGTTAATCTGTCTTCTCCTTGTTTCTGGATGTCTCTTTGCCTGTATTCCTCACTTGACACTTCCTTCACTTAGGAAACTCCTGTTGGCTGTGCTTTATCACATACAGGAGAAATACAAAGAATGGGAAGCATAGTGCAATCTCCCAGAAGCTGGGTCTTGACGGATCAAAGACATAAGCAGTCGGGGAAGGGGGAGTGGGGCCTGTAGTTGCAAGGAAAGCGCTTTAACCCTTTCAAAGCCTTTTGCTCGTGCTGCTCCACCCTGTGAAGCTTCCTTCAAAGATAAAACTGAATCATGTAATGTTGGATGGCTGCCAAAATAAAAGTCTCACTCATAACAGGGATTGATATCCTCCACAGAGATTACTTTTCAATATATTTCTACTGTGTAAGCTGGTAAATAATTGTATTTGAACACAAATGCTTACATATCTTGAAAGCAGACATTTTTCTGGCAAAAAGAGTATCTTGCTCCTCTGGTTACAATTCGCATTTATCATGCACTAATGCTGTTACGTACACCATGTCCACCCTGCCTGACAACTGACCTTACCTCTGTTTAAGTCAGACCATACTAAGTTTATGCTCCATATTTGATGAAAGTCTATTGAGCTATATTCCTCATGATGCATAGTAGACAAACAAATGAGTATGACTGACTGATTTTTATGTTATTTTAATGGATATCACAATTCTGTGAACCACTGTAAAATTTCTATGTCATTACCTTTGTCACATACAGTAGTAGAAGGACCCAGAGACAAAGCAGATCTGTGAAATTCCTAGCAGAGTATGATTTGTATTAAGGTCAGCATTTGGGTTCTGAACAAGACAGTCAAATGAGTCTTAAATTTACTTTGGTCAGTAGATGGCAGACTCTTGCTGTTCATTTTGGGAGAAGAGGGTAATTAATGACAGCTTTATCTCCTGTAGAAAAGTACTCATAAAGATCTTTCAACACAATAACTTTTCGTATATAATTAGAGATTTACTATCAGAGCTGACATTATAAAGGTGATCAGAGTTCCATATCTGTCTCCACTTAGGGTGAGGCTTGTTTAGTGTACAGCACAATCTACAGTGTTAGACAGAGGTGATGATTCTTCTTTGTACTGAGAGCTTATGTTCTTTGACTTTGCTCCAGGTTTTGTAGACCTAGAAAGGTTTATTTTGTAAGTTTATTATTGCTTAAGTTCATTATTCTTCCATGGGATATTCCAAGGGCAGTGCAGTTCCTGTGGTCACACCTTAGCCGCGCAGCCTCATTAAGGATTTGGAAGTGTGTCTTTTTCCTTAGTTGCTGCCGCTATTTATTTTATACCAAGAAATCATTAATCTGTACAACAGCTACCCTAATTATATGATGTTCCAGGTACTAGGAGTGTCACTGTAATTGTGTATAGTGGTGTCGGTAGAATGCTCTGTCATGTGATCTCACCAGGATATGACTGTCACGCCTCCATCTTCCCCCTAGGCTGGTCACCCATTCCAGCAGCGCTGTGCACAGTCAGCCTACTGTAACACCAAGCAGAAGTGGGAGGCTCCTGTATTTCTTCTCTTCTTGGACTGCGTGTGGCAGATCCTTCGTCAGTTTCCCTGTTCTTTTGAGTTTAATGAGAATTTCCTCATCATGCTCTTTGAGCATGCTTATGCCTCACAGTTTGGAACATTTCTGGGCAACAATGAAAGTGAAAGGTGAGTACACTGCTCACATGGGGACCTTTCCTTTTCCGTTGTTTTGGCTACTTCCTAAGTAGCCAGAATCTCCTAGGAGACGACGATTTGGATCTATATTAAAATTATTTATAAAAAGGTAGAGGCTACAGTTAATTATAATTTAAATGACCTGAAGTATATTCTTTTATGAGAGCATGTCCTAGACTTTGTTCTGTTAGGTTAAAATTAGTCCATACGTGAATTAAGGGGCAACCATTTTAAATGTTAATTTCTTAACATAGGATCATAGTATCTTACATGTGGAAAAAGCCTTAATTTATAATTCAGGTCTTCCCTCTAATTTTATTAAGAAAGTAAGATCCAGAGAAGTTACGTGACTTTTCCCAGGACATAGAGTCAGTTGGTCATCAAAAGTGTGGCCTAGAGCAGCGATCCCCAACCATTTTGGCACCAGGGACCAGTTTTGTGGATAACAACTTTTCTTTGGATTGGGTGGCAGCGGGATTGGTGATGGTTTTGGGGTGAAACTGTTCCATGTCAGATCATCAGGCATTAGATTCTCATAAGGAGAATTCTCATAAAGGCGCACCCTAGATTCCCCACATGCGCAGCTCACAGTAGGGTTTGCGCTTCTCTGAGAATCTGATGCTGATCTGACAGGAGGTGGAAATACGCGCTCATCTGCCACTCACCTCCTGCTGTGTGGCCAGTTCCTAACAGGCCACGGACCCTTACTGGTCCATGGCCTGGGGTTTGGGGATCCCTGGCCTAAATTACAGGTCTTCCTCCTCCTGCTCCAGACTTTGTTACACCTAGAAACTGTCCTCAGGCCCAGAGTGGCAAGCTCACCTTACAGCCCAGGCACCATCAAGTGTATAGGTTCATTTACAAGATTCACATCAGAATGATCTTTCAGGGAGGTTGCCTGGTAATCTCTTCAGGGTACAATCAGCAGCCTTCCTTGCCTCATTGCTGGCAGCCACCATTTTCTGAAGCATGTGTTGCTTAGCCCTGGACTGTACTCTGGCAGGGAGGGACAGGAGGGATTGGCAATTTCTATAGCCAAGGAAGTTTGGTGAATATGACATAATATCCTCCCCACTTAGAGGGGAGGATTAACTCCCCCACTTAGAAGGGAGGATTTAATGATTAACGCATAATCATTAAAGGCTTTAAGACACTCTTCAGTAAAGCAATGTATATAAGTTTAATTCAGCATTTAAGAAATGTGTTTGATGATGAATTTTTTTTGGTGTTATACCTGTTAATATCCTCAGGACTAGCTTTCAAGAAGGGATCAAAATAGATTCCCATTCTGTTTCCCAGTTGGTAGAGGCTGCCAGCAATGCTGATGGGAAGGATTCTGAAGTGGTGTCAGGCTCAGCCAGAGCAAGTTCAGTGGTTGGCCGGCCATGGGCAGGGGGCACAGGGCTGGAGGCAGTGGATGCAATAATGTCCTGTCCTTGTCATCCCTGGTTCCTGGGAACATAGCGTGGGACATGCTATCCCAGCAGTTAAAGTCCAATGCCACATAGGCTCTATGATTATGTGGATTATTTTTATTGCTAGCTCAAAAAGAATGCAGTAAGTTGCACGTAGCTCATAAATAATCATGTGGTTTCAGAGACAAAACTGATTTTATAATAAAATCTCAGCTTAAACTGAGTCTTATGAGAATTGAATGTATTATCTTTTTGGTTGATGTAAGGTTTACCACAGACTGTCTTTCAATCTGTGTTAAAATGTATTTTTTTCTAAAACATGCCGATCGACTGTTATCCTTCTCTAACAGTTTATTCACATGATAAAGAGTGTTCCAGAGTTTTAGAATTATTATGAAGCCTGTTCATTGTATGTGGATATAGATTAAATATGTATTTATGTCAAGATTCACATTGATTTTTCATCTTTGACAATCTGTATTTTATGTACATGTAAGTTATTTTCCCTAAAAGCTAAGTCTCTAAAAAATTTTAAGTTTTGTTTGAGATTTGACTCAACCTCCACTTTTAATATTAGTATGGGCGTAAGAAGGATACAGTGGACTTTGGGGACTTGGGGGAGGGACAGAAGGGGGACGAGGGATAAAAGACTACAATTAGGGTTCATTGTATACTGCTCGGATGATGGGTGCACCAGAATCTCACAAATCGCCACTACAGAACTTACTCATGTAACCAAATACCACCTGTTCCCCAATAACTTATGGAAAAATTAAAATAAAAAATTAAAAAAAAAAACAATTAGAAAGTGGTTATCAAACAATGTAAATAATGAAGACCCTGGGGGTCTTTCCAGACATTCATATTTGTAAGCTATCCTGGTTGTTTCTGCACAACAAGCCCTTTCTTAAAGAAACTAGAAAAATAAATAGGACATAAATGTCAAAAAGTGTATAATTTTTATGTTTATATTATAGGCTTCTCAGAAACAAAAAGGTTAGAAAGTTTTTTTATGCTTAGCTATTTTTAATTAAAATAGAATCCCAAATATAACAAAGGACTTTTGTGTACAGTAATGTTCTCTGGGTTAAGGTTTAACACCAAACCTGATGTGACCAGATTCTGTTTTTATCCTCCTGCCAGCTTCTTGGAAGCCTGTAAAATACTCTTTGTTTTGTTGTTGTTGAGAGTTCTAATGCCGATTGAGCTTTTTGACAAATCTATTGATTTTTCAACACTTTGTTTCTCTACCAAAAGTCTTGTATTCTATCTTCTTTCATACTGAGAAGAAATTGTCCTCGTAAGAGGAGCACTCAATAATGGTTGTTATAAATTAATTACTTTAATGGCAGTGTTCTTTCTTGATCAGATGTAAGTTGAAGCTACAGCAGAAGACGATGTCTTTGTGGTCCTGGGTTAATCAGCCCAGTGAGCTGAGTAAATTCACCAATCCCCTCTTTGAAGCCAACAACCTTGTCATCTGGCCTTCAGTTGCTCCGCAGAGTCTTCCACTGTGGGAAGGTAAACCACGCATCCTTTGCAAACTTCTTAACGGTCAGGTGTGCATGCGGCTGCCTGTGAGTGTGTGCTGTTGGTGATGTATGAAGATGGTGAGCTGGACGTGGCCCTCAGACCTGTGTGAATTGTCATTCTCAGTGTGGGCATGTTTTTCTCTTTCAAATCAGTTATCTAGCCACACTTTTTTTTTTTTTCAGTTACCATTGAGAAATTAACAGTGTTTCTTTACATTGCTGTTTATGTTGGATATTTTTCTAGATAAGAAAGTACCTTACTCTTTGCCTAAGAGAGTTGGTAAGTAGTTGGGACATGAATAAATTGTAAGCTCATCAGGGAGAGTTTCTGTCCCTTAATGAAGCAGTCATTAGGATAGGTTCTTGTATTAAATGGTATTAAAGAGTTACATGGCTGGGCATTCCAGTAAGTTTCTATAAATGGGCACAAAATACCATCAGTGCAGTAACACAGATATTTCATTGTTCTTATGGGACTATATGCTTAATTTTTAAATCTATTCTAAAGTAGATTTTTTATATGCACTGATTTTTCCAACTATTGAAGCTTATCCCCTTAAGTATGGAAGCTTATTAATTAAAACATAACCAAAATCTGGCCAGGTGTGGTGGCTCACGCCTGTAATCCCAGCACATTGGGAGGCTCAGGTGAGTGGATCACTTGAGGTCAGAAGTTCAAGACCAGGCTGGCCAACATGGTGAAACCCCATCTCTACTGAAAATACAAAAATTAAACAGGCCAATTTGGTGGTGCGGGTCTGTAGCCCCAGCTACTCAGGAGGCTGAGGCAGGAGAATCACTTGAATCTGGGAGGCAAAGGTTGCAGTGAGCAGAGATGATGCTACTGCACTTTAGCCAGGGTGACACAACGAGACTTTCTCAAAAAGATAAAAATAAAGATAAAAATAACCAAAATCTATCTGAACTATATAGTGTTTCATTAAACAAAGCCTCTAAAATACCATTTAATTTTTAAAGTTATTTTGAAGATAATAAGCACACATTTATTCATGTTTATGTTTAATAGCATAAAGTATACATACAAGAATGGT